>NC_000024.10:2437897-2738307 GCF_000001405.40 Homo sapiens
AATTCATGAAAACTCACCGGCAGAACAATATGTGGCAACCATTCTAAGCGAACCTCAGATGAAGCACCTTGAAGGCTTCACGAGCCTGTGTGCTATTGGATAACCATGGGGAAAAAAAAAAAACTGAATTCTGGCCGGGCGCGGTGGCTCATGCCTGTAATCCCAGCACTTTGGGAGGCCGAGGCAGGAGAATCGCTTGAACCCGGGAGGTGGGCATTGCAGTGAGCCGAGATCATGCCACTGCACTCTAGCCTGGGTGACAGAGCGAGACTCCATCTCAGAAAAAAAAAAAAAAAACCTGAATGGTCATTCATTTTAGGAACAGAATGATCTAGGAGTATTGGACTGCAGAGGAGAGGGAGGGAGAGAGCAGCTGGAGCTTCATATAGTTACACATTACAGAATGCATACACACACACACACACACACATATATATGCATTCATCTTAAAGTAAGATTGACAGCAAAGCATCAATAAAGACTGCAAACCGGCCACGTGCAGTGGCTTCACGCCTGTAATCCCAGCACTTTGGGAGGCTAAGGTGGGCTGATCACCTGAGGTCAGAAGTTTGAGACCAGCCTGACTAACATGGTGAAACCCCATCTCTACTAAAAATTAAAAAATTAGCCGGGCGAGATGGCTGGCGCCTGTAATCCTGCCTCAGGAGGGTGAGGCAGGAGAATCGCTTGAACCCAGGAGGCGGACATTGCGGTGAGCCGAGATCACGCCACTGCACTCCAGCCTGGGGGACAGAGCAAGACTCCATCTCAAAATAAAAAAAAAAAAAATGGTCGTTCATTTCAGGAACAGAATGATCTAGGAGAGTACTGGACTGCAGAGGAGAGGGAAGGAGAGAGCAGGTGGAGCTTCATATATTCACACATTACAGAATGTATACACATACATATATATGCATTCGTCTTAAAGTAAGATTGACAGCAAAGCATCAACAAAGACCTGCAAACTGGCCAGTTGTGGTGGCTCACACCTGTAATCCCAACACTTTGAGAGGCCGAGGTGGGTGGATCATGAGGTCAGGAGTTCAAGACCAGCCTGGCCAACATGGTAAAACCCTGTCTCTACTAAAAACACAAAAATTAGCCCAGCGTGGTGGCTGGCGCCTGTAGTCCCAGCTACTCAGGAGGCTGGGGCAGGAGAATTTTTTGAACCCAGGAGGTGGAGGTTGCAGTGAGCTCAGATCATGCCATTGCACTCCAGCCTGGGTGACAAGAGCGAGACTTTTTTGTCTCAAAAAAAAAAAAGCTTAAAAAATAAAAACAGCTTAAAAATAAAGTAAAATAACATAAAAGCTTAAAATATAAAATAAAATTTAAGAGGTCATTCATTTCAGGAAAAGACTGATCTACGAGAATTGGACTGCAGAGGAAAGAGAGGGAGAGAGCAGCTGGAGCTTCATATATTCACACATTACAGAATGTATATACATATATATACGCATTCATCTTAAAGTAAGAGTGACAGCAAAGCATCAATAAAGACCTTCAATCCATACTCTGACAAGTTCCTTTGTCCAGTGGTCCTCAAGCTTTTTGGCACCAGGAACCAGTTTCATGGAAGACCATTTTTCCACTGATGTGGGGTGGGGGATGGTTTGGGGATGATTGAAGTGCATTCTATTTATCATGCACTTTATTTCTATTATTATTACACTGTAATAGAGAATGAAGTAATTATGAAACTCACCATCGTGTAGAATCAGTGGAAGCCCTGAGCTTGTTTTCCTGCAACTAGACGGTCCCATCTGCGTGCGGGTGATGAGAGCCAGTGACAGATCATCAGGCATTAGATTTTCATACGGAGCACGCCACCTAGGTCCCTCACATGTTCAGTTCACAGTAGGGTTCATGCTCCTATGAGACTCTAATGCCACCACTGATCTCATAGGAGGCAGAGCTCAGGAGGTAATATGAGCTATGGGGAGCAGCTGTCAATACAGATGAAGCTTTGCTCACTCACACGCTACTCACCTCCTGCTGCACAGCCCAGTTACTAAAAGGCTGGGGACCGGTACTGGATGCAAGGATACAAGGATGCAAGAGATGCTAAAATTCATTAAAATGGGTCCACGGATGCCCTGCATTCTTCACACTCTCCAATTAATCTTGTGAATTCAGCATTGAGTCACTGAAGGTCACAGTGAGTCCCACTTCTGATTTACCCACTTTTGAAATGAACAGAATGCAGAAAGGAAAACAAGGTCAGTAGCATCTGTCAGCAAAGTTTGCCAACGGCTGTACCCACACAAAGAAGAGAGGTGTGTCTGTCTTCTTATTTGTTCTTTTTTCTTTTTCTTTTTTTTGAGACAAGGTCTCACTCTTTCACCCAGGCTGGAGTGCAGTGGGGCAATCATGGCTCACTGCAGCCTCAACTTCCCAGGCTCAACCAAACCTCCCATCTCAGCCTCCTGAGTAGCTGGGACTACAGGTGTGCACCAGCATGGCCAGATAATTTTTGTGTTTTTTTGTAGAGACAGGGTCTCCGTATGTTGCCCAGGCTGGTTTCGAGCTCCTAGGCTCAAGCAATCCACCCACCTTGGCCTCCCAAAATGCTGGGATTACAAGCAGAAGATGCCGCATCCAGCTCATTTCTGCTTTTTAAATGTTTTTCTTTCTTTCTTTTTTTTTTTGAAACGGAGTCTCGCTCTGTCACCCAGGCTGGAGTGCAGTGGCGGGATCTCTAGCCTTCATCTTTCTCCCATGCTGGATGCTTCCTGCCCTCGAACATCAAGACCCCAGGGTCTTTGGGTTTTGGACCGTTGGACCTACACCAGTGATTTGCCAGGGGCTCCTGGACCTTCGACCACAGACTGAAGGCCGCACTCTCAGCTTGCCTACTTTTGAGGTTTTGGGCCTTGGACTGGCTTCCTGGCTCCTCAGCTTGCAGACGGCCTATTGTGGGACTTCACCTTGTGATCGTGTGAGTCAATTATCCTAGTAAACTCCCCTTCATATACACATCAGTCCTATTCGTTCTGTCCCTGTAGATCACCCTGACTTGAACAGCATGAAGAGCAACGCTGTAACCAGCCCTGTCCTGACTGAGGCAGCCGAATGAGAATCAGCAATGAGGAGCTACAGACGACGCAGACGGCACCAGTAGCTACCGCCCAGGATGCATGGACACTCTAGTTTCCACAGCCACATTCAAGTTCTGGAACACCACGGCTTCCGGCTGTCTTCAGTGAAGACGGAGCACGTGTCAGTCCCAGGGTGCAATGATCACACCTCGGAGCTTTCCAAAATTCTATCTCATCACGTTCACCAACAAAGACATCCAAGGAGCAGAATTCAAAGTCAAGGAAGCCTGTGAAATTCACAAGGAGCAAGAAGAACAAAGGCTAAGGACTATTTGACAGGAGGGGAAGAGGCCTGGTCCCTGGGTTCTCCAAGGCAACGCGGTGGAATGTGTTTTGACGTGTCTTCAAGTCTGAAAGGAACCTGGTCCTTCCATTCCCTGGATGCTATGTCTCTCTTAGTGGCTTTGCAATGATGTCATCTGTGGACACAGATCTGCATGAGTGACAGTTCTGCAGAGAAACAACCAGTAGGATATATATATAGAGAGAAAGAGATTTTAAAGAACTGGCTCCCAAGATGTGGGGGAGGGGCAAAACCAAAATGTGCAGGGTAGACCAGCAGGCCAGATGCCCATGGAGACATGATGTCGCAGCTCAAGTCTGAAGGTGGATTCCAGATAGAATTCCCTCTTCCTTGGAGGAGGGACTCTTTTTACCTCTTAAGACCTTCCACTGATTAGGCAAGGCCCACCCACATTATGAACAGCTATCGGCTTCACTCAAAGTCTACTGAAAATCTCATTATTGGGTACACACCCAGAGGAATATAAATTGTTCTACCATAAAGACTCACACGGCTGGGCACAGTGGTTGACGCCTGTAATCTCAGCACTTTGGGAGGCTGAGGCAGGTGGATCACGAGGTCAGGAGTTCAAGACCAGCCTGGCCAACATGGTGAAACTCCGTCTTTACTAAAAATACAAAAAAAATTAGCTGGGTGTGGTGGCGTGCGCCTGTAGGCCCAGCTATTTGGGAGGCTGAGGCAGAAGAATTGCTTGAACCCAGAAGGCAGAGGTTGCAGTGAGCTGAGATCATGCCACTGTCAATCAACATGTATTTTGTATTTATATATATTATATACTACATTCTCAACACATGTTTGTATTTATTTTGTGTTTCTATGTATTATATACTGCATTCTTACAGTAAAGTAAGCTAGAGAAAAGAAAATGCTATTAAGAAAATCTTAAGGAAGAGAAAACATATGTACTACTCATCGAGTGGAAGTGGATCATCCTAAAGGTCTCCATCCTCATCGTCTCCATGCTGAAGAAGCTGAGGAGGAGGAGGAGGAACAAAAAGGGTTGTTCTTGCTGTCTCGGGGGTGGCAGAGGTGGCAGAAAATCCACATATAAATGGACCTATGGAGTTTACACCTGTGTTGTTCAAAGGTCAACTGTATATATTATAATATATATGATATATGATGATATATAATTACATTGTATAATATATTATGGGTGTCTATGTGTGTGTGTATATATATATATTCAGTTCCATCCAGGTATGGATAATAAAGCCCAGTACGTATGCAACACACTGGCCATCAGCGTCACGCCTAGTTATCATGCTGGCCGGTAAACAACGTGTCTTTGCAGTCCTGTGCCTGAGATCATACCCTTCCCAGTGCCACAGGTCCCCAAATCACTGCATTATTTCTAGAAAAACCCAGCCGCGATTTCCTAGAAACAAGAACCCCAGGAAATGTAATCAAGTACCATCTTCTGGAAATTGAGACATCTGAGATGAAAAGTGTGACTTGTTAACTGCCACGTAGAAGCTCTCAGGAATATTCCCTTTCCGAAGACATTTGTACAAACTGAAGGGTTCTGTACTAACAGAGAATGCTATTGCCTCTTTCCCCAAGGAAACACAGCTTAAGGAATGTTCCCCTCAATGCACCATCTGTCACCAGACACGTGCGTGTTCCGTCACATGTCACTATGATAAGACAATGACTTGTGTGTGTGTCAATCTAGAAGCTGAGTATTACCTTGAAATCAAGAGGGAGGCGGAGTTTCTCAACCTCATTTTACTTTTTATTTGTGTTTCGTAGAGACAGGGTCTGGCTCTGTCACCCAAGCTGTAGTGCAGTGGTGTGATCATGGCTCACTGCAGCCTCCACCTCCTGGGCTCCAGTGATCCTCCCACCTCAGCCTCCAAAGTAGCTGGGAGCAGATGCACACCACCATGTCCAGCTAATTTTTTTTAAATTTTATATAGACGGGGGTCTCACTGCGTTGCCCATGCTCCTCTTAAACTCCTGGACTCAAGTGATTTTCCCACATCAGCCTCCGAAAGTCCAGGGATTACAGGCACCAGCCACCGTGGCTGGCCCTCAACCTTACTTTAGCCCAGGGGTCTAACTCCTGGGCAGATATCCTAAGATTCTTACAGAAAACCAAAGGCAAACAAGTCCAGTCAAGGCAGCATGCAAAACCACCATACTTGGCAAGTGATGTACATTCTCTACCCATTCTCCAAGGGGAGTTCTGCCTCTCCGGACACAGCACCCCGAAACGAGACCCTGTTACTCAAATGAGCTGCATGACAGGGGAAATGATGGATCAAGCAATGACAGCATTTGGGCTCTGCTCTTATTTTTAACTTGTATCACATGCTGGGCACCGTTACACTCACCTGGAAGCAATGCTTTAAGGACAAGTTCTTTCCAACAGTGAGAATAACTCGTGTGAGAGAAGATGAGATGGTAAAAAAAAGAGCCAATGGGCCGGGCACGGTAGCTCACGCCTGTAATCCCAGCACTTTGGGAGGCCGAGGCGGGCAGATCACGAGGTCAGGATATCGAGACCATCCTGGCCAACACAGTGAAACCCCATCTCTACTAAAAATACAAAAAATTAGCCGGGTGTGGTGGCGGAAGCCTGTAGTCCCAGCTACTCGGGAGGCTGAGGCAGGAGAATGGCGTGAACCCGGGAGGTGGAGCTTGCAGTGAGCTGAGATCACACCCTGCACTCCAGCCTGGGCGACAGAGCGAGACTCCGTCTCAAAAAGAAAAAAAAAAAAAAAAAGGGCCAATGACCATGGCCAATTCCAAGCCTGAGTTGGAGGCCTGGAAGCCATTGGGGAAATAACCTACCATCACCGTTTTCCCTCTAAAAATCTAAAATCTGCTTATTCCACAGCCCCTCAGTAGGCTGCTACTGTTTGTTTTTAGCCGTCTACTAAATTTCATTGATACATGTTTCTGCCTTCTTGGTGATCCCAAATACAACAATTTATTCACACATGAAATTGAAAATGTGATAATTCTGCAAGCACACACCCCTTAAGATATGACTCTCAGCTCACAGGCTTTCTCCTCTAAACATTTATATTCAGTAACAGGTATTTGATTCCTCTTGAATTTTAATGAGGAAGGCACTTACGAGGACTCTTAGAGGCCGTGTTTAAGGGTCATTCATTATGCCCTCCATTAAATCAAGTGGCAACAGCAAACCATGCAGGTGAGGAGACCTGGGCGGCAGACGGGACAGTGTCTGAGGGTATGTGTTTGGGTTTCTCTAGCTGTTGAACAATTACACACATGAGGGACTGGGCACTGTGCCCCATGCCTGTAATCCCAGCACTCTGGGAGGCCCAGGTGGGAAGATCCATTGAGGCCCAGAGTTCCAGACGAACCTGGGAAACATAGTGAGACGCCATCTCTACAAATAATTTTTTTAAAAACTTGCCTGGGCATGATGGCACACACCTGGAGTCCCAGCTATCATGAGGCTGAGGTGGGAGCATGGCTTGAGTCCAGGAGGTCAAAGCTGCAGTGAGCCATGATCATGCCACTGCACTCTAGCCTGTGGGACACAGCAAGACCCAGTCTCCAAAAAAAAAATGTTAAAAATTAAAAATAATAAAAAATTAGGCTGGGCGGAGTAGCTCACACCTGTAATCCCAGCACTTTGGGAGGCCGAGGCGGGCAGATCACCTGAGGTCAGGAGTTCGAGACCAGCCTGGCCAACATGGAGAAACCCCGTCTCTACTAAAAATACAAAAATTAGCTGGGCCTGGTGGCGGACACCGGTAATCCCAGCTACTCAGGAGGCTGAGGCGGGGGAATTGCTTGAACCCAGGAGGTAGAGGTTACAGTGAGCCAAGATCGCACCACTGCACTCCAGCCTGGGCAACAAGAGTGGAATTCCGTCTCAAAAACAAAGAACATTAGATAGTACCGGACACGCTGGGTTGGACACAGGGCCGAAAAGGGCTAACTATAAACAACTTTTAGGCAATTTCCGAAAAAGTTGCATGTCAGAAAAAGGAAAGGTGGGCTTTCCCAGGAACTGCGTACCACCTATATTTTGCCGTGACCAGGATTTTTATATAAGCCCACGTCCTATGTGTATTTCACAGCACTAACCTTCACCTTCAAAACAAGGAGCGTTTCTTTGACTCCTCCTTCTTGGAAAATTTATCAATCAAGAAAAAAAAAAGCTTAACCATTACTGTATTTTTTTAAAGAATGGTATTTGCTACTATCTGAAAGTTTGTGTTCCTCCCCCAAATTCCTGCGTTGAAATCCTCACCCCCAAGGGACCGCTGCCGTGGGCACACTGAAGACTTTCCCTAAGAATGCGGCCAAGGGACCGCTGCCCTGTACACAAGGAAGAGGTTCCCTAAGAATGCGGCCAAGGGACCACCGCCATGTACACACTGAAGATGTTCCCTAACAATGTGGCCAAGGGACCACCCTGAAGACGTTCCCTAAGCATGCAGCCAAGGGACTGCCACCGTGTACACACTGAAAACATTCCCTAAGAATGCAGCAAAGGAACAGCACTGAAGATGTTCTCTAGGCATGTGGCCAAGGGACTGCCACCGTGTACACACTGAGGACGTTCCCTAAGCATGTGGCTAAGGGACTCCGCCATGTACACACTGAAGATGTTCCCTAAGAATGTGGCCAAGGGACCGACGCCATGTACACACTGAACACATTTCCTAAGAATGTGGTCAAGGGACCGCACTGAAGACGTTCCCTAAGAATGCAGCCAAGGGACCGCTGCTGTGTATTCACTAAAGACATTCCCTAAGTTTGTGGCTAAGGGACCGCCATCATGTACACACTGAAGATGTTCCCGAAGAACGTGGCAAAGGGACCGCACTGAAGACGTTCCAGAAGTGTGCGGCCAAGGGACTACCACCATGTACACACTAAAGACATTCCCTAAGAATGTGGCTAAGGGACTGCCGCCATGTACACACTAAAAATGTTCCCTAAGAATGTGGCCAAGGGACCCACACCATGTACAAACTGAAGACGTTCCCTAAGAATGTGGACAGGGGACTGCCGCTGTGTAGGCACTGAAGACATTCCCTAAGCATGTGGCCAAGGGACCTCACTGAAGACGTTCCCTAAGAATGTGGCCAAGGGACCGCCACCGTGTACACACTGCAGACGTTCCCTAAGCATGTGGCCCAAGGGACGACAGCTGTGTACACACTGAAGACGGTCTCGAGGCTTGTGGCTAAGGGACCACCGCCATGTACACACTGAAGATGGTCCCTAACAATGCGGCCAAGAGACCACCGCCATGTACACACTGAAGACGGTCCCTAAGAATGCGGCCAAGGGACCACCTCCATGTACACACTGAAGACATTCCCTAAGCATGGGCTAAGGGACGGTAGCCATGTACACACTGAAGAAGTTCCCTAAAAATGTGGCCAAGGGACCACCGCCATGTACTCACTGAAGATGTTCCCTAAGAATGTGGCCAAGGGATCGACACCATGTACAGAAGAAGACGTTCCCTAAGAATGTGGACAAGGGACTGCCACTGTGTAGGCACTGAAGACATTCCCTAAGAAAGCAGCCAAGGGACCGCAAGGAAGATGTTCCCAAAGAATGGGGCCAAGGGACCGTTGCAGTGTACACACTGAACATGTTAGCTATGTATGTGGCTGAGGGGCCGCCGCCATGTACGCACTGAAGCCATGTACGCACTAAAGACATTCCCTAAGAATGCAGCCAAGGGACGGCACTGAAGACATTCCCTAGGCATGAGGCCAAGGGACCGCCACGGGTACACACTGAAGACATTCCCTAAGCATGTGGCTAAGGGACCACCGCCCTGTACACAAACCGTGTACACACTGAAGATATTCCCTAAGAATGTGGCCAAGGAACAGCACTGAAGACGTTCCCTAAGCTTGTGGCTAAGGGACCACCGCCCTGTACACAAACCGTGTACACACTGAAGATATTCCCTAAGAATGTGGCCAAGGAACACCACTGAAGACGTTCCCTAAGCATGCAGCCAAGGGACTGCCACCGTGTACACACTGAAGACATTCACTAAGAATGTGGCTAAGGGACTGCTGCCATGTACACACTGAAGATGTTCCCAAGCATGTGACCAAGGGACCAACGCCGTATACACACTGAAGATGTTTCCAAAGAATATGACCAAGGGACCGCCACCTTGTACACAGTAAAGACATTCCCCAAGGTTCAGTCATGGGCCTGTGAAACATCACAGGAAAGAATGATGTGCAGGATCCAGTTATTCCACCATAAGGTGTGTACCCAAAGGAAAGGAAATCAGCCCATCAACGGGATACCTGCACCCCCTGTGCACTGCAGCACTACTCACAGTTTCCAAGATATAGAATCAACCCATGTGTCAATCAACACATGAGTGCCTCAAGCAAATGTGGCATAGACACACAGTGGAATAGTATGCAGCCATGAAAAAGGAAATCCTGCCATTTGCAACAACATGGATGGGACTGGAAAATACAATGTGAAGTGAAATAAACCAGGCACAGAGAGAATACCATATCATCTCGTATGTAGAATCTAAAAAAGCTGAATGCATAAAAGCAGAGAGTGCAATGGTGGTTGCCAGGGAAGAATGCTTCATGAAGTGTTTGTCAAAGAACATAACATTTCAGTTGGAGGCCAGGAGCGGTGGCTTATGTCCGGAATCACAATGCTATGGAAGGCTGAGGAAGGAGGACCACTGAAGGCCAGAAGTTTGAGACAAGCCTGGGCAACGTAATGAAACCCCATCTCTAAAAAAAAAACAAAAACAAAAAAATTAGCTGGGTATGGTGGCATGCACCTGTAGTCCCAGCTACTTGGGAGGCTGAGGCAGGAGGATCACTTCAGCCCAGGAATTCAAGACCAGCCTGAGCAACATAGCAAGATCCCATCTACATAAAAAATTTAAAAATTAACCAGGTGTGGTGGTGTGCACCTGTAGTCCCAGCTACCTGGGAGGCTCAGGAGGGTCACCTGAGCCAGGAGTTGGAGGCTGCAGTGAGCTATGAACATGACGCTGCACTCCACCGTGGGTGATAGGGTGAGACTGTCTCAAAAAAATATAAATTACATTAAAATTAAATTTTTTCAGTTACATAAAAGAAATAAATTCAAAGATCTATCACACCACAGTGATCATAGTTAATAATACATCGCATCTTTCAAAATGACTAAAAGTAGATTTTACATATTCTGACCACAAAAAAAAGTAGGTGAGGTGATATAGGTTAGAGTTAAGGTTATGTGAATATGTTAATTAGCTTGTTAATATGTTAATTAGCTTGATTGTTAATGTGTTTATTAGCTTGATTATTAATATGTTAATTGACTTGATTGTTAATATAGTATCTAGCTTGATTTAATCACCGCACAATGTGTACTTGGATTAAAACATCACGTACCTCATATATATGTATACGATTATTTTTTGTTAATGAACAATACATTTTCTATAAAAATGACTCGCATTTCCAGGCAGAAAGCAAAACAAGTCCCAGTTTTGAGGACAGCTGTGACATATTTAATGGTGTCTCTTCTTAATTCAACACAGTTTACACGACCATGACACAAGGGGTTCCAAGTTTCCAAGGAAAGGATTCCAGTTATGTGCTCAAGGTGTATCCACACTGGGCCGGGCGCGGTGGCTCACGCCTGTCATCCCAGCACTTTGGGAGGCTGAGGCGGGTGGATCACCTGAGGTCAGGAGTTCCAGACTGGCCTGACCAATATGCTGAAACCCCATCTCTACTAAAAATACAAAAATTAGCTGGGTGTGGTGGCGGGCGCCTGTAATGCCAGCTACTCAGGAGGCTGAGACAGGAGAATGGCTTGAACCCAGGAGGTGGAGGTTGCAGTGAGCTAAGATCGCACCACTGCACTCCAGCCTGGGCAACAAGAGTAAAACTCTGTCTCAAAAAAAAAAAAAAATGTGTCCACTCTGCACCCTGACCAGAAGAGACGACCTTCAAATGATCACACGAGGTCATCTCACAAAGCGGCGAGTGTTCCCAGTTATTACTCGGAGGGCCGGGCCTGCTCAGGAGGGTTGGTGAGATCAGGCTGTCCCCTAACACACACCATGGCAGGGCTCATCCTCCTGAGTACATGCAAGGTGCACTGAGACAGCTCCCCATAGAACTCCAAAAATAGCCCAGCTGGGAAGAAATGGAACATTCTGGGGGACACTGATTTTCATATTGAAATTTCCTATCTTTTTAAATTTATTGTGGTTGAGACAGGGTCACACCCAGGCGATTGCCCAACCTGGAGTGCAGTGGCATGATGCTAGCTCACTGCAGCCTCAACCTCCTTGGGCTCAGGCGATCCTTCAGCCTCAGCCTCCCAAGTAGCTGTGACCACACACGCGTGCCACCACATTTGGCTAATTTTTATGTTTGTATTTTTAGACACAGCACCTCTCGCTTGGTTGCCCAGGCTGTGGTCACAGCTCACTGCAGCCTCCAACTCCCACACTCAAGTGATCCTCCCACCTCTGCCTCCTGAGTAGCTGGGAATATAAGCACATACTAATTTTTTCTATTTTTAGTAGAGATGGAGTTTGGCCATGTTGCCCAGGCTGGTCTCAATCTCCTGTACTCAAGCGATCCACCGGCCTAAAGTGCTGGGATTACGGGCGTGAGCCACCACGCCTGGCCATGCAGCTGTTTTAATAAGCAATTCTGAGAAGACACAAATGCCCCCCTGCTCTTTTGTAATAATACTAACACAGATTACCGAATTACACTGACGAAAACCTCACATGCGTTACCTAAGGAAACACAGAGCCCCCAGTGTTAGATCTGAATTGTTTCTCCACCCAGGACAAATAAGTGCATTCCAATTAGTGCCTCAAAAAAAAAAGGAAAAAAGTACCAATAAATAAATAAATAAATAAAACACAGTAGAGCAGTTTCAACAAACTCCAGCCCTTATTTTTGGAAGGCCCACTTGTCAAGAACAGTGTTTATGTTTATAAATGTTTTTTCTGAATTTCTCAATGCTTAGGGAAAAAAAGTCAAAAGAGCAATATTATTTCTTGACACAACATTTATATAAAATTTAGTAATCCAAACTACTCAGGAGGCTGAGACAGGAGAATCGCTCGAACCCGGGAGGTGAAGGTTGCAGCGAGCCAAGATCGCGTCACTGTACTCCAGGCTTGGCAACAAGAGCAAAACTCTGTCTCAAAAAAAAAGAATGTTAGATAGTATCGGACATGCTGGGTTGGACACAGGACTGAAGAGCTAACTATAAACAATTTTAGGCAATTTCCACAAAAGTTACATGTCAGAAAAAGGAAAGGTGGGCTTTCCCAGGTTCTGCGTACCACCTATATTTTACCGTGACCAAGATTTTATAAGCCCAAGTCCCACGTATATTTTACAGCACTAACATTCACCTTCAAAGCAAGGAGGGTTTCTGTGTCTCCTCCTTCTTGGAAAATTTATCAAATTAAAAAAAAAAAAAGCTTAACTATTACTGTATGTTTTTAAAGAATGGTATTTGCTATATATAGTCTGAAAGTTTGTATTCCTCCCCCAAATTCCTGCATTGAAATCCTCACCCCTAAGACAATGGAGTCAGGAGGTGGGAGACTTGGGAGGTGATGAGATCATGGGGATCGAGCCTCATGAATGGGATCAGTGTCCTTATAAAAGGGACCCCAGAGAGCTCCCTCGCCCCTTCCACGCAGAGAAAATGCATCATCTATGAACCAGGAAGTGGGTCCCCACCAGACACTGAATCCGCCACGATCTTAAACCTCCAACCTTTAGAACTGTGAGTGACAAATGTCTGTAGTTTATAAATTACCCAACTGAAGGTATTTTATTTTAGCAGCTCCCTACTCAGGAGGCTGTGGCAGGAGAATCGCTTGAACCCGGGAGGCGGAGGGTGCAGTGAGCTGAGATCACAGCACTGCACTCCAGCCTGGGCAATACAGCAAGACTCCATCTTTAAAAAAAAAAAAAAAAAAGTTGCATCAAGAATGAAAGGTGCACAAAGGCAGCCAGGGATGCAAGCCCCTTCCACCCTGGGCCCTGGAACTGCACAGGCCACCTTCAAAGGTTTCTTTCCTGTCATCCTCCCAAGTCTACACGAATATAAAGAAACACACTAGAAGCCTCTGATAGGATGGGGGCATCTCCAGAAATCCGAAGATTCAGGTTCTGAACCTCTGATCTGGGTGGGGCTGGGAGCTGCAGTTCCAGAAAGCAAATGAAGCCTTGGCTGTGATTCAGACCATTTCTTGGTAGCAAGCGTGTAGGGGAAGAAGAATGTGGACGGGGCAGGGGAAGGAATGAATTCGGTCAGGACGGTGGCTGGAGAATGTCTGAGACGGCCACGTGCAGAGAGGAGCAGGCTGGCTGCGTCTCTCACTGTGCCTGGGACAGGCGGTGACAGAGAAATGGGATTCCACATGAGAGTCAGAGACACCCAGTGAAGAAACAAAAGCAGCTTACAGGGTGAAAAGGACACAGACAGACACTGACACTCAGAAGAATGTTGCCAAGGGACCGCCACTGTGTATGAACTGAAAAGGTTCCCTAAGAATGCGGCCAAGGGACTGCTGCCGTGTACACACTGAAGACGCTCCCTAAGAATGCAACTAAAAGACAACACTGAAGACGTTCCCTAGGCATGTGGCTAAGAAACCACTGCCATGTACACATTGAAGACATTCCCTAAGTATGTGGCTAAGGCACCACTGCCATGTACACACTGAAGACGTTCCCTAAGTATGTGGTTAAGGGACTGCCGCCATATACACACTGAAGATGTTCACTAAGCAGGTGACTAAGGGATCGCCGCCATGTACTCACTGAAGACGTTCACTAAGCATACGGCCAAGGGACTGCCGCCGTGTACACACTGAAGACATTCCCTAAGAATGTGGCTAAGGGACCGCCGCCATGTACACACTGAAGATGTTCCCAAAAAATGTGGCCAAGGGACTGCTGCCATGTGCACATTGAAGACGTTCCCTAAGCAGGTGGCTAAGGGACCACCACCATGTACACACTGAAGACGTTCCCTAAGAATGCAGCCAAGGGACGGCACTGAAGACGTTCCCTAGGCATGTGGTCAAGGGACCGCACTGAAGATGTTCCCTAAGCATGTAGCCAAGGGACTGCCACCGTGTACACATTGAAGACATTCCCTACGAATGTGGATAAGGGACCTCCGCCATGTACACACTGAAGACGTTCCCTAACCATGCGCCCAAGGGACCTCCGCCATGTACACAGTGAAGACGTTCCCGAAGAATGTGGCCAAGAGACCACCATGTACACACTGAAGATGTTCCCTAAGCATGTGGCCAATGGACCGCACTGATGACGTTCCCTACGCATGCGGCCAACGGACTGCCACTGTGTACGCGCGGAAGACATTCCCTAATAATGTGGCTAAGGGACCACTGCCAAGTACACACTGAATATGTTCCCTGAGCATGTGGCCAAGGGACGGCCGTCATGTACACATTGAAGACGTTCCCTAAGAATGTGGCCAAGGGACCACCACCTTGTACACAGTGAAGACGTTCCAAAGGTCCAGTCATGGGCCTGCGAAACATCAGAGGAAAGAATGGTGTACAGGATCTAGTCATCCCACCACTGGGTGTGTACCCATCAATGGGATACCTGCCCCACTGTGCACTGCAGCACTACTCAGTTTCCAAGAGACGGAATAAACCCATGTGTCAATCAACAGATGAGTGCATCAAACAAATGTGGCATAGACACACACTGGAATAGTATGGAGCCATGAAAAAGGAAATCCTGTCATTTGCAGCAACATGGATGGGACTGGAAGATACAAGGTGAAGTGAAATGAAACAGGCACAGAGAGACAAATACCATATCATCGCATATGTAGAATATAAAAAAGCTGAACACATAAATGCAGAGGGTACAATGGTTGTTGCCAGCAAAGAATGCTGAAGTGTTTGTCAAAGAACACAAAATTTCAGTTGCTGGCCAAAAGCGGTGGCTCATGTCTGGAATCACAATGCTATGGAAGGCTGAGGAAGGAGGATCACTTGAGGCCAGGAGTTTGAGATAAGCCTGGGCAACAGAATGAAACCCCATCTCTAAAAAAAAAAAACAAAAAATTAGCTGGGTATGGTGGCATGCACCTGTACTCCCAGCTACATGGGAGGCTGAGGCAGGAGGATCGCTTCAGCCCAGGAATTCAAGACCAGCCTGAGCAACATAGCAAGACACCATCTCTACAAAAAATTTAAAAATTAACCAGGTGTGGTGGTGTGCACCTGTACTCCCAGCTACCTGGGAGGCTGAGGTGGGAGGGTCACCTGAGCCATGACTTGGAGGCTGCCGAGAGCTATGAACATGATGCTGTACTCCAGCCTGGCTATAGGGTGAGACTGTCTCAAAAAATACATAAATTACATTAAAATTAATTTTTTTCAGTTAGATAAAACAAATAAATTCCAAGATCTATCACACCACAGTGATGATAGTTAATAATACATCGCGTCTTTCACAATGACTAAAAGTAGATTTGACATATTCTCCCCACAAAAAAAACTAGGTGAGGTGATATAGGTCAGAGTTAGGATTATGTGAATATGTTAATTAGCTTGATTGTTAATATGTTAATTAGCTTGGTTAATACGTTATTAGCTTTATTTTAATATGTTAATTAACTTTATTGTTAATATGGTAACTAGCTTGATTTAATCATTGCACAATGTGTACTTGGATTAAAACATTACATTGTACCATATATATGTATACAATTATTTTTTGTTAACGAAAAATAAATTTTCTATAAAAATGACTTGCATTTCCAGGCAGAAAGCAAAACAAGTCCCAGTTTCGAGGACAGCTGTGATATATTTAACAGTGTCTCCTCTTAATTCAACACAGTTTATATGACCATGACACAAGGGGTTCCAAGTTTCCAAGGAAAGGATTCCAGTTATGTGCTCAAGGTGTATCCACACTGGGCCGGGCGCTGTGACTCACGCCTGTCATCCCAGCACTTTGGGAGGCTGAGGCGGGTGGATCACCTGAGGTCAGGAGTTCCAGACCAGCCTGACCAATATGCTGAAACGCTGTGTCTACTAAAAATACAAAAATTAGCCAGGTGTGGTGGCAGGCACCTGTAATCCCAGCTACTCAGGAGGCTGAGGCAGGAGAATTGCTTCAACCCGGGAGATGTTGGCTGCAGTGAGCCGAGATTGAGCTATTGCACTCCGGCCTGGGCAACAAGAGAGAAACTCCGTCTCAAAAAAAAAAAAAGACATATTCATGTTGAGATTTCTACACTGTGAAAAAAGATCTCCAATAGTGTGCATCAGGCACCCCAAAAATTCCCAATTCTATTAACCAATCAAATCTACTAGGAAATTGCAATTGGAATGACTCCACGGTTTCCCAGAAAGGCCAACACCATTCTAATAGAAAGCATTCACTGTTTTTATGCAAATCATTTCATCCATACCTCAAAACGACGTCATGTAGACTGGATAAAGAAAGGTGGGAGCATATACACTATGGAATACTATGCACCCATGAAAAAGAATGGGATTGGTTGGGCGTGGTGGCTCACGCCTGTAATCTCAGAAATTTGGGAGGCCGAGGCGGGTGGATTACCTGAGGTCCGGAGTTCAAGACCAGCCTGTCCAACATGGAGAAACCCTGTCTCTACTAAAAACACAAAATTAGCTGGGCGTGGTGGCATGCACCTGTAATCTCAGCTACTCAGAAGGCTAAGGCAGGAGAATCACTGGAACCCGGGAGCCAGAGGTTGCGGTGAGTCAAGATCACACAATTGAACTCCAGCCTGGGCAACAAGAGGGAAACCCCATCTCAAAAAAAAAAAAACGGGATGATGTCCTTTGCAGGAACCTGCATGGAGGTGGAGGCCATTATCCTTAGCAAACTTACACAGCAACAGAAGACAAAATACCTCCTGTTCTCACTGATAAGTGGTAGGTAAGCATTGGGTACCCGTGGATATAAAGAAGGGATCAGACTCCGGGGCCTGCTGGAAGGTGGAGGGTGGGACAAACGAGAGGATTGAAAAATTACCTATCAGGTGGTAGTAGGCTTATTACCTGGTTGATGAAATAATCTCTACACTAAACCCCCAGGACATGCAATTTACCCGTGTAACGAACCTGCGCATGTGCCCCTCAACCTGAAATAAAAGTAAAAACAAGTAGGCCGGGAGCAGTGATTCCTAATCCCAGCACTTTGGGAGGGCAAGGCGGGTGGATCACTTGAGGCCAGGAGTTCGAGACCACCCTGACCAACATGATGAAACCCTGTCACTACTAAAAATACAAAATTAGTCGGGCATGGTGGCACACACCTATAATCCCAGCTACGTGACAGGCTGATGCGGGAGAATCCCGTGAACCCTGGAGACGGAGGTTGCAGTGAGCCGAGATTGTGCTACTGCACTCCAGCCTTGGCGACAAGAACAAAACTTCGTCTCAAAAAAAAAAAAAAAAAAAACAATAAAAAGCACACACAAAACACTGCATGCTTCTATGGGGAACATTTTACTGATTTTTTTTTAACTCTTTTAAAATGTTAGATTAGTGTCTTAGGAAATCAGGGATTTCCAGAGGCAGGACTTCACGACACCAACGTTGAGTGTCAAAAGGATTCCTTTCAATGTAGAAGGTGCATGCCTGCTCTGGGCTTCCACAAATCCCCGAGACTTAATAAGACACCTGGCTCCGTCACTGATCAAAGAATGGGTACCACGACTTAGCATCCACTGCAAAGCTCCATGGTGCCTAGCTTTAGCCAGTTTGTTCACAGCCGTGATTAAGGTGTCCACAGCATCCTCACCAGCCTCAGGAACAGGGCACAGTCAACTCACCACAGGGGTGACCCCAGAAACAAGAGACACGACTGTAACAGGGACAATGTGCGGGACGCCAAAAACCAGAACAAGAGACAGGAATATTATAACAGGGACAAAGTCGACACCACATGGAAGATGGATGACTCATTTGTCACAGGTAGAAACAGTTTATCTGCGAGTTTGTAACCAGGTGAATCAAGAATGAAGGGTGCGGCCGGGCGCAGTGGCTCATGCCTGTTATCCCAGAACTTTGGGAGGCTGAGGCAGGTGGATCACCTGAGGTCAGGAGTTCAAGACCAGCCTGGCCAACATGATGAAACCCCATCTCTACTAAAAATACAAAGATTAGCCATGTGTGGTGGCAGGTGCCTGTAATCCCAGCTACTCGGGAGGCTGTGGCAGGAGAATGGCTTGAACACAGGAGGCGGAGGTTGCAGTGAGCTGACATCACAGCACTGCACTCCAGCCTGGGGGACACAGCAAGACTCCTCTTCAAAAAAAAAAAAAAAAAACAGCTGGATGAAGAATGAAAGGTGCACAAAGGCAGCCAGGGATGCAAGCCCCTTCCACCCTGGGCCCTGGAACTGCACAGGCCACCTTCTAAGGTTTCTCTCCTGTCATCCTCCCAAGTCTACACGAATATAAAGAAACACACTAGAAGTCTCTGATGGGATGGGGGCATCTCCAGAAATCCGAAGATTCAGGTTCTGAATCTCTGATCTGAGTGCGGCTGGGGAGCTGCTGTTCCAGAAAGCAAATGAAACTTTGGCTGTGATTCAGACCATTTCTTGGTAGCAAGGGTGTAGGGAAAGAAGGATGTGGACCGTGCAGGAGAAGGAATGAATGGGGTCAGGACAGTGGCTGGAGAATGTCTGAGATGGCCACGTGCAGAGAGGAGCAGGCTGGCTGTGTCTCTCACTGTGCCTGGGATGGGTGGTGACAGATGAGTGGGATTCCACATGATAGAGACACCCAATGAAGAAATAAAAGCAGCTTACAGGGAGCAAATGACACAGACACTCAGAAGAAAGTGGCCAAGGGATCGTCCCCATGTATGAACTGAAGACGTTTTCTAAGAATGTGGCCAAGGGTCCACACTGAAGATGATCCCTAAGAATGTGGCCAAGGGACCACCACCATGTAGGCACTGAAGACGTTCCCTAAGAATGTGGCAGCGGGATGGCCACTGTGTAGAAACTGAAGATGTTCCCTAAGGATGTGGCCAAGGGACCACCACCATGTACACACTGAAGACGTTCCCTAAGTATGTGGCGCAAGGGACCTCTGCTGTGTGCACACTGAAGACGTTCCCTAAGCATGTGGCTAAGGGACTGCTACCATTTACACACTGAAGACATTCCCTAAGATGCAGCCAAGGGACAGCACTCAAGACATTCCCTAGGCATGTGGCCAAGGGACCGCCACCATGTAAACACTGAAGACGTTCCCTAAGCCTGTGGCTAAGGGACAGCCGCCATGTACACACTGAAGACATCCCCTAAGAATGCCGCAAAAGAACCGCCACCGTGGACATGCTGAAGATGGTTCCCCTAAGCATGTGGTTAAAGGACTGCCGCCCTGTACACACTGAAGACGTTCCCTAAGAATGTGGCCAAGGGACTGCCACCATGTACACACTGAAGACGTTCCCTAAGCATGTGGCCCAAGGGACAGCCACGGTGTGCACACTGAAGACGTTCCCTAAGCTTGTGGCTAAGGGACCACCACCATGTACACACTGAAGACGTTCCCTAAGAAAGCAGCCAAGAGACGGCAGGGAATATGTTCCGTAAGCATGTAGCCAAGGGACCGCCACCAAGTACAAACTGAAGACATTCCCTAAGCTTGTGGCTAAGGGACCACCGCAGTGTGCACACTGAAGACGTTCCCTAAGAATGCGGCCAAGGGACTGCCGCCATGTACACACTAAAGACATTCCCGAAGAATTAGGACTAGGGACTGCCACCGTGTACACACTGAAGACATTCGGGAAGAATGTGGCTAAGGGACTGCTGCCAGCTACACACTGAAGATGTTTCCTAAGCATGTGGTCAAGAGACCAACATCGTGTACACACTGCAGACGTTCCCTAAGAATGTGGCCAAGGGACCCCCACCTTGTACAAAGTGAAGACGTTCCCTAAGGTCCAGCCATTGGCCTGCAAAACATCAGAGCAAAGAATGTTGTGCAGGATCCAGTCATCCCACCGCTCGGTGTGTACCCAAAGGAAAGGAAATCTGCCCATCAATGGCATACCTGCACCCCCTGTGCACTGCAGCACTACTAATAGTTTCCAAGATATAGAATCAACCCATGTTCAATCAACAGATAAGTGCATCAAGCGAATGTGGCATAGACACACAATGGAATGGTATGCAGCCATGAAAAAGGAAATCCTACCATTTGCAGCAACATGGGTGGGACTGAAAGATACAATGTGAAGTGAAATGAACCAGGCACAGAGAGACAAATATCGTATCATCTCATAGGTAGAATCTAAAAAAGCTGAACGCATAAACGCAGAGAGTGCAATGGTGGTTGCCAGGGAAGAATGCTTCATGAAGTGTTTGGCAAAGAACATAACATTTCAGTTGGAGGCCAGGAGCGGTGGCTCATGTCTGGAATCACAATGCTATGGAAGGCTGAGGAAGGAGGATCACAGAAGGCCAGGAGTTTGAGAGAAGCCTGGGCAACATAATGAAACCCCATCTCTAAAAATAAAAAAAAATGAAAAAATTAGCTAGATATGGTGGCATGCACCTGCAGTCCCAGCTACTTGGGAGGCTGAGGCAGAAGGATCACTTCTGCCCAGGAATTCAAGACCAGCCTGAGCAACATAGCAAGACCCCATCTCTACAAAACTTTAAAAATTAACCAGGTGTGGTGGTGTGCACCTGTAGTCCCAGCTACCTGGGAGGCTCAGGTGGGAGGGTCACCTGTGCCAGGAGTTGGAGGCTGCCATGAGCTATGAACATGACGCTGCACTCCAGCCTGGGTGATAGAGGGTGAGACTGTCTCAAAAACATAAATTACATTAAAATTAAATTTTTTCAGTTACATAAAAGAAATAAATTCAAAGTTCTATCATACCACACAGTGATTATAGTTAATAATAATACATTGCATCTTTCAAAATGACTAAAACTAGATTTTACATATTCTCATCACCAAAAAAACGAAGTGAGGTGATATAGGTTAGAGTTAGGGTTATCTGAATATGTAAATTAGCTTGTTAATATGTTAATTAGCTTGATTGTTAATATGTTAATTAGGTCAATGGTTAATATGTTAATTCACTTAATTATTAATGTTAATTAGCTTCATTGCTAATATGGTAACTAGCTTGGTTTAATCACTGCACAATGTGTACTTGGATTAAAACATCATATTGTACCATAGAGAGAGAGAGAGAGAGAATGTGTGTCTGTGTGTATATATATATATATATATATATATATATACACACACATACAATATATATATACACACACACACAATTATTTTTTGTTAACGAACAATAAATTTTCTATAAAAGTGACTCCCATTTCCAGGCAGAAAGCAAAACAAGACCCAGTTTTGAGGACAGCTATGACATATTTAACGGTGTCTCCTCTTAATTCAATACAGTTTATATGACTATGTTCCAAGGGGCTCCAAGTTGTCAAGGAAAGGATTCCAGTTATGTGCTCAAGGTGTATCTACACTGGGCCGGGCGCGGTGGCTCACGCCTGTCATCCCAGCACTTTGGGAGGCTGAGGCAGGTGGATCACCTGAGGTCAGGAGTTTGAGAACAGCAAGGCCAATATGCTGAAACCCTGTCTCTACTAAAAATACAAAAATTAGCCGGGTGTGGTGGCGGGCGACTGTAATCCCAGCTACTCAGGAGGTTGAGACAGAAGAATGGCTTGAACCCAGGAGGTGGAGGTTGCAGTGAGCCGAGATCATGCCATTGCACTCCAGCCTGGGCAAAAAGAGCAATAATCCTTCTCAAACAAACAAACAAACAAAAAAAGTATCCACACTGCAGCGTGGACCAGAAGAGATGACCTTCCAGTGAGCACACGAGGTCCTCTCACAAAGCGGCGAGTGTTCCCAGTTATTACTCGGAGGGCCGGGCCTGCTCAGGAGGGTTGGTGAGATCAGGCTGTCCCCTAACACACACCATGGCAGGGCTCATCCTCCTGAGTACATGCAAGGTGCACTGAGCCGGCTCCCCATGGAACTCCAAAAATAGCCCAGCTGGGAAGAAATGGAACGTTCTGGGGGACACTGATTTTCACATTGAAATTTCCTATCTTTTTAAATTTATTTTGGTTGAGACAGTCGCCCAGGCTATTGCCCAGCCTGGAGTGCAGTGGCATGATCGTAGCTTATGGCAGCCTCAGCCTCCTTGGGCTCAAGCGATCCTTCAGCCTCAGCCTCCCAAGTAGCTGTGACCACACACGTGTGCCACCACGTCTGGCTTTTTTTTTTTTTTTTAGAGACAGCATCTCTCTCCTTGTTGCACAGGCTGGAGTGCAGTGGTGCGATCACGTTTCACAGCAGCCTCCAACTCCCAGGCTCAAGTGATCCTCCCACCTCAGCCTCCTGTGTAACTGGGACTACAAATGCACACCTTATGTCCAGCTAATTTTTTTATTGTTACTAGAGACAAGGTCTCATTATGTTGACCAGGCTGGTCTCAAACCCCTGAGTTCAAGTGATCCTACTGACTTAGCCTCCCAAAGTGCAGGTATTACAAGCATGAGCCACCACACCCAGCCTATTTTTATTTTATTTTTGTAGGCACAGGATCTCGCTGTTTGCCCAGGCTGATCTCAAACTCCTGGTCTCAAAAATCATCCTCCTGCCTCAGCCTCCCAAAGTGCTGGGATGACAGGTGTGAGCCATTGTGCCCGGCCTCATACCATTTTTGAATCATGAAACTTTATTATTCTTTGCAGTTTTTCCCCCAAGAATTTAGACATGTAAGAAGCAAACCAACACCTTTTAAAACTTAAACATAATTCCTAGCTTGTGGATCCAGTTTTGGAAGCGATTTAAATTCTAGAAAGCCTGCAGTAAACTGGCTATTTGATACGTTCTCAGAGTTCCTGCCTTTCCAGTTAAACACAAATAAAATAGGAGTCCGGTGACCTCGAACACCCCAGGGTAAGAACGCACAAGCTAAAAGCCAGTTGGAGCCTGAATGTGAAAAGGCAATCGTTCCTTCTGCATCAAAACATCTGCACCCACGGGTCCACCCGTCAGCCAAAAGCCACCTCAGCAATGCTACCAAAACAGGGAAAAGAAAGGCTACCCTCTTTCTTTCATGCAAGCCCTCTAAGATAACGCACAACCTACTAGCTCACGTAAATTAGGGCACAAAGAACCCAACTGAAATCCCGGCAGAACAAGCACAACTTCTGCTTAATCATGAACTTATTTATTTATTTAGAGACAGGGTGTCTCTCACTCTGGTGCCCAGGCTGCACGACAGTGATGCAATCTCAGCTCACTGCAGCCTCGACTTTGTGGGCTCCAGTGATCCTCCCACCTCAGCCACCCAGGTAGCTGTGACCACACACGCGTGGCACCATGTTTGGCTAATTTTTATTTTTATAATTTTAGACACAGCATCTCTCGCTTGGTTTCCCAGGCTGTGATCACAGCTCACTGCAGCCTCCAACTCCCACGCTCAAGTGATCCTCCCACCTCTGCCTCCTCAGTAGCTGGGACTACAGGCACGCTCTCACTTTTTGTATTTTTAGTAGAGATGAGGTTTGGCCATGTTACCCAGGCTGGTCTCAAACTCCTGGGCTCAAGCGATCCACCGGCCTCGGCCTCCCAAAGTGCTGGGATCACAGGCATGAGAGCCACCGCGGCTGGCCATGCAGCTGTTTTAATAAGCAATTCTGAGAAGACACAAATGCCACTCTGCTCTTTTGTGATAATATTAACACAGATTACTGAATTACAGTGACAAAAACTTCATATGTATTACCTAAGGAAACACAGAGCCCCCAGTGTTAGATCTGAACTCTTTCTCCACCCAGGACGAATAAGTGGATTCCAATTAGTGCCTCAAAAAAAAAAAAAAAGAAAAAAGTAGCAAGAAAAAAAAAGAACAGTAGAGCAGTTTCCACAAACGCCAGCCCTTATTTTTGGAAGGCCCACTTGCCAAGAACAATGTTTACTTGTCAAAAACAGTGTTGACGTTCATAAATGTTTTTTTCTGAATTTCTCAACGGTTAAGGGAAAAAAAGGCAAAAGAGCAATAATATTTCTTGACACAACATTTATATAAAATTTAGTAATCCCAGCTACTCAGGAGGCTGAGACAGGAGAATCGCTTGAACCTGGGAGGTGGAGGTTGCAGCGAGCCAAGATCGTGCCACTGTACTGCAGCCTGGGCAACAAGAGCAAAACTCCATCTCAAAAAAAAAACAATGTTAGATAGTATCGGACATGCTGGGTTGGACACAGGACTGAAGGGTAACTAGAAACAACTTTCAGGCAATTTCCACAAAAGTTACATGTCAGAAACAGGAAAGGTGGGCTTCCCCAGGTACTGCAAACCACCTATATTTTGCCATGACCAGGAATTTTTTATAAGCCCAAGTCCCACGTGTATTTTACAGCACTAATATTAACCTTCAAAACACGGAGGGTTTCTGTGTCTCCTCCTTCTTGGAAAATTTATCAAATTAAAAAAAAAAAGCTTAACTATTACTGCATTTTTTTAAAGAATGGTATTTGCTACAATCTGAAAGTTTGTGTTCCTCCCCCAAATTCCTGCATTGAAATCCTCACCCCTAAGACAATGGTGTCAGGAGGTGGGAGACTTGGGAGGTGATGACTTCATGGGGATCAAGCCTCATGAATAGGATCACTGTCCTTATAAAAGGAGCCCCAGAGAGCTCCCTCGCCCTTTCCACCATGTGAGCAGGCAGAGAAAATGCGTCGTCTATGAACCAGGGAGTGCATCCCCACCACACACTGAATCTGCCATGATCTTGAACCTCCAGCCTTCAGAACTGTGAGTGATAAATGTCTCTAGTTTATAAATTACCCAACTGAAGGTATTTTATTTTAGCAGCTCCCTACTCAGAGAGGCTGTGGCAGGAGAATCGCTTGAACATGGGAGGCGGAGGTTGCAGTGACCTGAGATCACACCACTGCACTCCGGCCTGGGCGACACAGCAAGACTCCGTCTCAAAACAACAACAACAACGGTTGGATCAAGAATGAAAGGTGCACGAAGGCAGTGATGAATGGAAGCCCCTTCCACCCTGGGCTCTGGAACTGCACAGGCCACCTTCTAAGGTTGCTCTCCTGTCATCCTCCCAAGTCTACACGGATATAAAGAAACACACTAGAGGTCTCTGATGCGATGGGGGCATCTCCAGAAATCCGAAGATTCAGGTTCTCAACCTCTGATCTGGGTGGGGGTGGGGAGCTGCAATTCCAGAAAGCAAAGGAAGCCTTGGCTGTGATTCAGACCATTTCTTGGTATCAAGCGTGTAGGGGAAGAAGGATGTGGACAAGGGAAAGAGAAGGAATGAATGCGGTCAGGACGCTGGCTGGAGAATGTCTGGGATGGTGACGTGCAGAGAGGAGCAGGCTGGCTGCGTCTCTCACTGTGCCTGGGACAGGCGGTGACAGAGGAAAGGGATTCCACATGAGAGTCAGAGACACCCAATGAAGAAAAAAAAGCAGCTTACAGGGTGAAAAGGACACAGACACAGACACGCAGAAGAATGTGGCCAAGGGATCGCCACCGAGTACGAACTGAAGACGTTTTCTAAGAATGGGTCCAAGGGACTGCCACTGTATGCACTGAAGACGTTCGGAAAGCATGTGGCCAAAGGACCACTGCTGTGTACACACTGAAGACATTCGCTAAGAATATGGCTAAGAGACGGCCACCTGTACACACTGGAGACGTTCCCTAAGTATGTGGCTAAGGGACCACCGCCATGTACACACTGAAGATGTTCCCTAAGTACGTGGCTAAGGGACGGCCGCCATGTACGCACTGAAGACGCTCCCTAAGAATGCAGCGAAGAGATGGCAGACGTTTCCTAGGCATGTGGCTAAGGGACCGCCGTGTACACACTTAAGACATTCCCTAAGCACGTGGCCCAAGGGACCATTGCCCTTTGCACATTGAAGACGATCCCTAAGCTTGGGTTAAGGGACCGCTGCCATGTACACACTGAAGAGGTTCCCTAGCAATCCGGCCAAGGGCCGCTGATGTGCACACACTGAAGACGTTCCCTAAGTGTGTGGCTAAGGGACTGCTACCATATACACACTGAAGATGTTCCCTAAGAATGTGGGTAAGGGACCGCCGCCATGTTCGCACTGAAGACGCTCCCTAAGAATGCGTCCAGGGGACTGCTGCCGTGTGCACACTGAAGATGTTCCCTAAGAATGTGGGTAAGGGACCCCCGCCATGTTCGCACTGAAGACGCTCCCTAAGAATGCGTCCAGGGGACAGCTGCCGTGTGCACACTGAAGATGTTCCCTAAGTATGTGGCTAAGGGAAGGCAGCCATGTACACACTGAAGACGTTCCCTAAGAATGCAGCCAAGGGAGGGCACTGAAGACGTTCCCTAGGCATGTGGCCAAGGGACCGCCACCTTATACACACTGAAGACGTTCCCTAAGCTTACGGCTAAGGGACCGCTGACATGTACACACTGAAGACGTTCTGTAACAATGCAGCCAAGGAACGGCCACCATGTACACACTGAAGAATTCCCTAAGCATGTGGCGCAAGGGACTGATACCATGTGCACAATGAAGATGTTCCCTAACCATAGGCCAACAGACTGCCACTGTGTAAATACTTAAGACATTCCCTAAGAATGGGGCTAAGGGACCCCCGCCATGTACACACTGAAGACGTTCCCTAAGAATGCAGTCACAGGATGGCACCGAAGACGTTCCCTAGGCATATGGCCAAGGGACCTCACTGAAGACGTTCCCTAAGCATGCGGCCCAGGGACAGCCACCGTGTACACACTGAAGACATTCCCAAAGCATGTGGCCAAGGGAACAAACTGAAGACGTTCCCTAATACAAAAGCTAAGACATTGTGGGTGTACCACACACTTCCTACAGCTGTGGGAAAATGAGGCTCTTCAGGGCGCCTCCATGACTAGCCACGAACCCAGCTAGGTGAGCCACGGAAAGAATGGCGTGTTGTAACTGCAGTAATTACCAAGACATAACAGGATCTAATCGCTTTCTAAATACATGGCTCCCTTAAGTCTCCCCATCCCTCCTCAATCACGCCAAAGAAGACCTGTTTAGCATACAAAATCAAGCTGTGAGGAGTAAAACTTTGGCAATGTCATTTCATCACAGCACAGAGCCACTGTGAGTCCAGCACCTCTTATGAAAAGAAAACAGACGGCCAGGCACCGTGGCTGACACCTGTCATCCGAGCACTTTGGGAGGCTGAGGCAGGTGGATCACTTGAGGCCAGGAGTTCGAAACCAGCCTGCCCAACAGGTGAAACCCCGTCTCTACTAAAAATACAAAAAAAAAGAAAAATCAGGGTGTAGGGGCAGGCACTTACAATCCCAGCTACTCCAGAGGCTGAGGCAGGAGAATTGCTTGAACCCAGGAGATGATGGCTGCAGTGAGCCCAGATTCAGCCATTGCACTCTAGCCTGGGCAACAAGAGCAAAACTCCATCGCAAAAAAAAAAAAAAAAAGAGAAAAGAAAACAGACATATTCATGCTGAGATTTCTACACTGTGAAAAAATATCTGCAACAGGGCATCACGCACCCCAAAAATTCCCAATGCTCTTAGCTAATCAAATCTACCAGGAAATTGCAATTCGAATGACTCCACAGTTTCCCAGAAAGGCAAACGCCATTCCAATAGAAAACATTCACTGCTTTTATGCACATTGTTACATCCATTCCTGAACACGACGCCTGTTACATCCATTCCTCAACAGGACGCCATGTAGACTGGATAAAGAAAGGGTGGAGCATATACACTATGGAATACTATGGACCCATGAAAAAGAATGGGATTGGTTGGGCGTGGCGGCGCATGCCTGTAATCCCAGCACTTTGGGAGGCCGAGGCAGGCAGATTACCTGAGGTCGGTAGCTCAAGACCAGACTGGCCAACATGGAGAAGCCCCGTCTCTACTAAAAATACAAAATTAGCCCAGCGTGGTGGTATGCGCCTGTAATCTCAACGACTCAGTAGCCTGAGGCAGGAGAATCACTTGAACCCAGGAACAGGAGGTTGTGGTGAGCTGAGATCACACCACTGCACTCCAGCCTGGGCAACAAGAAGGAAACCCAGTCTCAAAAGAAAAAGAAAAAAAGAAAACATGGGATGATGCCCTTTGCAGGAACATGCATGGAGGTGGAGGCCATTATCCTTAGCAAACTCACGTAGGAAAAGAAAACCAAATATCACCTGTTCTCACTCATAAACGGCAGCTAAACATTGGGTACTCATGGATACAAAGAAGGGAACAGCTGCAGGGGCATGCTGGAGGGTGGAGGGTGGGAGAAATGAGAGGATCGAAAAACTACCTATCAGGTGGTACTGGACTTATTACCTGCATGATGAAATAATCTGTTCACTAAGCCCCCAAGACATGCAATTTACCTGCGCACGTCCCCCTCAACCTGAAATCAAAGTGAAAAAAGTAGGCTGGGGGCGGTGATTCATAATCCCAGCCCTTTGGGAGGCCAAGGCGGGTGGATCACCTGAGGCAAGGAGTTCCAGACTACCCTGATCAACATGCTGAAACCCTGTCACTACTAAAAATACAAAAGTAGCAGGGCATGGTAGCGCACACCTATAATCCTAGCTACCTGACAGGCTGAGGTGGGAGAATCCCTTGAATGCGGGAGACAGAGATTGCAGTGAGCCGAGATCGCGCCATTGCACTCCAGCCTGGGAGACAAGAGCAAAAGTCCATCTCAAAAAAAAAAAAAAAAACGCTACATGACTACATGTAACAGCTACTGGGAACATTTTATTGAAATTTTTTAAGCCCTTTAAAATGTTAGGGTAGTGTCTTAGGAAATCAGGGATTTCCAAAGGCAGGACTTCACGACGCCAACTTGAGTGTGAGAAGGATTCCTTTCTACGTAGAAGGTGCATGCCTGCTCTAGGCTTCCACAAATCCCCGAGACCTAATAAGACATCTGGCTCCGTCACTGATCAAACAATGAGTACAACAGCTTAGCGTCCACTGCAAAGCTCCGTGGCAGTTAGCTCTAGTCAGTTTGTTCACAGCCGTGATTAAGGTGCCCACAGCATCCTCACCAGCCTCAGGAACGCGGCACAGTCAGCTCTCCACACGGGTGACCCCAGAAACAAGAGACAGGACTGTAACAGGGACAACGTGCGGCACACCAAACACCAGAAACAGGAGACCGGACTGAAACAGGGACAATGTGTGAGATGCCAAAAACCAGAACAAGAGACAGGAATATTATAACAGGGACAAAGTCCAGAGGACATGGAAGGTGGAAGACTCATGTGTCATAGGTGGAAACAGTTTATCTGTGAGTTGCAAACCAGGTGGATCAAGAATAAAAAGTGCAGCCGGACGTGGTGGCTCACACCTGTAATCCCAGCACTTTGGGAGGCCAAGGTGGATGGATCACCTGAGGTCAGGGGTTTGAGACCAGCCTGACCAACATGGAGAAACCTCATCTCTACTAAAAATATAAAATTAGCCAGGCATGGTGGTGCATGCCCGTACTCCCAGCCACTCAGGAGAATCGCTTGAACCCAGGAGGCGGGGAGGTTGCAGGGAGCTGAGATCACACCACTGCACTCCAGCCTGGGCGACACAGTAAAACTCCGTCTCAAAAAAAAAAAAAAAAAATGTTGGACCAAGAATGAAAGGTGCACAAATGCAGCCAGGGATGGAAGCCCCTTCCACCCTGGGCCCTGGAACTGCACAGGCCACCTTCTAAGGTTTCTCTCCTGTCATCCTCCCAAGTCTACACGAATATAAAGAATCACACTAGAAGTCTCTGATGCGATGGGGGCATCTCCAGAAATCCGAAGATTCAGGTTCTGAACCTCTGATCTGGGTGGGCTGGGGAGCTGCAGTTCCAGAAAGCAAAGGAAGCCTGTGATGTGATTCAGACCATTTCTTGGTAGCAAGGGTGTAGGGGAAGAAGGATGTGGACCGGGCAGGGGAAGGAATGAATGCGGTCAGGACGCTGGCTGGAGAATGTCTGAGATGGCCACTTGCAGAGAGGAGCAGGCTGGCTGCGTCTCTCACTGTGCCTGGGATGGTCGCTGACAGAGGAAACGGATACCACATAAGAGTCAGAGACACCCAATGAAGAAACAAAAGCAGTTTACAGGATGAAAAGTACACAGACACGGACACTCAGAAGAATGTGGCCAAGGGACCGCCACTGTGTATGCACTGAAGAGGTTCCCTAAGAATGCGGCCACGGGACTACTGCCATGTACACACTGAAGACGTTCCCTAAGTATGCGGCCAAGGGACCGCCGCCATGTACACACTGAAGACATTCCCTAAGAATGTGGCCAAGGGACCTCCACCATGTACACACTGAAGACGCTCCCAAAGAATGCAGCCAAAGGACGGCACTGAAGACTTTCCCTAGGGATGGGGCCAAGGGACCACCACCGTGTACACACTGAAGACATTCCCTAAGCATGTGGTCCAAAGGACTGCTGCCATGTACACACTGAAGACGTTCCCTAAGCTTGTGGCTAAGGGACCACCGCCATGTACACACTGAAGAAGTTCCCTAGCAATAAGGCCAAGTGACCGCTGCCGTTGCACACTGAAGACGTTCCCTAAGTATGTGGCTCAGGGACCACCACCATGTACACACTGAAGACGTTCCCTAAGAATGCCGCTAAAAGACAGCACTGAAGACATTCCCTAGGCACGTGGCTGAGGGGCCTCCGCCATGTACACACTGAAGGCATTCCGAAGCATGTGGCTAAGGGACCACTGCCATGTACACACTGAAGACGTTCCCTAACAATGCGCCCAAGGGACCACCACCATGTACACACCGAAGACGTTCCCTAAGAATGCAGCCAAGGGACGGCACTGAAGACTCGTTCCCTAGGCATGTGGCCAAGGGACCGCACTGAAGAAGTCCCCTAAGCATGCGGCCAAGGGACTGCCACCGTGTACACGCTGAAGACATTCCCTAAGAATGTGGATAAGGGACCGCCGCCATGTACACACTGAAGACGTTCCCTAAAAATGCAGCCAAGGGACCGCCGCCATGTATACATTGAAGACGTTCCCAAAGAATGCAGCCAAGCGACGGCACTGAAGACACTCCCTAGGCATGTGGCCAAGGGACCGCCACCCTATACACACTGAAGACGCTCCCTAAGCATGTGGCTAACAGACTGCGACCATGTACACACTGAAGACATTCCCTAAGAATGTGGCCAAGGGACCGCCACCGTGTATGCACTGAAGACGTTCCCTAAGCATGTGGCCAAGGGACTGCACTGATGACGTTGCCTAAGGATGCAGCCAAGGGACTGCCACCGTGTACACACGGAAGACATTCACTAAGAATATGACTAAGGGACCGCCACCATGTACCCACTGAAGATGTTCCCTAAGCATATAGCCAAGGGACCGACACCATGTACACACTGAAAACGTTCCCTAAGAATGTGGCCAAGGGACCGCCACCTTGTACATAGTGAAGACGTTCCAAAGGTCCAGCCATAGGCCTGCAAAACATCAGAGGAAAGAATGGTGTGCAGGATCCAGACATCCCACCACTGGGTGTGTACCCAAAGGAAAGGAAATCAGCCCATCAATGGGATACCTGCATCCCCTGTGCCCTGCAGCACTACTCAGGTTCCAAGATATACAATCAACCCATGTGTCAATCAACAGATGAGTACATCAAGCAAATGTGGCATAGACACACAGTGGAATAGTATGCAGCCATGAAAAAGGAAATCCTGCCATTTGCGCAACATGGATGGGACTGGAAGATACAATGTGAAGTGAAATGAACCAGGCACAGAGAGACAAATACTGTATCATCTCGTATGTAGAATCTAAAAAAGCTGAACGCATAAACGCAGAGAGTGCAATGGTGGTTGCCAGGGAAGAATGCTGAAGTGTTTGTCAAAGAACATAACATTTCAGTTGGAGGCCAGGAGCGCTGTGGCTCATGTCTGGAATCACTGTGCTATGGAAGGCTGAGGAAGGAGGATCACTGGAGGCCAGGAGTTTGAGACAAGCCTGGGTAACGTAATGAAACCCTATCTCTAAACAAATAAAAAAAAAACTGAAAAAATTAACTGGATATGGTGGCATGCACCTGTAGTCCCAGCTACTTGGGAGGCTGAGGCAGGAGGATCGCTTTAGCCCAGGAATTCAAGACCAGCCTGAGCAACATAGCAAGACCCCATCTCTACAAAAAATTTAAAAATTAACCAGGTGTGGTGGTGTGCACCTGTAGTCCCAGCTACCTGGGAGGCTGAGGTGGGAGGGTCACCTGAGCCATGAGTTGGAGGCTGCTGAGAGCTATGAACATGATGCTGTACTCCAGCCTGGCTATAGGATGAGACTGTCTCAAAAAACATATAAATTACATTAAAATTAATTTTTTTCAGTTAGATAAAACAAATGAATTCCAAGTTCTATCACACCACACAGTGATGATAGTTAATAATACATCACGTCTTTCAAAATGACTAAAAGTAGATTTTACATATTCTCACTACAAAAAAAAGTAGGTGAGGTGATATAGGTTAGAGTTAGAATTATGTGAATATGTAAATTAGCTTGATTGTTAATATGTTAATTAGCTTCAATGTTAATATGTTAATTAGCCTGATTATTAATATGTTAGTTAATGTGATTGTTAATATGGTAACTAGCTTGATTTAATCATTGCATGATGTGTACGTGGATTAAAACATCACGTTGTACCTCATATACGTGTATACAATTACTTTTTTTAACGAAAAATGAATTTTCCAGAAAAATGACTCGCATTTCCAGGCAGAAAACAAAACAAGTCCCAGTTTCAAGGACAGCTGTGACATATTTAACAGTGTTTCCTCTTAATTCAACACCCTTTATATGACCATGACCCAAGGGGCTCCAAGTTGCCAAGGAAAGGATTCCAGTTATGTGCTCAAGGTGTATCCACACTGGGCTGGGCGCGGTCACGCCTGTCATCCCAGCGCTTTGGGAGGCCGAGGTGGGTGGATCACCTGAGGTCACGAGTTCGAGAGCAGCCTGAACAATAGGCTGAAACCCCTTCTCTACTAAAAATTCAAAAATTAGCCGGGTGTGGTGGCAGGCACCTGCAATCCCAGCTACTCAGGAGACTGAGGCAGAATTGCTCAAACCCGGGAGATGTTGGCTGCAGTGAGCCGAGATTGAGCCATTGCACTGCAGCCTGGGCAACAAGAGCAAAACTCCATCTCAAAAAAAAAAAAAGACATTTACGTTGAGATTTCTACACTGTGAAAAAAGATCTGCAATAGGGCATCAGGCACCCCAAAGATTCCCAATGCTATTAACCAATCAAATCTACTAGGAAATTGCAATTGCAATCACTCCACAGTTTCCCGGAAAGGTGAACACCCCTCCAGTAGGAAGCATTCAGTGTTTTCATGCACATCGCTTCATCCATTTCTCAAAACAACGCCATGTAAACTGGATAAACAAAGGGTGGTGCATATACACTATGGAATACTACATACCCATGAAAAAGAATGGGATTGGTTGGGTGTGGTGGCTCACACCTATAATCTCAGCACTTTGGGAGGCCGTGGAGGGCAGATTAACTGAGGTCAGGAGTTCAAAACCAGCCTGGGCAACATGGAGAAACCCCGTCTCTACTAAAAATACAAAATTAGCCGGGCGTGGTGGCATGTGTCTGTAATCTCAGTTACTCAGAAGGCTGAGGCAGGACAACTGCTTGAACCCGGGAGCTGGTGGTAGCGGTGAGCCGAGATCACACCATTGCACTCCAGCCTGGGCAACAAAAAGGAAACTGTCTCAAAAAAAAAAAAAAAATGGGATGATGTCCTTTGCAGGAACATGCACGGAGGTGGAGGCCATTATCCTTAGCAAACTTACACAGGAACAGAAAACCAAATACCACCTGTTCCCACTGATAAGTGACAGCTAAACATTGGGCACTGGTGGATATAAAGAAGGGAACAGCTGCAGGGGCCTGCTGGAGGGTGGAGGGTGGGACAAATGAGAGGATCAAAAAACTACCTATCAGATGGTAGTAGGCTTACTACCTGGTTGATGAATTAATCTGTACACTAAACCCCCAGGACATGCAATTTACCCGTGTAATGAACCTGCACACGTGCCCCTGAACCTGAAAGTTTAAAAAGTAGGCCAGGAGCAGTGATTCATAATCCCAGCACTTTGGGAGGCCAAGATGGGTGGATCACTTGAGGCCAGGAGTTCGAGACCACCCTGACCAATATGGTGAAACCCTGTCACTACTAAAAATACAAAATCAGCCGAGCATGGTGGCGCATGCCTATAATCTCAGCTACCTTACAGGCTGAGATGGGAGAATCCTTGGAACCCGGGAGACGGAGGTTGCAGTGAACCCAGATCATACCATTGCACTCCAGCCTGGGCGACAAGAGTGCAAATCATCTCAAAAATAAATAAATAAATAAAACACTACATGTGCTGCTATTGGGAATATTTTACTGAATTTTTTTTAAGTCCTTTAAAATGTTAGGGTAGTGTCTTAGGAAATCAGGGATTTCCAAAGGCAGGACTTCACGTTGCCAACATGAGTGTGAGAAGGATTCCTTTCAGTGTAGAAGGTGCTTGCCTGCTCTGTGCTTCCAGAAATCCCCGAGACTTAATAAGGCACCTGGCTCCGTCACTGATCAAAGAATGGGTACCACAACTTACTGTCCACTGCAAAGCTCCATGGCACCTAGCTCTAGCCAGTTTGTTCACAGCCGTGATTAAGGTGCCCACAGCATCCTCACCAGCCTCAGGAACGTGGCACAGTCAGCTCGCCACAGGGGTGACCCCAGAAACAAGAGACAGGACTGTTACAGGGACAACACGTGGGACGCCAAAAACCAGAAACAAGAGACAGGAATATTGTAACAGGGACAAAGTCCAGACCACACGGAAGGTGGATGACTCATTTGTCACAGGTGGAAACAGTTTATCTGCGAGTTTGAAACCAGGTGGATCAAGAATGAAAGGCGCCGCCAGGCGCGGGGGCTCACGCCTGTCATCCTAACATTTTGGGAGGCCGAGGCGGATGGATCACCTGAAGTCAGGAGTTCGAGACCAGCATGACCAACATGAAGAAAACCCATCTCTACTAAAAATATAAAATTAGCCGGGCGTGGTGGCACATGCCTGTATTCCCAGCTACTCAGGAGACTGAGGCAGGAGAATTGCTCGAACCTGGGAGGCAGGGGTTACAGTGAGCCGAGATCCCTCCACTGCACTCCAGCCTGGGTGACAGGGTGACAGAGCAAGACTCCGTCTCAAAAAAAAAAAAAAGAATGAAAGGTGCACAGAGGCAGCCAGGACACAAGCCCCTTCCACCCCGGGCCCCGGAAATGCACAGACCACCTTCTAAGGTTTCTCTCCTGTCATCCTCCCAAGTCTACACGAATATAGAGAAACACACTAGAAGTCTCTGATAGGATGGGGGCATCTCCAGAAATCCAAAGATTCAGGTTCTGAATCTCTGATCTGGGTGGGGCTGGGGAGCTGCAGTGCCAGAAAGATAATGAAGCCTTGGCTGTGATTCAGACCATTTCTTGGTATCAAGCGTGTAGGGGAAGAAGGATGCGGACAGGGCAGGAGAAGGAATGAATGCGGTCAGCACGGTGGCTGGAGGATGTCTGGGATGGCGAGGTGCAGAGAGGAGCAGGCTGGCTGCGTCTCTCACTGTGCCTGGGATGGGCGGTGACAGAGGAAAGGGATTCCACATGAGAGTCAGAGACACCCAATGAAGAAACAAAAGCAGCTTACAGGGTGGAAAGGACACAGACACAGACACTCAGAAGAATGTGGCCAAGGGATCGCCACCGTGTACGAACTGAAGACGTTTTCTAAGAATGTGGACAAGGGACTGCCACTCCGTATGCACTGAAGAGGTTCCCAAAGCATGTGGCCAAGGGACCATCGCCATGTACACAATCAAGACAATCCCTAAGCATGTGATTAAGGGACTGCCACCATGTACACACTGAAGATGTTCCCTAAGAATGGGGCCAAGGGACCACTGCCATGTACACACTGAAGACGTTCCCTAAGTATGTGGCTAAGGGACCGCCCCCATGTACGCACTGAAGACATTCCCTAAGAATGCAGCCAAAAGACGGCACTGAAGACGCTCCCTAAGAATGTGGCCAAGGGACCACAACGGTGTACACACTGAAGCCATTCCTTAAGCATGTGGCCCAAGGGACTGCCACGCTGTGCATACTGAAGACGATCCCTAAGCTTGTGGCTAAGGGACGGCGGCCATCTACACACCAAAGACGTTCCCTAACAATGAGGCCAAGGGACCACTGCTGTGCACACACTGAAGATGTTCCCTAAGTGTGTGGCTAAGGGACCTCTGCCATGTACACACTGAAGACGTTCCCTAAGAATGCAGCTAAAAGATGGCACTGAAGACGTTCCCTAAGCATGTGGCCAAGAGACTGCCACCATATACACACTGAAGACGTTCCCTAAGCTTGTGGCTAAGGGACCGCCGCCATGTACACACTTAAGACGTTCCCTAAGAATGCGGCCAAGGGACCGCCACCATGTACACACTGAAGACGTTCCCTAAAAATGCAGGGAAGGGACAGCACTAAAGATGTTCCCTAGGCATGTGGCCAAGGGAATGCACTGAAGATGTTCCCTAAGCATGCAGCCAAAGAACTGCCACCATGTATACACTGAAGACATTCCCTAGGAATGTGGGTGAGGGACTGCTACCATGTGCACACTGAAGATGTTCCCTAAGAATGCAACCAAGGGACCACTGCTGTGTGCAGTGAAGACACTCCCTAAGTATGTGGCTAAGGGACCTCCGCCATGTGCACACTGAAGACATTCCCTAAGAATGCAGCTGGCACTGAAGACGTTCCCCTAGGCATAATGACCAAGGGACCCCACTGTATACAACTGAAGACGTTCCCTAAGCATGTGGCTAAGGGACTGCCACCAAGAACACAATGAAGACGTTCCCTAAGCATGCGGCTAAGGGAATGCCGACATGTACACACTGAAGAGGTTCCCTAAGAATGCGACCAAGGGACCGCCACCATGTACACACTGAAGACAGTCCCTAAGCATGTGGCACAAGGGACCGCCGCCCTGTGCACACTGAAGATGTTCCCTAACCATGGGGCCAACAGACTGCCACCGTGTACACACTGAAGACATTCCCTAAGCATGTGGCTAAGGGACCGCCGCCAGGTACACAATGAAGATGTTCCCTAGGCATGTGGCCAAGGGATCACACTCACTGAAGACGTTCCCTAAGCATACAGCCAAGGGACTGCCACCGTGTACACACTGAACACGTTCCCTAAGAATGTGGTTAAGGGACCGCCGCCATGTACACACTGAAGATGTTCCCTAAGAATGTGGCCAAGGGAATGCACTGAAGACCTTCCCTAATACAAAAGCTAAGACATTGTGGGTGTACCACACACTTCCTACAGCTGTGGGAAAATGAGGCTCTTCAGGGCACCTCCATGACTAGCCACAAACCCAGCTAGGAGAGCCACGGAAAGAATGGGGTGGTGTAACTGCAGTAATTACCAAGACATAATTCGATCTAATCGCCTTCTAAATAAATGGCTCCCTTAACTCTGCCCAGCCCACTTGATTCACACCAAGGAAGACGTCTTTAACATACAAAATCAGGCTGTGAGGAGTAAAACTTGGACAATGCCATTTCATCACAGCACAGAGCCACGGTGAGACCAGCACCTCTTATGGAAAGAAAACAGACAGCTGGCCGCCATGGCTCAGGCCTGTCATCCCAGCACTTTCGGAGTCCAAGGCAGGTGGATCACTTGAGGCCAGGAGTTTGAGACCGGCCAGGCCAACATGGTGAAACCCTGTCTCTACTAAAAACACACACACAAAAAAAAATTAGCCAGGCATGGTGGCAGATGCCTGTAATCCCAGCTACTCCAGAGGCTAACGCAGGAGAACTGCTTAAGCCCAGGAGATGTTGGCTGCAGTGAGCCAAGATTGAGCCATTGCACTCCAGCCTTGGCAACAAGAGAGAAACTCCATCTCAAAAAAAAAAAAAAGAAAGAAAAGAAAAGAAAACAGACATATTCATGCTGAGATATCTACACTGTGAAAAAAATATCTGTAATAGTGCATCAGGCACCCCAAAAATTCCCAATGCTCTTAATTAATCAAATCTACTAGGAAATTGCAATTGCAATGACTCCACAGTTTCCCAGGAGGCAAACACCATTCCAATAGAAAGCATTCACTGTTTTTATGCAAATCATTTCATCCATTCCTCAAAACAACGCCACGTAGACTGGATAAAGAAAAGGTGGTGTACATACACCACAGAATACTATGCATTCTTGAAAAAGAATGGGATTGACCAGGTGTGGAGACTCACACCTGTAATCCCAGCATTTTGGGAGGCCAAAGCAGGCGGATTACCTGAGGTCGGGAGTTCAAGACCAGCCTGGCCAACATGGAAAAACCCGTCTCTACTAAAAATACAAAATTAGCCGGGTGTGGTAGTGCATGCCTGTAATCCCAGCTACTTGAGAGGCTGAGGCAGGAGAATCCCTTGAACCTGGGAGACGGAGGCTGCAGTGAGCCGAGATCATACCACTGCACTCCAGCCTTGGCAACAGTAGCAAAACTCCATCTCGAAAACAAACAAACAAACAAAAAAACACCACATGTGCTGCTATTAGGAATATTTTACTAAATTTTTTGTAAGTCTTTTAAAATATTAGGGTAGTGTCTTAGGAAATCAGGGACTTCACGATGCCAACATGAGTGTGAGAAGGATTCCTTTCAATGTAGAAGCTGTTTCCCTGCTCTGGGCTTCCACAAATCCCCAAGACCTAATAAGACACCTGGCTCCGTCACTGATCAAAGAATGGGTACCACGACTTAGTGTCCACTGCAAAGCTCCATGGCACCTAGCTCTAGCCAGTTTGTTCACAGCCGTGATTAAGGTGCCCACAGCATCCTCACCAGCCTCAGGAACGTGGCACAGTCAGCTCGCCACACGGGTGACCCCAGAAACAACAGACAGGACTGTTACAGGGACAACATGTGGGATGCAAAAAACCAGAAACAAGAGACAGGAATATTGTAACAGGGACAAAGTCCAGACCACATGGAAGGTGGATGACTCATTTGTCACAGGTGGAAACAGTTTATCTGTGAGTTTAAAACCAGGTGGATCAAGAAAGAAAGGTGCGGCCAGGCGCGGGGGCTCACACCTGTCATCTCAACACTTTGGGAGGCCGAGGCGGATGGATCACCTGAGGTCAGGAGTTCGAGACCAACATGACCAACATGAAGAACACCCATCTCTACTAAAAATATAAAATTAGCCGAGCGTGGTGGCACATGCCTGTATTCCCAGCTACTCAGGAGACTGAGGCAGGAGAATTGCTCGAACCTGGGAGGCAGGGGTTACAGTGAGCCGAGATCCCTCCACTGCACTCCAGCCTGGGTGACAGGGTGACAGAGCAAGACTCCGTCTCAAAAAAAAAAAAAAGAATGAAAGGTGCACAGAGGCAGCCAGGACACAAGCCCCTTCCACCCCGGGCCCGGGAAATGCACAGACCACCTTCTAAGGTTTCTCTCCTGTCATCCTCCCAAGTCTACACGGATATAAAGAAACACACTAGAAGTCTCTGATAGGATGGGGGCATCTCCAGAAATCCGAAGATTCAGGTTCTGAATCTCTGATCTGGGTGGGGCTGGGGAGCTGCAGTTCCAGAAAGCAAATGAAGCCTTGGCTGTGATTCAGACCATTTCTTGGTATCAAACGTGTAGGGGAAGAAGGATGCGGACAGGGCAGGAGAAGGAATGAATGCGGTCAGCACGGTGGCTGGAGGATGTCTGGGATGGCGAGGTGCAGAGAGGAGCAGGCTGGCTGCGTCTCTCACTGTGCCTGGGATGGGCGGTGACAGAGGAAAGGGATTCCACATGAGAGTCACAGACACCCAGTGAAGAAGCAAAAGCAGCTTACAGGGTGGAAAGAACACAGACACAGACACTCAGAAGAATGTGGCAGGGACACATTCTGGCCAATGGACTGTCACCTTGTACAAACTGAAGACGTTTTCTAAGAATGTGGCCAAGGGATCACACTGAAGACGTTCCCTAAGAATGTGGCCAAGGGACTGCACTAAAGATGTTCTCTAAGCATGCGGCCAAGGGACCACCAGTGTGTACACATTGAAGAGGTTCCCTAAGAATATGGCTAAGAAACAGCACTGAAGACATTCCCTAAGCATGTGGTTGAGGGACCGCACTGAAGACGTTCCCTAAGAATGACACCAGGGGACTGCCACCGTGTATGCACTGAAGATATTCCCTAAGAATGTGGCCAAGGGACCAACCAGGGCTGTGACTGAAGACGTTCCCCAAGCGTGCGGCCAAGGGACCACCATTGTGTAGGCACTGACGACGTTCCCTTAGAATGTGGCCCGGGGACCACCACCATGTAAGAAGTGAAGACGCTCCCTAAGAATGTGGCCAAGGGACCACCACGGTGTACACACTGAAGACGTTCCCTAAGTATGTGGCTAAGGGACCACCGCCATGTACGCACTGAAGACGTTCCCTAAGAATGCAGCCAAGGCAAGGCACTGAAGACATTCCCTAGGCATGGGGCCAAGGGATGGCCACCATGTACACACTGAAGTCATTCCCTAAGCATGTAGCCCAAGGGACCACCACCGTGTGCACACTGAAGATGTTCCCTAAGCTTGTGGCTAAGGGACCACAGCCATGTACATACTGAAGATGTTCGCTAACAATGCAGCCAAAGGACTGCTGCCCTGTACACACTGAAGACGTTCCCTAAGCATGTGGCCCAAGGGACTCCCACCCTGTGCACACTGAAGATGATCCCTAAGCATGTGGCTAAGGGACCACCACCATGTACACACTGAAGACATTCCCTAAGCATGTGGCCCAAGGGACTCCCGCACTGTGCACACTGAAGATGATCCCTAAGCTTGTGGCTAAGGGACCTCCGCCACGTACACACTGAAGACATTCCCTAAGAATGTGGCCAAGGGACCACCACCATGTGCACACTGACGACATTCCGTAAGAATATGGCCCTGTGCACACTGAAGACATTCCCTAAGCATGTGGCTACGGGACCACCGTGTACGCACTGAAGACATTCCGTAAGAATGCGACCAGGGGACCGCCACATGTGCACACTGAAGACATTCCCTAAGAAAACGGCCAAGGGACGGCACTTAAGACGTTCCCTAAGCATGTGGCCCAAGGGACCACTGCCCTGTGCACACTGAAGATGTTCGCTAAGCATGTGGCTAAGGGACTGCCGCCATGTACACACTGAAGACATTCCCTAAGAATGTGGCCAAGGGACCGCCACAGTGTACACACTGAAGACGTTCTCTAAGAATGTGGCCAATGGACCACACTGTAGACGTTCCCTAAGCATGCAGCAAAGGGACTGCCACCGTGTACACACTGAAGACATTCCCTAAGAATGTGGCTATGGGACTGTCGCCATGTACACACTGAAGATGTTCCCTAAGCATGTGGCCAAGGGACGGACGCCATGGACACTGGGAAGACGTTCACTAAAGTCCAGAAACGGGCCTGCGAAACACCAAAGGAAAGAATGTTGTGCAGGATCCAGTCATCCCACCGCTTGGTGTGTGCCCAAAGGAAAGGAAATCAGCCCATCAATGGGATACCTGCACCCCCTGTGCACTGCCAACACTACTAACAGTTTCCAAGATATAGAATCAACCCATGTGTCAATCAACAGATGAGCGTATCAAGCAAATGTGGCATAGACACACAATGGAATAGTATGCAGCCATGAAAAAGGAAATCCTGCCATTTGCAGCAACATGGATGGGACTGGAAGATACAATGTGAAGTGAAATGAACCAGGCACAGAGAGACAAATACTGTATCATCTCGTATGTAGAATCTAAAAAAGCTGAACGCATAAACGCAGAGAGTGCAATGGTGGTTGCCAGGGAAGAATGCTTCATGAAGTGTTTGTCAAAGAACATAAAATTTCAGTTGGAGGCCAGGAGCGGTGGCTCATGTCTGGAATCACAATGCTATGGAAGGCTGAGGAAGGAGGATCACTGGAGGCCAAGAGTTTGAGACAAGCCTGGGCAACATAATGAAACCGCATCTTTAAAAAAAAAAAAAAAAATTAGCTGGGTATGGTAGCATGCACCTGCAGTCCCAGCTACTTGGGAGGCTGAGGCAGGAGGATCGCTTCAGCCCAGGAATTCAAGACCAGCCTGAGCAACATAGCAAGACCCCATCTCTGCAAAAAACTTAAAAAATTAACCAGGTGTGGTGGTGTGCACCTGTAGTCCCAGCTACCTGGGAGGCTGTGGTGGGAGGGTCACCTGAGCCAGGAGTTGGAGGCTGCCATGAGCTATGAACATGATGCTGCACTCCAGCCTGGGTGATAGGGTGAGACTGTCTCAAAAAAAATAAATTACATTAAAATTAAATTTTTCCAGTTAGATAGAAGAAATAAATTCAAAGTTCTACCACACCACACAGTGATTATCATTAATAATAATACATTGCGTTTTTCAAAATGACTAAAAGTAGATTTTACACATTCTCACCACAAAAAAAAGTAGGTGAGGTGATATAGGTCAGAGTTAGGATTATGTGAATATGTTAATTAGCTTGTTAATATGTTAATTAGCTTGAATGTTAATGTGTTAATTAGCTTGATTATTGATATGTTAATTAGGTTAATAATATGGTAACCAGCTTGATTTAATCATTGCACAATGTGTACTCGGATTAAAACATCACGTCGTACCTCCTATATATGTATACAATTATTTTCTATAAAATAATTCTATAAAGATAGCTCGCATTTCCAGGCAGAAAGCAAAACAAGTCCCAGTTTCGAGGACAGCTGTGACATATTTAATGGTGTCTCCTCTTAATTCAACAGTTTATATGACCATGACACAAGGGGCTCCAAGTTTCCAAGGAAAGGATTCCAGTTATGTGCTCAAGGTGTATCCACACTGGGCTGGTCGCGGTGGCTCACGCCTGTCATCCCAGCACTTTGGGAGGCTGAGGCGGGTGGATCACCTGAGGTCAGGAGTTCCAGACCAGCTTTACCAATGTACTGAAACCCCGTCTCTACGAAAAATATAAAAATTAGCTGGCTGTGGTGGCAGACACCTGTAATCCCAGCTACTCAGGAGGCTGAGACAGGAGAATGGCTTGAACCCAGGAGGCGGAGGTTTCTGTGAGCCGAGATCGTGCCATTGCACTCCAGCCTGGGCAACAAGAGTGAAACTGTCTTAAAAAAAAAAAATGGTATCCACACTGCAGCATGGACCAGAAGAGATGACCTTCCAGTGAGCACACGAGGTCGTCTCACAAAGCGGCGAGTGTTCCCAGTTATTACTCGGAGGGCTGGGCCTGCTCAGGAGGGTTGGTGAGATCAGGCTGTCCCCTAACACACACCATGGCAGGGCTCATCCTCCCGAGTACATGCAAACTGCACTGAGCCGGCTCCCCATGGAACTCCAAAAATAGCCCAGCTGGGAAGAAATGGAACGTTCTGGGGGACACTGATTTTCACATTGAAATTTCCTATCTTTTTAAATTTATTTTGGTTGAGACAGTCGCCCAGGCTATTGCCCAGCCTGGAGTGCAGTGGCATGATCGTAGTTTATGGCAGCCTCAGCCTCCTTGGGCTCAAGCGATCCTTCAGCCTCAGCCTCCCAAGTAGCTGTGACCACACACGTGTGCCACCACGTCTGGCTTTTTTTTTTTTTTTAGAGACAGCATCTCTCTCCTTGTTGCACAGGCTGGAGTGCAGTGGTGCGATCACATTTCACTGCAGCCTCCAACTCCCTGGCTCAAGTGATCCTCCCACCTCAGCCTCCTGTGTAACTGGGACTACAAATGCACACCTTATGTCCAGCTAATTTTTTTATTGTTACTAGAGACAAGGTCTCAGTATGTTGACCAGGCTGGTCTCAAACCCCTGAGTTCAAGTGATCCTACTGACTTAGCCTCCCAAAGTGCAGGTATTACAAGCATGAGCCACCACACCCAGCCTATTTTTATTTTATTTTTGTAGGCACAGGATCTCGCTGTTTGCCCAGGCTGATCTCAAACTCAGGCTCAAAAATCATCCTCCTGCCTCAGCCTCCCAAAGTGCTGGGATGACAGGTGTGAGCCATTGTGCCCGGTCTCATACCATTTTTGTATCATGAAACTTTATTATTCTTTGCATTTCTTTCCCTCAAGAATTTAAACATGTAAGAAGCAAACCAACACCTTTTAAAACCTAAACATAATTCTTAGCTTGTGGATACAGTTTTGGAAGCAATTTAAATTCTAGAAATCCTGCAGTAACTGCCTATTTGATACGTTCTCAGAGTTCCTGCCTTTCCAGTTAAACACAAATAAAATAGGAGTCCGGTGACCTCGAACACCCCAGGGTAAGAACGCACAAGCTAAAAGCCAGTTGGAGCCTGAATGTGAAAAGGCAATCATTCCTTCTGCATCAAAACATCTGCACCCACGGGTCCACCCGTCAGCCAAAAGCCACCTCAGCAATGCTACCAAAACAGGGAAAAGAAAGGCTACCCTCTTTCTTTCATGCAAGCCCTCTAAGATAACGCACAACCTACTAGCTCACGTAAATTAGGGCACAAAGAACCCAACTGAAATCCTGGCAGAACAAGCACAACTTCTGCTTAATCGTGAACTCATTTATTTATTTATTTAGAGACAGGGTCTCACTCTTTTGCCCAGGCTGCACGACAGTGATGCAATCTCAGCTCACTGCAGCCTCGACTTTCCGGGCTCCAGCGATCCTCCCACCTCAGTCTCCCAAGTAGCTGTGATCACACATGCGTGCCACCATGTTTGGCTAATTTTTATTATTATTATTATTATTTTTAGAGGCAGCATCTCTTGCTTTATTTTCCAGGCTGGAGTGCAGTGGTATGTTCACAGCTCACTGCAGCCTCCAACTCCCAAGCTCAAGTGATCCTCCCACCTTCGCCTCCTGAGTAGCTGGGACTGACTACAGACATGCGCCTCCATGCCTGGCTAATTTTTTGTATTTTTAGTAGGGATGAGGTTTGGCCATGTTGCCCAGGCTGGTCTCAAACTCCTGGGCTCAAGCGATCCGCCTGCCTCGGCCTCCCAAAGTGCTGGGATCACAGGCATGAGAGCCACTGCACCTGGCCATGCAGCTGTTTTAATCAGCAATTCTGAGAAGACACAAATGCCCCCCGGTTCTTTTGTGATAATATTAACACAGATTACTGAATTCCAGTGACAAAAACCTCACGTGTGTTACCTAAAGAAACACAGAGCCCAGAGTGTGCGATCTGAGCTGTTTCTCAAACCAGGACAAATAAGTGGATTCCAATTGGTGCCTCGAGAAAAAAAAGGGAAAAAGTGGCAAAAAAAAAAAAAAAAAAAAGTAGTTTCAACAAAGTCCAGCGGTTATTTTTGGAAGGCCCACTCACCAAGAACAGTGTTTACATTCGTACATTTTTTTTCTGAATTTCTTAATGGTTGGGGGAAAAAAAGAAGTCAACAGAGCAATAATATTTCTTGACACAACATTTATATAAAATTTAGTGCCCACGAAGTGGGAGTGGAATACACGGAGTCTCGCTCTTGTCGCCCAGGATGGAGCGCAGTGGCACGATCTTAGCTCACTACAACCTCCGCCTCCCTGGTTCACGCGATTCTCCTGCCTCAGCCTCAGTACCTGGGATTACAGGTGCCCACCACCATGCCCAGCTAATGTTTGTATTTTTAGTAGAGATGGGGTTTCACCATGTTGGCCAGGCTGGTCTTGAACTCCTGACCTCAGGCGATCCACCCGCCTCGGCCTCCCAAAGTGCTGGGATGACAGATGTGAGCCACCACACCCAGCAATGGATGCTTTTAGACACAACGGCAAAACTAAGTTGTTGAGAGACAGAGAATGCATGGTCCGCGGAGCCAAAAATATTTCCTCTCTGACCCCTTAAAGTTGACACCATCAGGGTACTCATGCCAAGGACCTCCCGCATCTGACTGCAACACAAAAGGACAGGCAGCCGCAGCTAGGAAGGAGCCTGGCTGCAAAGCCCTGAAACCCGAAAGCTTCCCAGAAGTTGCTCAGAAAGGAACTCATGCAGTTTGAGAAAATCTGGAAGAAACGAGCCAAACCCTGCTGTTTTCGTCGTCTGAAGAAATGAGCAAAACACTGCCGTTTTGCTGCAGACGGTCCTGTGAGAGTTTGCATTCTCTGTTCACCAGGCAGGGGCATGGCGAGTTCATTTTATAAAACTCTCAGGTGAGCCCCACGATTTGACGGAGCAGAAATCACTGGGAAAGGACGGGGCGGCGGGCCTGAGATCACAGAGGGGAAAACAGTAGAACTGCTGCCCAAGCACATCTGAGACTCGCAGAAGGCGCAGGAAGATGGTCGGAACAAAAGCAGGAGCTGGCTGCGCCAGGAACCCGGTCTCTGGGCCTCCTCTGCACTCACGAGCAAATGAACGTCACCACCGAGATTTCGGCACCCCAGAAACAGCCCAACCGGCTCCTTCCCACCAGCTGCCTCTTTACTAAAACATCCGAAACCTTTTTCTCACTTTCCCCAAGCTGTTTTCCTCACCCTTCAGAGGCCTGCTGGGAAAACAGTTCGAAGCAGGCAATTCTGCAAAGTGGGGGGGAAACAAAAACAACCAGCTCAGAGTTAGGGCTGTGCAGCCAGATGCAAGCGTGAAAACAAAACCGAACCGAAAAATCCCACCACTGTGCGGAAGGAGTGCCACACAGGCTGGGATGAGAACCGTCGGGGTTAGGGAAATGTCTCTGTAAGAAACCCTCAAGGACTAGAATTACTCCTAATGGGAAAAACGTGTAAACATGTCCCACTTAAATGAACATCACGATGCAAATGCTTAGTTATGAGGACTGAAAATGAACCCCTTTCAACCCAAAACGTGCAAGAAAGAGAAATTTCGGCATTTTAATGATGCCCAAGGACAGGCAGTCAACCAACAGCACTTGGAAAGGGCAAGTCTGGGCAGAGGTGCACATCCCGGCCTTCCTGTGTTTCTTGGGGGCCATTGTTTTCTCAGGAGGGAGGAAAAGAGGGAGGGAGGAAGGAAAAAGGGATGGAAGGAAAACGAAAGAGGAAGGGAGGGAGGGAGAAAAGGGAGGGAGGGACAGAGGGAGGGAGGAAAGGAAGGAAGGAGGAAGGGAGGGAGACAGGGAGGGACAGAGGGAAGGAAGGAGGGAGGGAGGAGAGGGAAGGAGGGAGGGAGGGATGGGGGAAGGAGGGAGGGGAGGAAAGGGAGGCAGAGAGGGAGGGGAGGGAGGGAACGGAGAGAAGGAAGGGAGAAAAGGGAGAGAAGGGAGGGAAGGAAGGGAGAGAAGGAAGGAAGGGAGAAAAGGGAGAGAAGGGAGAGAAGGAAGGAAGGGAGAGAAGGAAGGAAGGGAGAGAAGGAAGGAAGGGAGAGAAAGAAAGAAGGGAAGGGAGGGAAGGAAGGGAGAGAAGAAGAGACAAGGATGGGAGGGAAGGAAGGAAGGAAAGAAGGAAGAAAGGAAGGATTTGTTGGCTGAAGAAGAGAGGGAGGGTTGGACGGAAGGAGGAGGGAAGGAAGAGACCATGTGAGAGGAGGTGAGGAAGACAGGAAGAGAGGGGTGATAAGGAGGCTGGGGGGAGAGGGAAGGCGCTGATGCCATCCGGATCCATCCAGGCTGCCTCGTCCATGGGGCCTCCGTTTATACAACTATCCACTAAGTGAAGGAACCGGCAAAAATCTCTGCTCCCGGGGAACACTTTCACCAGCTGCCGGCTTTATTCACTCAGAAATTTTGATGCCAAAACACCCGAAAGTACATCATAACTTGAGGATTTACAGACAAGAAAGAGGAGCACAGAACTGACCGTGGGTGCCCTGGAAAAAGTTGCTTTCAACAAGGACCACAACAAAAATAAAAATAATAATAATGATAAACCTCCCTCCACTCCCAGGATCAAGGGGTTCAGACAAACTGCAGTCCAGACGGACACGCGGCAGACAAATGAATGAGGAGCTAATGCATTGCTCTGGTTTATTGAACAACAGTCCAACTTTACAGCATTAAATAAGGGGCAACCGTTCAGGAGGGGAACGATGGCTTAAAAATAAAAATGAAGACAGAGCCGGGACAGTTCACATTTCCACGTGAGTGAGGAAAAGCGAAGGATTGTTAGAGACGTGAAGAGAACGCTGGCAATGCTACAGAATGGAGCCCACGGAGGCGTGGGCTGCCCTGCGTCCCCGGCCTCGGGGCAGAACAGGGAGCAACCCCAAAGCCTGCCCCACTGTGTCCCTTCCAGCTGCCCTTCTGCCGAGAACACCCGGAGCTGAGGGTTCCAAGTTCACGGCGGAACCGCTTCCCTTAAAAAGAAAGCAAAGGTTACGTGGATTTCTCCCGTGCTTCCTTTTCCACAGACTTAAACCGGCTCAGGACGTAAGGATAACATTCTGTGCTGCTTGCAGCCCTGAGAAGTCAGCAGCCGTGAAAGGCAGGTAGTTCCTTTGCCCTCTGACACCCCGAGTTCTTGGGGTCTCGGCAGAACACTGCCTGGAGCTGAGTGGGGTCATCCCTCCTAGACACCGTTCTCCCCAGCCCAGCTTGTCTTCACGGAGGCAGAGAACCCGCTGCACGTAGAATCCAAGCAATATGCTAAGCCTCCTGAAGTATTTTTCCTCCAGTTAAAAAGCAGTTCTACATGTTGGAAAACGTCTTTCTGTTTCCCTGAATGACTGAAAGCAACTCGCAGGAATCCAGCCACGGAAAACCCCTCCGGGGGCAATATTTTAAAATTCATTTCCCCTATGGTATTCAGTTTAAAAGAGAAGAATCAAGAGTCCTTTCCGGTAATCAAATCAAAAACACCTTATGTGGAAAAGCTGGCCGCACGGGGGAACTGGACTTTTAGGGCTGAGACACCGAAGACATAACCTCCGGACCCGTGAGCCACCCACTTTTGTTTTGTTTTGAGACGGAGTCTCACTCTGGCCTCCAGGCTGGAGTGCAGTGGCGTAGTCTTGGCTCACTGCAACCTCCACCTCCTGGGCTCAAGCGAATCTTCCGCCTCAGCCTCCCGAGTAGCTGGGATTACAGGCGGGTGCCACCGCATCTGGCTAGTTTCTTGTATTTTTAGTAGACACGAGGTTTCACCATGTTGGTTGGCCAGGCTGGTCTCGAACTCCTGACCTCAGCGTGAGCCACCACGCCCGGCCACCGCCCAGTTTTAAGGACCAACTCCGCAAAGTGAAATTTCGGCAGGCAGCAGGAAGCAGGCTCTCTGGCAGCAACCTGTCGAAAATACAACACATTCCACACTTTTTTTTCTGTTTGCTTTTTGTTAAGTGTCTGCATTTTTGTACTCATCTGTCACATTTTTAACCGAACATTAAAAAAAAAGGTCTCTCTTTTTAAGAAGGGCATTTTGGCTAAAAGGTCTCTTCCCCATTTCTCAGAAGCAAGAGGTCCCTGCTTGCACGAGAATGTAAACATGAATTCAGTGATCTGGACCTCGCAGAAGTCACACATGATGATCGGGAAAGGCTCCTTCGACGCCACCCAGAATGTTCCTGCGTTTCTTCTAAACCCTCCCAGGGAGAACTCGAATCAGACATGGTGGAGGTCTTAAGTATCTGTGAAGGAAGGAACAGCTCCTCTAGGCTCTGCTGCACGCAATTCCCAAGCAGAAGCGTTGGCAGTTCCCAAGCAGAAGTCGTCCGGGCCCCGGGAATAGGGGAGGAAAGGAAACCCACTCAAAGCCACCTCTCTTGTGTCTTCTTTTTTCTTTTTGAGAGAGTCTCGCTCTTGTCGCCCAGGCTGGAGTGCAGCGATCTCAGCTTACTGCAACCTCCACCTCCCAGGTTCAAGCGATTCTCTGGCCTCAGCCTCCAGAAGCTGGGATTACAGGCACATGCCATCAGTCCTGGCTAATTTTTGTATTTTTAGTAGAGACGGGGTTTCGCCATGTTGGCCAGGCTGGTCTCGATCTCCTGACCTCAGCTGATCTGCCCACCTCGGCCTCCCAAAGTGCTGCGATTATAGACAGGAGCCACCGCCCCCGACCCTCTCTCACTTCTCAAATCTCTTTCCTTTTTCCACCTTCTAGGTGTCAAAGACAGTGGATGGTCTCTGAGGTTCAAAACCAAGCTGACCGGGTAAGTATTTACAGCAAAGCATCCAATGGGCTGCTGCGGGGATGACTTGTAAGACAACACGCTTCCTCGCTACAGGAAGCTGCTGTCCCTAATGCCAAAGAAACCGCCGCTGACGCCATCCCCCAAGGAGAACACCTGCTCCTGGTCCAGGCCCCACTCCCCCTCGTCCTGGTCCTCGGGTTCCGCCTCTGCCCCACTCCGGGCGTTCTCATACAGAAACACCTGCTCGTCCACGTGCGCGGGAGCCAGCCGGTTCCTCTTGGCGCTGACCACGTTGGCGGCGGATCCGAAGAGACGCTCAGGGGCGACGCGCGTGGCCGTCACGCACCAGTACTTCTGCAGCACCTTGGGCAGCAGGGGGAAGAGGGCCAGGCGGTCTGACCACCACTTGAGGGGGTCTTCGTTGAGGCCAAGCACCTTCTGGGACTTGAAGTTGCTCAGCTCCTCCACCACCTGGGCATGCCACTCTTCCTGGTCCTCCACGCCGCCTGTCTGGCAGAAGATCTCGGCCAGCATGTTGTTGATGACGCTGGCGGGCGGCGGCGTGGATGTCCGCATGAGCTTCTTGACGGGAGGCTCCTCGGGCACCGGGAAGATCTTGTCCTCAGCCGGCCGGTAGCCGCCGTCTTTGACCTTGTCCAGCAGGCCCTTGGCCTCTTCCACCACGCGATTCTCCACCTGCTGCCGCTCGAAGGCGGAGAGGAAGGGCAGCCTCTTGTAGCGGGGGTCCAGGAAGGTGGCCACGTTGAGAAACATGTCGATCTCGGGCGTCTCCTGGTAGGTCTTGGAAAGCTCCTTGGCGATGACCTCCTTGGCCATGCTGAGCTCCTTGGAGTCGGTCTCCTTGATGTTGAGCGTGGTGTTCAGGAGCATGTGCAGCAGCGGCTTCACCATGCTGATGGTGGGGTACCTGGAGGCCGACAGCATCTCGGCCACCTGCTTGAAGGGCTGCAGGAGCTCCACCAGCCCCTCGATGGTGGCCCACTCGCTGGCCTCCAGCATGAGGTGGTGGTTGTTGCTGTCCTCCACCAAGACCCCGGCGATGACGAACTGCTGCTCCTTGAGGCGCTGCAGCATGGCCAGCGTGCTCCCCCACCAGGAGACGCGGTTGCTCACCAGCATGCAGTGGGCCACGTTCTGCTGCTTCTGCTTCTCATAGAGCATGTACATGGCCACGGCAGACTGCTGGAAGTACTCCACCAGTTTGCGGCAGCGCGACAGCAGCGCCCCCAGCTTCGGGAGCTGGAAGGCCTGCTGGATGCCGGCATTGAAGGTGTGGCCCAGGCAGGGCATGTGCACTGCGACGTCCAGCAGGGAGCACGCCTTCACGATGTCCTTGCCATAGTTGGTGGTGGCCCCGAAGACCTTGGCGCTGATGCCCCACTCGATGAAGACCTCATAGAGCACTCGCGTGATGGTCTCCGCCGTGTTCTCTTCGGGCACCTCGAAGGTCTTCAGGCAGCGGGAGCCCATGGACAGGCAGTTGGGGGCGCCCAGGCCCAGGAAGTGGGCGGCCAGCGTGACGTAGGCGCGGTTCTGATTCTCACTCCTCCACATGTCGGTGGAGATGCCACACCAGGTGGCCTCGGCCAGCTCCTTCAGGATCACCTCCCGGACGGCCCCGTACTTCTCAGGGATGGCCTTGGTAGAGATGTACTTCCGGCTGGGCAGCTCATACCGGGGGTCGGCCGTCTTCAGCAGCACCTTGAAGGTGGGCTCGTCCACGATGGAGGCTGGGTACAGCCCCTCGCAGATGAGGCCCAGCACGGCGGCCGTCAGCTCCTGCTGCTTCTTGCTGTCGTAGCCGTGGCCGGCCTTGACGGCCAGCGCGTCCTGCCCGGGCTGCTGGGACGACTCGGGCTTCAGCTTGGAGAAGGCGGTGGCGAAGGCTTCACGCATCTGCTCCGTGTTGCTCTTGACGAACTCGCAGAATTCCTCGGGGTGGTTCTTCTCCAGGTGGTAGGACAGGTTGGAGGTGTTTCCGGAGTAGGCGATCTGGGCCATGCAGATGCGGCAGTAGATTTTCTTCCACTGCAGGATGCATCCCTCGGCGTTGGTGTCGAAGCCGAAATACTTCCACACCTTGCTCTTGGCGCGGGGGTGGGCCACCAGCTTCAGGTCTGTCTGGGAGCTCTCCAGGCTTTTATTCTCCATTGCTTCTCCACCGGAGCCTGCCTGCTGGACGGCTGCTCATGCGTGGGGACCTGCTGAGAAGGGCCAAGACAAACACAGCATGAGAAGGGACCCAGGCACGCACGGGAGCCCTGCCGGGGAGACAGACAGGGTGCCGGGGCAGCTCCGCTTTCAACCAAAGGGCACTGGGGCCGGACGGCTGGACCTTCCTTGCGGGTCACTTTTGCAGAGTGGAGGAGGGAACCTAGCGCAGGAATACGCTCTTTCTTCCACGTTAATCCGACTGCAGCGATGCCGCACGTGTCAACATACAGGTTTGCGAGTGAGCACGGCATTTTTGCAGGGCTGTACCTGACAAGTGCCTTTAGTTTTTTTTTTTTTTTTTTTTTGAGACAGAGTTTCGCTCTGTCACCCAGGCTGCAGTGCAATGGCGTGATCTCAGCTCACTGCAACCTCCGCCTCCCGGGTTCAAGCGATCTTCCTGCCTCAGCTTCCTCAGTAGCTGGGATCACAGGCACCTGCCATCACGCCTGGCTAATTTTTGTATTTTTAGTAGAGACAGGGTTTCACCATGTTGGTCAGGCTGGTCTCGAACTCCTGACTTCAGGTGATCCACCCGCCTTGGCCTCCCAAAGTGCTGGGATGACAGGCGTGAGTCACCGCGCCCAGCCTGACAATGCCTCTGTCATCGCAGGGGCTTGTTGTTCCTGTCCTAAGAGTTTCCCAAGCACCTGCCACGTGGGAAAGCTGCGTAGATCTTTTCTGGGGATGAAGCCTACATAGAAGAATCCACAAGTGGCCAGGCAGACCCCCCACTGCCAACCATCACAGCAGGACTCTCTGAATGCCACCTGAGCTTCATTCACTGCATTAAAGAAGCCAAACAGGACCTCCATCTGACTAAAGCCAGCTTTCCTATGGCTAAGAGGCACTGCACACTCTTCTCAAACTTTATGGTTTAAAATGAAGCCATGTGGAACGTCACAGGTGCATCCGTGATCTGTAAGCACGTCTGAAGAAGCATGGATTTCTCAATCCCTGGAACTTCTCAAAATGCCCATTGTGTCCAGTCACACCTGTGGGCAGAAAGGCCCAACTGGGCAAATATCACACACCTGTGCAAACATCAGGCAGTCGGTGTGGAGGCTTAGATGACCCAGAAGCCAGTCCCCAGGGTTCCTGTTGAGGTTGAATGCTCACACATACAGGCCCTTCCAGCTGCCACTCAGGAGGCCACCTCTGTGACTGGGTTGCCCAAAATGACAGCTGGGCTTTGTTAAAAGGTGTAATTGTGTCTCCAAGTGTCCAGTACAGTGCTCAGGAGGGTAAATATCAAAATGCACCACCCAGGCACGTTCAGAGTGTTGGGATACAGTCAGTGCAAGGAGGCATATTTCAATGATGACTATAGTGGGTTGAAAAGCGTCCTCCCCTACCAAAGAAAATCTGTATCCACCTGGTACTTGTGTATGGGACCTTGTTTGGAAAAAGGGTCTTTGCAGATGTATTAATAATGAAGGTAAGGATCTTTAGATGAGATTATTCTCAATTGAGGTGGTCCTAAATGCAGTGACCAGTGTCCTTAATAGAAGACAGATGAGGAGACACGGACACACAGGAGAAGACCACATGGAGACAGAGGCCGAGACTGGAGTGATGCGGCCACAAACCCAGAACGCCTGGAGCCCCCAGGAGCTGGGAGAGGCAGGAAGGATCCTCCTCTAGAGCCTCCACAATGAACTGGATAAAATCATGGTGGATTGAACAGTGGCCCGCAGAAAGATCTGTCCACAGCCTAAAGCCCAGGATGTGGAATGAGATCTTACTTGGTTATTAGAAATTTTGTAGATCTCATGAGTTAAGGATCTGGAGATGAGATCATCCGGGATTTGAGTGAGCCCTAAATGCAGTGACAGATGTCCTTATAAAAGACAGAAGAGGAGACACAGACACAGAGAAGGCCACATGGAGACAGAGGCAGAGACTAGAGTGATGATGTGGCTGGCCTGAAGCCCAGGGACGCCAGGAGCCCCCAGGAGCTGGGAGAGGCAGGAAGCACCCTCCGCGTAAGCCTCCGGAGGGAGCGCAGCCCTGAGACACTTTGATTACAGACTTCTGGCCTCCAGAACTGGGAGAGAATAAGCTATGGTTTTAAGCCCTCCGGTTTCTGGTACTTTATTAAAGCAAGGTATTCTGAAGGTTAATTTTGCCCGAAATAATGAGTGGAGGTCTTAGAAAGGCCCCCCGTCTTCACGGGCAGTCGCGGCCTGCGTTGCTGGCTTTCCGTCAACGGTGCCCGCCCAGTGCTTTTTAGGGAGACGCCGCCACGTGCCAGGTGAGCTGGGCATTGCCAGAGCCCAGCAGTGCCACTTCCCAAGACTGGGGTGCAAGGAGGGGGGTCCTGTGGCCAATGCCAGCACCCTGGTTTGTTCTAAGGTGCTGAGAGAATGAATAACATGACCGGGACTTCCACAAAACGAGGAACCCCCAAACTGCATCTTCTGCAGCCGAGTTAGGGTGGGGCCCCTGGATTACACAGTCAACGGAGGGGGAAAAGAATCTCAAGAGGCCTCCTAAGTCCGACCTGAGTGACAGGACACAGCTGTATCAGATCCTCCATCATCATCATCATCATATTATTATTTGGCTGAAACAGGTTTTGGTAATTGGGAGGAAAAGGTTTACATTCCATTATTATTATTTGTGCTATTGGGCTGAAAGAGGTCCCAGTCCTCAAACAAAAGTTTAAATTCTATTTATTATTATTATTATCATTATTATTATTATTATGTGGCTGAAAGCGGTTCTGGAACCTGAAGGAAAGGTTTCAATTCCATTATTATTATTATTTTTATTATTATGAAGATTAGGCTGGAAGAGGTCCCAGTACCAGTAACAAAGGTTTATATTCTAATTATTATTGTTACGGTTGTTATTATTATTAGGCTGAAAAAGGTCTCAGTACCTGTAGCAAAGATTTTTATGCTGGCACCAGGCACAGCGGCTCACGCCTGTACTCTCAGCACTTTGGGAGGCCAAGGTGGGTGGATCATCTGAGGTCAGGAGTTTGAGACCACCCTGGACAACATGGTGAAACCCCTCCTCTACTAAAAATACAAAATTAGCCGGGCGTGGTAGTGGCACATGCCTGTAGTCCCAGCTACTCGGGAGGCTGAGGCACGAGAATCGTTTGAACCCGGGAAGCAGAGGTTGCAGTGAGCCGAGATGGCGCCATTGCACTGTAGCCTGGGCAACAAGCGCAAAACTCCGTCTCAAAGAAAGAAGAAAACAAAAAAAAAGATATATATGCTATTATTACTATTGTTTTTAGGCTGGAAGAGGTCCCGATACCTGGAAGAAAAGTTTGTACTCGGTTATTATTATCTGTCTGAAAGAGGTCCTGAAAGCTGGAGCAAACATCCATATTCTATTATTATTATTATTATTGTGATTGTTTGACTGAAAGAAGTCCCAGTGCCTGGGGCCAAGGTTTATATTCTATTATCATTGCTGTTATTATTATTTGGCTGAAACAGGTCCTGGTACCTGTAGCAAAGGCTTATATTATTACATTATTATTATTATTAGGCTGGAAGAGGTCTCGACACCTGGAACAAAAATTTTCATTCTATCATTATTATTATTATTAGGCTGAAAGAGGTTCTAGAACCTGGAGCAAAGGTTTTTATTCTATTATTATTACTTTTGTTATTAGGCTGAAAGAGGTCCCAGTAACAGAACAAAAGTTTATATTCTATTTTATTACTATTTGGCTGAGAAAGGTGCCAGGACCTGTAGTAAAGGTTTATATTCTATGATTATTATTAGGCTGAAAGAAGTCCGGGTACCTGGAACAAAAGTTTATATTTTATTATTATTATTTAGCTGAAAAAGGTTCTGGCACTTCAGTCAAAGGTTTATGTTCTATTATTATCATTATTATTATTATTTGGCTCACAGGTGTCCCAGTACCTGGACCAAAGGTCTGTTTTCTATTAATACTATTCTTATTATTACTATTTGGCTGAAAAAAGGTTCTGGTACCTAGAGCCAAGTTTTATATTCCACTATTATTATTTGGTTGAAAGAGGTCCCAGTACCTAGAAGAAAAGTTTATATTCTATTATCATTATAATTATTATTACTGTCATTATTGTTGGTCTGAAAGAGGTCCTGGTACTGTGAACAAAGGTTTATATTCTATTATTATTCTTATTTGGCTGAAAGAGCTCCCAGGACCTGGAGCAAAGGTTTATATTCTATCATTATTATCATTATTACTACTGTTATTATTATTACTGGGCTGAAAGAGGTCACAGTACCCTGAACAAAGGTTTATATTCTATTGTCATTATTATTATTATTGTTATTATTTGGCTGAAAGACGTTCCAGGAGATGAAGCAAAGGTTTATATTCTATCATTATTATCATTATTACTATTATTATTATTATTACTGGGCTGAAAGAAGTCACAGTACCCTGAACAAAGGTTTATATTCTATTATCATTAATATTATTATTATTATTTGGCTGAAAGACGTTCCAGGACGTGAAGCAAAGGTTTATATTTTATCATTATTATCATTATTCCTATTGTTGTTATTATTATTGGGCTGAAAGACGCCCCAGTACCATGAACAAAGGTTTATATTCTATTATTATTAATATTATTGTTATTATTTAGGTGAACAAAGGTTTCTATTCTATTATGATGATCATCATTTGGCTGAAACAGGTCTAGTACCTGGAGTGAAGTTTTGTACTAAGAGCCAAAATTCCCAAACCCCTAACCAAGTGACTCCTGGAAGGAGAAACAAGAAGCTCCCTCCCACGTCTCCTGCTGTCAGAATTCCATGGGATTCCCAGGTAAAGAACCGTCCACACAGTAGGTGGGTTCCACCTGAACCCACGTAACAGCCACAGCAGAGCTGACCTTCTGCAGTGAGTACCCTCCTTCCTCCTTCCTCCTCCCTTGCAGCGCTTCCGAGCACACAAGGCCACGAATAAAGGTTGCTGTAAACCAGCCTCTCACTGCCTCATTCTTCAAGACTGGTGCAGCATCCCCAGTGCGGGGGGAGGGGGGTTTGGGGGGGACACTCCCCAAAACGCTCTCAGGGGGCCGGCGATTTCACGTTTCCAATTGCACATCCATGAGAGGCCAGTGGATGTGCCTCACATGACTCTTACCAGAACGACACGTCGCAAGAGACCAGTGTGAAGAAGCAGAGGAAGGAGCCAGCCGCCATCCGTCCCTTTATGGATGAGACTGACAAAACCCTAAAACTCAGCCACTCTTCTCCCTAGGTTTTTGTTATTTTGGAAATGACAATCATTTTTCTTTTAAAAAACATACAGCACATGGCCAAAGGGTACCAAGTTTCTGTTCGACAGGAGGAATCCGTTTCAGTGACCTACTGCACAGCGTGGTGGCGATAGTTAATAGTGTATTACATATTTCAAAATAGCTAAAAGAGGTTTTTATTTTTGTTTTTGTTTTTTTGTTTTTTTGGTTTTTTTGAGACGGAGTCTCGCCCTGTTGCCCAGGCTTGAGTGCAGTGGCGCAATCTTGGCTGACTGCAACCTCCACCTCCCAGGTTCACACCATTCTCCTGCCTCAGCCTCCCAAGTAGCTGGGACTACAGGCGCACACTGCCACACCCAGCTAATTTTTTGTATTTTAGTAGAGATGGGGTTCCACTGTATTGCCCAGACTGGTCTCAAACTCCTGAGCTCAGGCAATCCACCCGCCTCAGCCTCCCAAAGTGCTGGGATTATAGGCATGAGCCACCGCACCCGGCCCGCCAATAGAGATTTTAAATGTCTTGCGTGCAGTGTATACTGCTTGGGTGATGGGTGCACCAGAATCTCACAAATCACCACTAAAAAACTTACTCATGGAATCAAACACCACCTGTTCCCCAATAACCTATGGAAATAAAAAACAAAAATAGCTAAAAGAGATTTTAAATGTTCCCACCGCAAAGGAAAAATAGCGGGTGATAGATATTAGTTTAATTATTCCACAATGCAAACATACAGCAAAGCATCACACTGTGCCCCATAAGTGTACACATTTATATATTTATATAAAAATATCAATTGTTTTTATTTACATCTAAATTATATAAATATAACTTATTTGTATTTTATATTTATAGAAAAGTATAAATTATTCTAAAAATATATATATTTAATAAAAATAAAATATAAAAACAATAAATATATTACATACATTTTTGTATGTAACATGTAATTGGCCTGTTACCATTACTTTTAAATAGATTGTTAAATATGTTTTAAATTTCTGTTTTAATGTCTAACAGGATGACTTATTGACTGTTATAATCCACAAAAACAAAAACTGTCTGGGGTCCTCATTTTTTTTGAAAGAGATTCTATGATCAAGGAATTGGAGGCCGGGGGCAGGGGCTCACCCCTGTAATCCCAGCAATTTGGGATGCCAAGGTGGACTATCACCTGAGGTCAGGAGTTTGAGACCAGCCTGACCAACATGGAGAAACCCCATCTCACTAAAAATACAAAATGAGCCAGGCATGGTGGCACATGCCTGTAATCCCAGCTACTCGGGAGGCTGAGGCAGGAGAATCGCTTGAACCCGGGAGGCAGAGGTTGTGGTGAGCTGAGATCACGCCATTGCACTCCAGCCTGGGAAACAAAAGCGAAACTTGGTCTCAAGAAAAAGAAGAAGAAGTTGGAAAACTGCTGTTTTTACTTCTACCTGATTTCTAATAGCCACTGTTCACTACTCATAAAACCAACAAGAATTAACTTTCCCTTTACAGGTTAAAAAAAAAATAGTTTGAAAAGTAGGACTTCTATAAATAGCTTTGTAAGTGGGCCAGTTGGCATATTTTTTGTAAATACTCACTCCTGTGGTACAGCATTTACGAATCCATTTTGCATCCCAGAAAGTGAAGGAATATTCTGTGGCCTATTATTTACAATAGAACTTTTAAGAAAAATTCTGTGGCAGTATTGGAACTGGACTTGACTACAGGTACCATCAATTTTCTCTCCTTTGCAAAACTCATTGATGTATCAGAGAAAATGTAATTTCTAAACAGATCACCCTGTTATTAATACCGGTGGGTAGAGACTTTCTTTACTCAATATGATCATTTTCAACAGATTTCAGGCCATATCAATGTTCAAGTTTTGATGCCATATTAGGATATTAAATGCACTGATTAAATCATCTATTTTAAAATCCAACCAACAGATACAACTTACTGAATGGGCCGCATGGATATAGTCTTAAGAACACAGAGACAGACCCTCTTATGGGAATTCTCAATTTGCTTCTAAACCCCCTCTGTAAAGGCATGACCAACATCTATGATTAATTTGTAATTATCTTGTTTTTCCATGATGAACTGTAAGAAGACACCATTTAGGAGTGGATTCCAGCCACAATTTCTTCCTTCTCATACCATGTAAGTCAACTCATGTGGAAGGTGTAACCCAGGCATTTCCTTTGTACGATACCTAAGAAGAACACGCTCCATTTGGAAGTTCTAAGAAAAAACTGCCCTTGCTTCCAATCTGCAGTGGGGAAATTGGCCCTCTTGGTTATTCAAACAGCTTAGCTCAAATGCCCTGGACAAAGTTCAATGTTTCCTCACCAACAGCGAAGGCCTACCAGAGAGAAGCAAATAAAAAATGCCGTTTAGGAAGCTGGCCACCAGCAGACCAAGGACAACAGCATTCCTCCACTGGTATCGAAAATTATTTTTAATCCATACATAGGAAGGGGCTCGATGAGGGCAAGCCACTTAAGTTAATCTTTAGAGAAGGCCATTCTGTTTCGATACACACCCGGGTACAGATTCCCTTGGCAGACACGTGACTTCACCAGAAGCTCGTCCTCTTTAACAACCTTCTGTTGTTGTTTAATCAGTAAATGGGAAAAAAAAAAAAAAAAAAGATTCCAGCCCTTTTTCTAATGCACAAAGAGCAAGTTTTTCAAAGGCCAGCATTTTGGTGAGCTGCTGCAGGAACCCCGGCCTCTTCTGCCAGGGCCCACACAGGCCCTTAAGGAGGTTTAAGGGGACCTTTCTGTAAGCAAAACTGCCCGGATAAACATAATCTTCTGCGAGACTCCACACAATTGTTCAGCAGCTGTAAACCGTTCACCTTGCAACTGATTACTTACTTCAAACAAACATGCTCTCCTGCCCTCCGAAAGCCTGACTACAGTTCCCTTTACTCTCCTTCTTCTATGCATTTGTAATTATGCTAAGTGGGTTTAAAAAAAAATACTGAAGGCCAGTTTGGCAGAAAAAGAAAAGCTTAGCTCACAGAAAACTCAAAGCTCTTTTTCTCTGGCTAGAGGCGGGAGAGAGAGGCTCATTTTAAAACATCCACTCCAGGCACGCTTCTCAAAGGGTGGCGCTGGGACCCCTGGGATTCCTTCAGTGGGTGCAGAGTGGAAGTCAAAAGTCATTTCACAATAAGGCACCCAAGCGCTTCGCCTGGCTGACTCCCAGTCTCCCAGAGGCGTGCAGTAGTGTCTTCCAGAGGCCTCCTGACATGCCATGAAACTGTCTACAGAGGCAGAAATAACAGCTCTCTTCTTAGGCTGGACATTTAAGACATTCAGGGCAACGTACACCCCCACCCCCACCACACTGACCCTCTGAACGCTCTGTTTTGGAAAACTGTTATTTTTGAAACAAAGTATCATTTAACCTAACATGGAATTAACATTCCCTTTATTCCAGTTCACAAATAATTGTTTACAGGTTTCTAGGTTTAAATTGAGAATATGGGCTGGGCACAGTGGCGCTCTGTCTGTAATCCCAGCAGTTTGGGAGGCCCAGACTGGAGGATTGCTGCAGGCCAGGGGTTCAAGACCAGCCTGGGCAACATGGTGAGATGCCATCTCTACAAAAAATTTAAAACATTAGCCAGGCGTGGTGGCTCACGCCTGTAAACCCAGCACTTTGGGGGACCCAGGTAGGAGGATTGCTTCGGCCCATGAGTTTCAGACCAGCCTGGGCAACGTAGCAAGACCCTATTGCTACACAAAAAAATTAAAACATTAGACAGGTGTGGTGGCTCACACCTGTAATCCCAACAGTTTGGGAGGCAAAGGAAGGAAGATCGCTTGAGCCCAGGAGTTCGAGACCAGCCTGAGCAACATAGCAAGACCCCGTCTACAAAACTTTAAAACATTAGTCGGATGCAGTAGCTGGTGCCTGTAATGCCAGCACTTTGGGAGGCTGAGGCAGGAGGACTGCTTGAGCCCAGGAGTTCGAGAGTAGCCTCGGCAACAGAGCAAGACTTCATCTCTACTTCCTATTACAAAAAATAATAATAATAATAAATTCTGAACCTGCAAATCTAGGAACAGAAGTTATCTGCATACACAAAACACAGTGGCGGTCATCACTGATGAGTTCAGACAGTGAACGAGTCCTGCAAAGTTGGAGATCTGTGACTCAGAGATGTTTACAAAGGCCAAGGAAACAAAGTTGCCACTTAACGGGCCTGCCCTCCCCACCAGACCTCCGTGGCTCCCCAGTGCCCGAGAAGCCGCCTCTGGGCCCCCTCTGGAGACGTCCTCCGGAGAAGGGCCCATCCTCACTTACCCTGGGGTGGGTAGGGGTCGAGGTCCCTGGGACGCCCGCTCCTCCCCTCCGGGGCCTGGCGGGGGCGCGCGGTCACTGGCCGACCGCAGGCGGCAGGCAGAGCCGCCTGATGTCTTGGGCGCGGGGCGTGCGAGCCCCCGGGTCCCCGGCCATGGCCCGGAGGTGTCAGGGTGCGCGGGGGGGCGGCTGCACGGGGGCTGCTTGGTTGGAGCCCGACCCGGGACAGGCGGGGAGGCCACACGCGCGGGGAGGGAAGGGTCGGGCCGGGTCGGGCCGGGCCAGGCGCGCAGAAGAGCCGGCGGGGACGGAAAGCGCGGGGCGGGGAGGTCCCAGCGCGCACGCCGCCCCCCCCCCACCCCCGGCCACACCTCGACCCCCGCCCAGCCCCACTTCCGGGAGCGCCACCGCCTCGCCAAGGTCACGCGGAGCCCCCGCGCCCCCGCCCCCGAGCCAGCCCGCGCCCACCCGGGTCCCCGGAGCCCTGACCCCTGCCCCGCCCCGCTGACCTGGCTCCAGGAAGCCCCCGCGGCAGCGCCGCAGCAGCTGCGCCAGGATCACCGCGGCGCCTACCGCGTAGACCCGCAGGGCCGCCCGCGCCGCAGACAATGGCGACATGGCTGCCCCGGCCGCGCCGCCGCCGCTTCCGCGCCGCCCGCGGGACTCTGCGCCCGCCCGCCCGGACGGACGGCGGAAACGCGCGCGCCCCGGACCGCCCCCTGCCCGCCCCGAACCGCCCCGGCCTGCGGGGAACCCCCAACCCCAGACCCCGCCCGGGCCCTCTGGGATCCCGCACCGCCTGCAGGACTGGGGACCCCGAGCGGACAACCGACCCCAGCCAGGACACCCCCCCCAGGACCACAGACTCCAGCCAGGAACCCCCCCCTGCAAGGACCATAGACTTCAGCCAGGACCCCCCCCCCCAGGACCACAGACCCCAGCCAGGACGCCCCCAGGACCACTGACCCCAGTCAGGACCCCCCCTTCAGGACCACAGACCCCAGCAGGGACCCCCCACACACACCCCCAGCCAGGACCACAGACCCCAGCCAGGAATCCCCCCCAGGACCACAGACCCCAGCAGGGACCCTCCACACCTCCTCCAGGACCACAGACCCCAGCAGGGACCCTTCCCCCTCCCGGCAGGACTGCAGACCCCAGCAGGGATCCCCACCACCACAAGACCAACAGCCCCAGCCAGGACGCCCCCAGGACTACAGACCCCAGCCAGCACCCAAGTCAGATCCATAGACTCCTCCCAAGAACACCCCCCAGGACCCCAGACCCCTGCTGGGACCCCCAAGACCACAGGCCCCCCCACTGGGGCACGCCCAGACACCCCACCAAGAACCCCACCAGGACTACAGACCTCCACCAGGACTCCCCAGTACCACAGATCCTCCCAGGGCCCCCCAGGACCACAGACCTCCACTGGGACCCCCACCACCAGGACCCCTCTCCAGGATCACAGACCCCTACTGGGGCCCCCTTCTAGGACCTCCACCTCCATCACAACCACCCCCCGGACCACAGGCCCCAGCCAGCACCCCACAAGACCACAGACCCCTGCCAGGACGCCCCCCAGGACTACAGACCCCAGCTGGACTGCCTCTCCAAGACCCCACACTCCAGCCAAGACCATGGAACCCCATTCAAGCCCCAGCCAGGACCCCCACCATGGGATCACAGATCCCCTACCCAGACCCTGCAGGGGACCAGGACCACCACGGGAACCACCCTCCCCATCTTAGCCAGAATCATGTAACCCCACGCAGACCTCAGCAGGGACCACAAGGACTTGGACCCCATAGGGAACCCCAGACAACCACCCAGAGCCATGCCAGGATTATGGACCAGGACTCCCACAGAGGACTCTGAACAGCTGTAAGGACCATGGACCCCACACCCTAATTCGTACTGACACCACAGAACCTGCCCCAAGCACGGACCCCACACCCCAGTTCCTGCTGACACCACAGAACCTGCCCCAAGCACGGACCCCACACCCCAGTTCCTACTGAGACCACAGACCCCACCCCAATTCCTGCCAGGCCACAGACACCACCCACCAAACCTACCCCTCCACTTCCCTGCCCCCAACAACCCTGCAGGGATCACAGACCCCCTTCCCGGCCCCTGCAGAGAACTCCAGACTACTTCAGGGACCACGAGCCCCCTCCCCACCCTGATCCCTACTGGGACAGCAGACCCCTACTCAGACCTTGGTTGGGAACCCCAGACAACCACAGAGTTACCTGGGCTCCCTCAGGGAACCCCAGACCAGCACAGAACCCCCACCCAGACCCTTACCAGGGCCAAGGCTGAAATCCCACATGGACCCCCCAGCAGACTCCTACTGGAATTCTTCATGGAACCCCCCACCCAGACACTCAGACCTTCACCCCACCACAACCCTCCCAGTCCCACACCTGGTCCCCCAGGGGACCCCAGACCTGGCATCCGGGACTCCACACAGATCCTAACACCCGCTGTGTTTGGGAGACAGGAGCCTGGGAGAGCTGGGGTGACACCATTTTAATCATCAACTCCATCTTAAAAACCAGGAAGACACATTCCTTGCCGGTCACGGCCCATGGTCATAAGATGTTTACGGCTGAAGAAATGACTTAATAATGCCTCCAAGGACAAACACAGACGACAGCGGAATGTCTGGATGTCGCCATATCGCGTAACCACATATGCTGTTAAAGATAATTACAGTCATGCATGGACGTGCTTGGGCGCGAAAATGCAAAGGATGGCTCTCTCTAAATCAACTAAGGAATAAATGTCACGCCGTCAGACATAACCTAGCTTTTACATAGATAAGACAGACCCCTATAGAAGGAAGCTTTAAAACAAACACAAGGTGTTACACCTCTATGACAAAACAGTTTCTTTTTTTTTCTTTCTTTCTTTTTCTTTTTTTTTTTTTTTGAGACAGAGTCTGGCTCTGTGGCCTAGGCTGGAGTGCAGTGGCGCAACCTCAGCTCACTGCAACCTCCACCTCCCAGATTCAAGAGAGTCTCCTCTCTCAGCCTCCCTGGTAGCTGGGATTACAGGCATGCACCAGCACACCCAAATAATTTTCGTATTTTTAATAGAGATGGGATTTCACCATGTTGGCCTGGCTGGTCTCAAACTCCTGACCTCAGGTAATCTGCCCACCTCGGCCGCCCAAAGTGCTGGGATTACAGGTATGAGCCACCACACCCAGCATGTAATGGAATAGTTTCTAATAAACTAAAACTTCCCTGTACTCTTATGACTTACCTTGAATTACTTCTTGAGCAATATCCAAGAACCCACTCTTGGGGGCTAGATCGGGACCCCTCTCCTGCAACACTGGGACCCTAAATCACCAACCCTATCATCCCCAGGACCCAGACCTCCACCTTCACTCTAGGTCTGCACCCTCATACACGTGCCGATGGGCACCCCCCAGCCCCTGCCGAGGTCCAGGAGTGAGAATCTCCACCAGCAAGTCACCTGACCCTAGCCAGGAACTCTATCCCTGCTGGGAGCCAGAACCCCACACTCCACATCTCACTGGGACCCTGGCACCTTGCAGGGCCACAACCTATCTGGAACTTTGGCCCCCATTGGGATGCATCCCCACTCCCATAGGAATTGAACCCTCCAGGCCTCACTCCCCACAGAACCTCAACAGGCACTAAGGGGCACCCCCAGTGTGCAGGTTGCACCCAGCCACTGGGTGGGCTCTGGTGCAGATCTAAGATGATTGGAATACAGAGACCTACCCGGCGACCTCAGGTGTGGCCAGGTGACCAAGCTGGGTTAAGAAGGGTCTTTGTGGCCTTTGCAACCCTCTGTCCTACAGATGAGGAAACTGAGGCCAGGAAGACCAAGGGATGGGGCTGTCCCATTTGGCCAAGTGTGCCAGGTATCTTCACATGTGCCCAAGTATGCTCAGGTGTCGCCAGGTATGCTCAGGTGTGATTCAGTAACCAGGTTGGATTAAGAAGGCTCCTTGTGGGCCAGGTGCAGCGCCTCACGCGCACAATCCCAGCACTTTGGGAGGCTGAGAAGGGTGGATTGCTTGAGCCCAGGCGTTCGAGACCTGCCTGGGCAACATAACAAAACCTGTCTTTATTATTTTTATATAAAAAAATTAAATTAAAAAAGAGGGCTTCTCCAGGCACAGTGACTCACGCCTGTAATCCCAGCACTTTGGGGGGCCAAGGCGGGCAGATCACCTGAGGTCGGGAGTTCGAGACCAGCCTGGCCAACATGGAGAAACTCTGTCTCTACTAAAAATACAAAATTAGCTGGAAATAATGGCGCATGCCTGTAATCCCAGCTACTCAGGAGGCTGAGGCAGGAGAATTGCTTGAACCCAGGAGGCGGAGGTTGCAGTGAGCCGAGATTGCTCCATTGCACTCTAGCCTGGGCAACAAGAGGGAAACTCCATCTCAAAAAAAAAAAAAGGTTATTCCAGCCTTTGCAACCTTCTGTCCTACAGATGAGAAAACTGAAGCTTTCTCGTTTGGCCATGTGTCCAGATATCCTGAGGCGTGCCCAGGTATCCTCAGGTGTGACCAGGTATGCCTAGGTGTGGCCAGGGCACCCAGCCAGAAGCATTGGGAAAATCCACAGTCACCCCTGTCCCCACCTTAAAGTTTTCCCAGGAGAGCTGCCGTTGCATGGGGTGTGAAACCGTGACCCCACTGCCAAATTCAGAAGGACCAAGGATTCCACCAGGAGCAGCAGGGGAGTGGGCTTATTGTAGCCCGACATGCTCCTCCCTTTGGGGACTTCTGGTAGTTATCTAAAAGGATGTTTGTGAGCAAAAGGATAGTGACGTCTAGAGCCATGAATTGGGGGGCTAAAAGCAGAATGCATCACCTGGTGCTTCCAGCAATGGTTTGGGAGACACCCCTACCTTCCCCACAACCCACTTATCTTCTCAGAGGCTCATTTCATCATCTGTCATATATTGACTTTGATTTCCATGTGAATGTTTTTAGCCACTGCTGTAATAAATGGCCACGAATGTAGCAGCTTTAAACAACACAAAGTTATTATCTCAAGTCTGCAGGTAAGATGTCCCAAAAACGGGCTCAACCGGGTCACTTGCTCAAGGTCACTGATATGGTTTCGCTGTGTCCCCTCCCAAATCTCATCTTGAATTGTAGCTCCCATAATTCTCATGTGTTGTGGGAGGGACCCAGTGGGAGATAACTGAGTCATGGGGGCGGTTTCTCGCACACTGTTCTCATGGCAGTGAATAAGTCTCATGAGATCTGATGGGGTTTTTTTTTATTTGTTATTTTTGTTTTGTTTTGTTTTGTTTTGAGACAGAGTTTCACTCTTGTTGCCCAGGCTGGAGTGCAATGGCAGGATCTCGGCTCACTGCAACCTCTGCCCCCCGGTTCAAGAGATTCTCCTGCATCAGCCTTGCGAGTAGCTGGGATTACAGGCTTGTGCCACCATGCCTGGCTAATTTTTTGTATTTTTAGTAGAGATGGGGTTTCACCATGTTGGCCAGGCTGGTCTCGAACTCCTGACCTCAGCTGATCCACCCACCTTGGCCTCCCAAAGTGCTAGGATTACAGGCGTGAGCCACCGTGCCCAGCAATCTGATGGTTTTATAAGGGGAAATCCCTTTCGCTTGGCTCTCTCTGTCTTGTCTGCAGCCATATAAAACGTGCTTTTCACCTTCTGCCATGATCGTGAGGCCTCCCCAGTCACATGGAGCTGTGAGTCCATTAAAGGTCTTTTTTTTTTCTGAGATGGAGTTTTCGCTCTTGTTGCCAAGGCTGGAGTGCAATAGCATGATCTCAGCTCACTGCAGCCTCTACCTCCCAGGTTCAAGCAATTCTCCTGCCTCAGCCTCCGGAGTAGCTGGGATTACAGGTGCCCACCACCACGCCTGGCTAATTTTTGTATTTTTAGTAGAGACAGGTTTTCACCATGTTGGCCATGCTGGTCTCAGACTCCTGGCCTCAGGTAATCCACCCGCCTTGGCTTTAACCTTTTTTTCTTTATAAATTACCCAGTCTCAGGTATGTCTTTATCAGCAGCGTGAAAATGGACTAATACAGTCACAAAAGGTCAAAATGACGATGTCTACCCCCTGGGCTCTTCGCAGGAGGCCCTGGAAAGAATTGGTTTGCAAGCTTATTCCCATTTTTAGAAAATTCAGTCTCTTGTTGTCATGGGACTGAAGTCATCCTTTCCTCACTGATTGTCATAGAAGGGGTGTGGGGAGCACAACCCTGAGCTCTTAGAGTCCTCTCTCTGGTCCTTGAAAGTGTCTGCTCCATCTGTAAGCCAGCTCTGCTTCATCTTGAAACCAGCAGGGGCCACTTAGAGTCCAGTTCACCATTAGAATCTCACTGACTTTGTGTGCCATGTCCCTCACCTTCTCTCCTCCCTCCAGCCAGAGAAAGTTCTGTTCTTTCAAGGGCTCCCATGTGATCAGATAGGGCCCACCAAGGAAATCCAGCATACTCTTCCTATTTAAAGGTTCACGCCTGTCATCTCAGCACTTTGGGAGGCCGAGGCAGGCAGATCACCTGAGGCCAAGAGTTCGAGACCAGCCTGGCCAACATGGTGAAACCATGTCTCTACTAATAATACAAAAATCGGCTGGGCGTGGTGGTGGGTGCCTGTAATCCCAACTACTCGGGAGGCTGAGGCAGGAGAATCACTTGAACATGGGAGGCGGAGGTTGCAGTGAGCCAAGCTGGAGCCACTGCACTTCAGCCTGGACAACAGAGCAAGAGTCCATCTCAAATAAATAAATAAATAAATAAATAAATAAATAGTTTATAACCTCAATTGCACCTGCAGTGTTCCTTGGTGCCATATATGACATTACCATAGTGACAGGTTCCGGGAGATTCAGGTGTGGAAGACTTTGGGAAGGACAGGAGATTATTCAGCCTACAGTAGCGTGGTTTACAAATTCCTGTCTATTTCAGGATTTCATAAGCAGGTTTGAAATTGCATTCACCTAAACCGGAACAGGCCAGGACAGCAGGGGCAGGAGATGCTCCCTGGAGGAGCTTACATGAAGGACACCCCTACTGGAAGAGAGAGAAGGATATTGCAGGGTGGGGGCCCTGTCCTTAGGACTTCTGGTTGACCCAGGGCCAACTTCCCCATCACGCATCCTAAGCTGAGTGTGAGGATCTCATGAAACTCTTCAGGGTCCATAACAATGCTTTAAGTTAATGTGTCTCAAATCAGAAAAAATATATATAATAATGAATATAAATCATGCACACAGTCCAGAAAATATGTCTTTTTATCAACACAGTTGTAAGATTTATGAGGTCATAGGCCGGAAGCAGTGGCTCACGCCTGTAATCCCAGCACTTTGGGAGGCCGAGGTGGGCAGATCACCTGAGGTCAGGAGTTTCAGACTAGCCTAGCCAACACGGTGAAAACCTATGTCTACTAAAAATACCAAAAAAAATAGCTGGGTATGGTGGCAGGCGCCTGTAATCCCAGCTACTTGAGAGGCAGAGGCAGGAGAATTGCTTGAACCTGGGAGGCGGAGGCTGCAGTGAGCTGAGATCAAGCTATTGCACTAAAGCCTTGGCAACAAGAGCGAAACTCCGTCTCAAAAAAAAAGAAAGAAAGATATATGAGGTCACACTATTGCTCAGGCTGGAGTGCAGTGCTGCGATCTCCAGTCACTGCAGCCTCCATCTCCTGGGTTCAAACAATCTTCCTGCCTCAGCCTCTCAAGTAGCTGGGACCACAGGTGCACACCACCATGCCTGGCTCTTTTTTTTCTTTTGGTAGAAATGGGATCTTGCTATGTTGCCCAGGCTGGTCTCAAACTCCAGGGCTCAAGTAATCGTCCTGCCTCAGCCTCCCAAAGAGCTGGGATTACAGGCATGAGCCACCATATCTGGTATATTTTTTAGTGGAAGAGGCAAAGATGGCCACAGTGTGGCCCTTCAGGGGGCCTGATCCGAAAACATCACCGTGGGCTGGGGTGGTCTGTTCCTGTCAGCCCCTGGTCATGCAGGAGGGCTTCAGTGATGTTAGCCACATTCTAAACAGAAACAGCTTGAGGTTTCTCCAGGGAATCTTGTTCTGTTAAATAGCACCTGTGGGGTCAAAGTTCAGCCCACTAGCAACAATTCCTGATAGCGCAGTGCCTCCCTCCCGTGAGATTCTCCTTGAAATTTAGCAGCCTGGAAAGCAACCTTCCTGGTTGTAAGATATGTGGGCCAGTCTCCCTGTGCGTGGGGACACAGCCTCTGTATCTCTCTCCTATTCCTGGTGCTAATTCTCTCGTGCACATAGTAGAATCCCAGTAAATAACCATGTAATTCATTAGTAATAATATAATAGACTATTGTAATCCATTTTGATGTCCCAATTGACCTTAGCTGTGATTCATGTTTCCTTTATTCTTTTCTTTATTTTCTTTCTTTCTTTGCTTGCCTTTGTTTCTCTCTCTTTTCCTTCCTTCCTCTCTTTCTTTCTTCTCTTTCTTTTTTCTTTTGCTTGCTTTCTCTCTCTCTCGTTTTCTTTTTCTCTTTTTCTTTCCCTTTTCTCTTTTTTCTCCTTACTCTTCTCTTTTTCTCTCTCTTTTTCTCTTCTCTTTCTCTTTCTTTTTCTTTCTCCTTTGTTTCTCTTTCTCCTTTCTCTTTCTTTTTCTTTCTCTTCTCTCTCTCTCTCTCTCTCTCTGTCTCTGTGTCTCTCTCTTCCTGTTGAGGTCTCATTCTGTTGCTCAGGCTTAAGTGCAGTGGCACAGTCATAGCTCACTGCAGCCTCAATCTCCCAGGCTCAACGGATCCTCCTGCCTCAGCCTCTCAAGTCATTGGTACTACAGGCACACGCCACCACGTGTGACTAATTAAAAAAAATTTTTTTTGCTGTAATCCCAGCAGTTTGTCAGGCTGAGGCGAGTGGATCACTTGAGGAATTCGAGACGAGCCTGGCCAACATGGTGAAAACCCGTCTCTACTAAAAATACAAAAATTAGTCGGGCATGGTGGCATGCACCTGTAGTCCCAGCTACTGAGGAGGCTGAGGCAAAAGAATCACTTGAACCTAGGGAGGTCGGGAGGTGGAGGTTGCAGTGAGCTGAGATCGTGCCACTGCACTCCAGCCTGGGCGACAGAGCAAGTCTCCAACTAAAAAAAAAAAAAAAAAAAAAATTTATAGAGATGGAGTCTCACCATGTTGCCCAGGCAGGTCTCAAAGTCCTGGCCTCAAGGATCCTCCCTCCTTGGTTTCCCAAACTACTGGAATTACAGGCATGAGCGACCACACCTGGTCTCATGTTTTATTTTGTGTTTCAGTGTTTAATTCCTCAAAGTCATGGGCCCTGTGGCTGAGCACTGGTACATGCCTAGGCAGAGGTTATCCCCAGAGTAAACTCTCATAAAGAGGTATTCTGGGCCGGGTGCAGTGGCTCGCGCCTGGAATCCCAGCACTTTGGGAGGCTGAGGCGGGTGGATCACCTGCAGTCAGGAGTTTGAGACCAGCCAGCCCAACATAGTGAAACCCTGTCTCTACTAAGAACTACAAAAATTAGCCGGGCATGGTGGCAGACACCTGCAATCTCAGCTACTCGGGAGGCTGAGGCAGGAGAATCCCTTGAAGTTGGGAAGCGGAGGTTGCAGTGAGCCGAGATCATGCCACTGCACTCCAGCCTGGCGACAGAGTGAGATTCCATCTTAAAAAAAAAAAAAAAAAAAAAAAAAAAAAGTTGTCCTGTGCATTAGTGGATGGTTTCCGTGGAGTTTGGGATACAATGTCTGGGAAGTGCTGAAAGATTCTGAGCTGAATTATCCGCCATCCGCTTTATATAATGCTTCACATTATCAGACTCCTCACACCTTAATGATCCCTGAGCACATCTTTGAATATCATTGTGAAAAATCCCCAGAATTCATAGGGTAAGATGTTAATGAAAAGTCAATACCATTTCATGTATATCTCAGCCTCTGTCTTGGCTGGTGTTCTCAACTGGCTGTGAGCATGAAACATCCTCAAGGCTTTTTCTTTTTTCCTTTTTTTTCTTTTTTGAGATGGAGTCTCGCTCTCGTCCCCCAGGCTGGAGTGCAGTGGCAGATCTCAGCTCACTGCAACCTCCACCTCCCGGGTTCAAGTGATTCTCCTGCCTCAACCTCCCCAGTAGCTGGGATTACAGGTGCCCATCACCATGCCCAACTAATTTTGTATTTTTAGTAGAGATGGCATTTCACCATGTTGGCCAGGCTGGTCTCAAACTCCTGACCTCAGGTGATCCATCCACCTTTGCCTCCCAAAGTGCTGGGATTACAGGTGTGAGCCACTGCGCCCGGCCCTCAATGCTTTTTTTATCAAAAAATTCTAAATTATTTGGGCAACTTTTTGACAATAAGGATGTTCTACAATACATGCCTGTGATACTTTATATTTTTAGAGTGCCAAGTATCAAATCTGTTTCCATCACAAATAATATCCACCAGCTGGAATGTGTGGAGACAGCATTGCTCTGTTAAGTTCCATTAAAGGTGTTATTAGCATCTATATTAATCTGGGTTCTCCAGAGAAACAGTACCAATGGGATGGATGGATGGATACATAGATCAATAGATAGATATATTGATAGATATTAATAGATAATACATAGATGATAGACACAATGGGATGGATAGATATTAATAGATAATACATAGATAATAGATAAAATGGGATGGATGGATAGATAGATTTTTTTTTTTTTTTTGAGACAGAGTCTCACTCTGTCACCCAGGCCGGAGTGCAGTGGCATGATCTCAGCTCACTGTAGCCTCCACCTCCCAGATTCAAGCAATTCTCCTGCCTCAGCCTCCTGAGTAGCTGGGACTACAGGTGCCCACTACCATGCCCTGTTAATTTTTGTATTTTTAGTAGAGACAGGGTTTCACCATATTGGCCAGGCTGGTCTCAAATTCCTTACCTCGTGATCCACCTGCCCCTGCCTCCCAAAGTGCTGGGATTACAGGCGTAAGCCACTGCACCCAGCAATAGATAGATATTAATAGATAATACATAGATGATAGATACAATGGGATGGATGGATAGACAAATAGATATTAATAGATAATAACCAGATGATAATTGATTGATTGATAGATCTGGGCAGTATGTGCAACAAAGGTATGGCTCATCTGTTTGGCCGCTGCGTGCTCAAACCCCTTACAGGATGGAGAGCACGCAGACGGACAGATGCAGAAGCCGGGGCAAACACTTTGGGGATCTGGCCCCATGGTAGCATGAAGGGCTGGGTGCCTGCAACTCCTGAAGCCCAAGTTGTTGTGTGTTACAGTGCATTCTTTTGGCTTTGCTGTCCGCAGACAACTTGAGTGTTTGCTCTCTGTGGACAGCTTGTGCCTCCTTGGTGGCCAAGTCCTTGTCAGTGTCCTGGAAGAATCAGGTCACCCATGGACTTGAAGGATGATGAATGCAGGGGTTTTATTGAGTGGTGGAGGTGGCTCTCAGCTGGATGGATGGGGAGCTGGAAAGGGAATGGAGTGGGAAGATGGTCTTCCCCTGGAGTTTGGCCGTCCAGCAGCCGATCTCTCCAACCGTCCCCAGCTAAACTCCTCTCAGCATTCAGACACTCCTTCTCTTCTTTCTGCCAATCTTTTGCTCTTCGGTTCGTCTCCTCCTGGAGCCAGGGGTTTGGGATTTATATGGGTACAGGATGGGGGGAGTGGGGGGCCAAAAGGCAACGTTTGGGTGTGAATACAGGCATGCCTGTTCTCATTTCAGGCTGTGGGTTTCCAGGCGTGAGGGTGGGGCCTTTGCTGGGGAACCACCCTCTTCTACCCAGTATTTCCCTGTCTCCTGCCTGTATCACCTTCAGGGTGATCATTTCCTCATGCCTTGGGGGCAAGCCTGACAGCTCATTGTTGGGATTGATGCTATGGTCATTAGTATGTTTATTATTATTTTTAATCAGTATCACAATTGCATCTCTCGAGCCCACAAAGCTTTGATGGGCACAGAACTATGATTTTCATCCACAAGGACATGAAAGCATCAAGGAACTGCTATTTCAGGGCAGAGGTTTATTTTCACTTTGGTTTTGTTTACAAGGAGTTTTAGAGATTGGAGTTTCCAGGAATACAAATCACAGGTTTCCACCTATGAGAACGATATGCAGAGACAACCCCCTGCCCAGTCTGGCAGGTGTGTTCCCAGACCGAACCGAGTGTCAGACCGCTTATTGTCATGGCCCCATAATGAGACGCAGATGAATTGGGAAAGAACAGAGTTTATTTCTGTAACTGGGTACAGGGAGAAGGCTGGGAAAATATCGCCAGACCAACTCCAAATTACAAAATTTTCCAGACCTTATGTATCTTCTAAAATATATGTCTACATATAAGTGTGTATCCATCTAAAGACATAAGTGAGGCCGGGCGCGGTGGCTCACGCCTGTCATCCCAGCACTTTGGTATGCCAAGATGGGCGGATCACCTGAGGTCAGGAGTTCTAGACCAACCTGGCCAACATAGTGAAATCCCATCTCTACTAAAAAGACAGAAATTAGCTGGGAGTGGTGGCATGCACCTGTAGTCCCAGCTACTTGGGGGTGGGGGTGGGGGCCGAGGCAGGAGAATCACTTGAACCCGGGAGGCGGAGGTTGCGGTGAGCTGAGATTGCGCCATGGCACTCTAGCCTGGGGGACAAGAGCGAGAGGTCTCAAAAAAAAAAAAAAAAGACATAAGTGATTCACTTCTTCTAATCTGTAACTAAGGTCTGAGTCCTGAAGACCTTCCTCTGGAGCCTCAGTAAATTGACTTAATCTAGATGGTTCCAGGTGCTGGGGTGATTACCCTTATCTTGTCTCCTGCTAAATCATGGAGGTTTGGGGAGTTCCTTTAGACCCCCAATAAAACTTGTTTGTGGAGGCCTGCAGAGTTCCTTCAGAACCCCAGTAAAACTTGTTTAATCTGAAACAGGTCCTGTTAAGAATTCCTTCGTTATCTTTTCATGCTTTAAGGCCCAGGAAAGCCCCGGGCAAAACTCTTGGTGGGCTTTTGTTACATTCCAGCCTTTGTATAAGGGCACTGGTTGTTTCAGCTTTTAATATGTAACTCCACTGGTCAGTGAGTGCTGAAACGGTTGCCACGGAGGCCTGCCTGTTCAGCTGTTAGTGAGACCTGGCCTGCCACAGGTGGGTCTGATGAAACTTTCCAGCCCCTGTCCTGAAATTTGACTTTAGAGAAGTTGCATACCAGTTCAGTTTCTTGTTTGTTTGTTTGTTTGTTTTGACACGGAGTCTCACTCTGTTGCCCAGGCTGGAGGGCAGTAGTACAATCTTGGCTCACTAGAGTGCAGTAGTACAATCTTGGCTCATCTGCCTCCCGGGTTCAAGCAATACTCCTGCCTCAGCATCCTGAGTAGCTAGGATTACAGGCACACACCACCACGCCCAGCTAATTTTTGTATTTTTAGTAGAGACAGGGTTTCACCATGTTGGCCAAGCTGGTCTCAAACTCCTGACCTCAAGTAATCTGCCCATCTCGGCCTCCCAAAGTGCTGGAATTACAGGCATGAACCACCACACCCGGCCCCAGCTCAGTTTCTTAAGGACTCTGTAACAAGGGAGGGAGAACATCGCCAATTTGGGGCATTCCTTCTGATGCTGAAGGTGCATGATTCTTGCTGTTTCTAACTCTGAGTTCCAGAGGTGGTTTTTTCAGAAGCAGAGCCTCAGCTGGGCACGGTGGCTCACACCCATAATCCCAGCACTTTGGGAGGCCGAGGCAAGAGGATCACTTGAGGCCAGGAGTTCAAGACCGGCTTGAGCAACAGAGCGAAGCCTCATGTCTACTGAAAATTAAAAAAAAAAAAAAAAAAAAATGAGCTGGCTGTGGTGGCCTGCACCTGTGGTCCCAGCTACTTGGGATGCTGAGGTGGGAGGATGGCTTGAGCTGTGATGGTACTATTGCAGCCTGGACAACAAAGCAAAACCCTGTCTCAGACACACACACACACAAAAGAAGCAGAAGAAGTTGTTTGGAGCCAGGATGGCTCATTTGCCCACAGGAACTCACAGGAAGTCTGAAAATAGTCAGGTAGAGCACATAGAAGCTGCAACAGCTGTGAGCTCCCCCCAGAGTCCCTGAGCACATCTCTATCGCGCGTGGGGGCTGCTGATGCTGGTATCATTTCCAAAACAATAAGTCAGGATCTCCCAGACAGACGGGAGTGCTGCCGACAGCCTTCTCTGTTTTTCTTTTTTTAAAATTTTTAGTTATTCTACGTATGAAAACCAAAAAGTACCTGAGACAAGTCTCCATCAATTTAGAAAGTTTATTTTGCCAAATTTGAAGATGCAGCCTCAGGAACTCCTGACAACATGTCCCCAAAGTGTTTGGGGCACAGCTTGCTTGGTTTTATGCATCTTAGGGAGGCATGAGACATCAATCAGTCTATGGAAGATGTACATTGGTTCTGTCCGGAAAGGTGGCACAACTCGAGGCAGGGAGAGAGCCTGCATTTCATAGGCTGATAAGAGACAAATGGTTGCTTTCTTTCGAGTTTCTGATTAGCCTTGTACTGAAAGCACGATGTACAGGAATACTCACTTATGCCTTAGTCTGGCTTAGTGAAACAAGAGGGTAGAGGAAGCAATCAGGTATGCATTTGTCTCACGTGAGCAGAGGGATAACTTTGAGTTCTATTTATTTATTTTATTTATTTTAAGACAGAATCTTGCTCTTGTTGCCCAGGCTGGAGTGCAGTGGCGCGATCTCAGCTCACTGCAACCTCTGTACCCTGGGTTCAAGCGATTCTCCTGCCTCAGCTCCTCGAGCAGCTGGGATTACAGGCACCTGCCACCATGCTTGGCTAATTTTTGTATGTTCAGTAGAGATGGGGTTTCCCCATGTTGGCCAGGCTGGTCTCGAACTTCTGACCTCAGGTGATTGATCCACCTGCCTCAGCCTCCCAAAGTGCTAGGATTTACAGGTGTGAGCCACCACACCCGCCTTAACTATGAGTTATTTCTGTCCTTTGTCTACAAGGAATTTCCCTGTGGGGATATTATGAGGGAAGCATGTAGCTTTTAAACAAATCTTTGTAACTATCTTATTTTAGAATAGAATGGGAGACGGGTTTGCCCAAAACAGCTCCCAGATCGACTTTTCCCTTTGGCTAAGTGATTCTGGGATCCCGAGATTTATTTTCCTTTCACACATACATAATAGTTGTACAAATTTATGGGGTACATGTGAGATATATATATATATACATACATATACATATATATATTTTTTTACTTTACGTTCTGGGATACAGGTGCAGAACGTGCAGGTTTATTACATAGGTATACATGTGCCATTGTGGTTGGCTGCACCCATCAACCCATCATCTAGATTTTAAGCCCCGTATGCATTAGGTATTTGTCCTAATGCTCTCTCTCCCCTTGCCCCCCACCCACCCCACATGTGATATTTTGATATCAGCATAGAATGTGTCATGATGAAATCAGGATAATTAGGGTACCCATCACCTTAAGCATTTATAATTTCTTTGTGGAAATCACATTCCAATTCCACTCTTTCAGTTATTTTGAAATACACAATAAATTATTGTGAATACAGTCACCCTATGGTTTGGCCAAACACTAGACTGTATTTCTTTTATCCAACTGTATTTTTGTACCCATGAACCATCCTCTCTTAATCATCCCCTCCCACTAACCTTCCCAGTCCCCAGTCACCATCATTCTACTCTCTATCTCCGTGAGTTCAATTTTTTAAGCTCTCACATATGAGTGACGACAAGCAATGTTCTCTTTGACATTTTCCCCTGTCCTTCATTCCATCAAACAAACCTCATTTTACCATGATGCCACCATGATATAATAACAGCTGCACATGCAAAGCCATTGATTGTAACATGACTTCATGACCTGTGCATAAAAAAGCATGCTAGTGTAATCCCAGCACTTGGGGAGGCCAAGGCGGGTGGATCACAAGGTCAGGAGTTCAAGACCAGCCTGGCTAATATGCTAAAAAACCGTCTCTACTAAAAAAAAAATACAAAAATTAGCCAGGCATGGTGGTGGGCGCCTGTAATCCCAGCTGCTTGGGAGGCTGAGGCAGGAGAATCTCTTGAACCCGGGAGGCAGAGGTTGCAGTGAGCCAAGATCGTGTCACTGTACTCCAGTCTGGGTGACAGAGTGAGATTCCGTCTCAAAAAACAAAAAAAAAAAAACAAAAAAAAAAACCCAAAAAAACATGCTAGTTATGGCCCATCTTTGCTTGTGAAGGATAAAAATGATTATAAATTTTTCCCTTTCTGGCCAGGTGCAGTGGCTCATGCCTGTATTCCCAGCACTTTGGGAAGCCGAGGTGGGAAGATCACTTGAGCTCAGGAGTTCAAGACCAGCTTGAGTAACATGGCGAAACTCTGTCTCTCAAAAATACAAAAAATTAGCCAGGCATGGTGGCATGCATCTGTGATGCCAGCTACTTGAAAGCTGAGGTGGGAGAATCATTTGAGCCCAGGAGGCGGAGATGGCAGTGAGCCGTGACTGCATCACTGCACTCCAGCCTAAGCCACAGAGCGAGAACCTGTCTCAAAAACAAAAACAAAACAAAAAAGAAATGCTTCTTTTCAGCCTCAAGCTTGATTGGTCTTTCCTACTCTGGGCTTTAGACAAGGGATGGTCAGTTTTCTGAAGCTGTATTTATTCAAAGTTCTGCACAGTTTTACTTTAGCAAATTTCAGACAATGAACATTGTAGGGTTTTTTTGTTGTTTTTGACCTTTTGAGATCCTTAGTTTTGGAAGCAGCTGTGATCGTTTCAGTGACTATGTGGGCACTCATAGAATGTTTATATCTGAAGTGTCTGGTGTTGGGGGGGAGATTAAAGAGATGGTGTCTTTGAAATCTGTTTCTAAATCTGTTATCCAGTTTAAAATTCTCTTTCATTGTAACGAGCAGAAAGACAATAAGAACAGGTGCAGAGAAGGCAGGCTGTGTTGTTCTTTCTTCAGAGTGGGAAGCTTCGTAAGATTCAGGGGCTGGCAGTCACCAAACCCCACATAAACCTGTCTGTGTGCTTTCATTGAAAGTATACTTTAGGCTGGGCATGGTGGCTCACGCCTGTAATTCCTGCACTTTGGGAGGCCGAGGCGGGTGGATCACCTGAGGTCAGGAGTTCAACACCAGCCTGGCCAACATGATGAAACCCCATCTCTACTAAAAATACAAAAAATTAGCCAGACATGGTGGCAGGCACCTGCCATCCCAGCTACTCGGGAGGCTGAGGCAGGAGAATCACTTGAACCCAGGAGGAGGAGGTTACAGTGAGCTGAGATTGCGCCACTATACTCCAGCCTGGGCAACAAGAGCAAAACTTCGTCCCAAAAAAAAAAAAAAAAAAAGAAAATGTACTTTAAACAGCTAATGATGACTACATTTTTGTTTCAGCTCCAATGTATCTTTCTAAGGTCAGATTTCTTCCTTCCTTCCTTTCTCTTTCTCTCTTTCTCTTTCTTTTCTTTTTTTCTCTTCCTTCCTTTCTTTCTCTTTCTTTCTTTCTCTTTCTTTCTCTTTCTTTCTTTCTTCTCTTTGTTCTTTCTCTCCTTCTTCTTATTCTTTTTTCTTCTTCCCCTCCCTCCCTCCCTTCCCTCCCTCCCTCCGTCCCTCCCTCCCTCCCTTCCTTCTTTTTTCTTTTCCTTTCTTTTTTTTTCTTTCTTTCTTTCGAGATGGGGTCTTGCTATGTTAACCAGGCTGGTCTTAAACACCTGGCCTCAAGCAATCCTCCCGTCTTGGCCTCCCAAAATGCTAGGATTACAGGCATGAGCTACTGTGTCCAGCCTGAGGTTTCTGTCTTCATTCTCCATTGCATGCTTGTCCACCATAGAGTCTATTCAACTACATGTTCTGTAAAAGCATCATAATGGAAAAACAGTTTTTCTTTGCTTTACATTCCCATATGTTCCATGTATGAAATCCAGAAAAGGCTAAGTTCTCAGACATGATCTGCTCCTGTCGGAATTCTAAGGACTGAGGGAGAGTACATTATTCTCACATTCTAAGTCTTAAAGTCATTCTCAGTGCTTTCACTTTCAACATTTTTGTCTGAACGATGACCGCACGTTCATTTTTCAGGGTGCATTTTGGTCTCCAGTTTAAATATCCTATCTGTGAGGCCGGGCATGGTGGCTCATGCCTGTAATCCCAGCACTTTGGGAGGCCAAGGTTGGTGGGTCACGAGGTCAGGAGATCGAGACCATCCAGGCTAACATGATGAAACCCCGTCTCTACTAAAAATACAAAAAATTACCTGGGCATGGTGGCGGGTGCCTGTAGTCCCAGCCACTCAGGAGGCTGAGGCAGGAGAATCACTTGAACCCGAGAGGCAGAGGTTGCAGTGAGCAGAAATCGCGCCACTGCACTCCAGCTTGGGTGACGACAGAGCGACACTCTTTCTCAAAAAAAAAAAAAAAATCCTATGTATGTTCCATCTCTTCTTTATTTCTATGATATGGAATGTGACATGGTTTGGATTTGTGTCTCTGCCCAAAGCTCACGTTGAATTGTCATCTGTGGTGTTGGAGGTGGGGCCTGGTGAGAGGTGGGTGAATAACAGGGGTTGTTTCTAATGGCTTACCATCATCCCCCAGTGCTGTCTTGTGATAGAATTTTGTTTGTTTGAGATGTAGTTTTGCTCTTGTAGCCCAGGCTGGAGTACAATGGCACAATCTCCACTCACTGAAACCTCTGACTCCTGGGTTCAAGCGATTCTCCTGCCTCAGTGTCCAGAGTAGCTGGGATTACAGGCGCCTGCCACCAAGCCTGGCTAATTTTTCTATTTTTAGTAGAGATGGGGTTTCACCATGTTGGTCAGGCTGATCTTGAACTCCTGACCTCAAGTGATCCCCCTGCCTCAGCCTCCCAAAGTGCTGGGATTAGAGGCGTGAGCCACCGCACCCGGCCTCGTGATAGAGTTCTCAGGAGATCTGGTTGTTTAAAAGTGTGTGGCACCTTCTCCTTCACTCTCTCTCTCCTGCTCCACCATGTGAAGATGTGTGCGCTTCACCTTTCCCTTCACCACGACTGTAAGTTTGCTGAGGCCTCCCCAGGAGCAGAAGCATGTACAGCCGGCAGAACTGTGAGGCCTCCACAGCCATGCTTACTGTACAGCCTGTGAATCTGTGACTCAATTAAACCTCCTTTCTTTATGAAATACCCAGTCTCAGGTAGTTCTTTATAGCAATGTGAGAACAAACTAATACAGAAAGAAAATTTTTTCCTGATGAGAAAATGTCTGACAGTTTTCCTCAAAATTTGTATCGTTGTACAGATGTCCAAGTTGGTAGCTCAGGAAGTCTGTAATTACCAACAACATTCTTCATCATCGTCACTGTCATCACCATCATCATCATCATCCTCACTGTCACCATCATCATCACCCTCATCATCATCATCCTCACCATCATCATCATCCTCACCATCATCATCACCATCATCACCATCACCATCGTCATCATCCTCACCATCATCATCACCATCATCACCATCACCATTATCATCCTCACCATCCTCACCATCATCATCATCCTCACCATCATCATCACCATCATCACCATCACCATTATCATCCTCACCATCATCACCATGATCATCATCCTCACCATCATCATCACCATCATCGCCATCATCCTCACTGTCACCATCATCATCCTCACCATCATCATCACCATCCTCACCATCATCCTCACTGTCACCATCATCATCCTCACCATCATCATCCTCACCATCATCATCACCATCATCATCACCATCATCATCCTCACCATCATCATCACCATCATCATCCTCACCATCATCCTCACCATCATCATCCTCACCATCATCATCCTCACCATCATCATCCTCACCATCATCATCACCATCATCATCCTCACCATCATCATCCTCACCATCATCATCCTCACCATCATCCTCACCATCATCATCCTCACCATCATCATCCTCACCATCATCATCACCATCATCATCCTCACCATCATCATCATCACCATCATCATCACCATCATCATCCTCACCATCATCATCACCATCATCATCCTCACCATCATCATCACCATCATCATCCTCACCATCATCATCCTCACCATCATCATCCTCACCATCACCATCATCATCCTCACCATCATCATCACCATCATCATCCTCACCATCATCATCCTCACCATCATCACCATCACCATCCTCACCATCATCATCCTCACCATCATCATCACCATCATCATCACCGTCATCATCACCGCCATCATCCTCATACACATCATCATCATCCTCACCATCATCCTCACCATCATCATCCTCACCATCATCATCCTCACCATCATCATCACCGTCATCATCCTCACCAACATCATCACTGCCATCATCCTCATACACATCATCATCATCCTCACCATCATCATCACCATCCTCACCATCATCACTCTCGCCATAATCATCACCATCATCATCCTCGCCATCATCATCGCTGTCGCCATCATCACCATCATCATCCTCACCATCACCATCACCACTGTCACCATCATCATCACCATCATCCTCATCGTCACCATCATCATCACCATCTTCATTATCACCATCACCATCATCATTATTATCACCAAGCTTAAATGCTTGCTTTGCCCTCTTTTCCAGAGACTCTTGACCTCTGGTTTTACTGTGTGTACCAGAAAAGTCTTCGTAATTATGTGGCCTCTGATTGTTTTTTCTAAGAGAGTAAGAGGAATCACGGTGGACGTATTCTGCCTGAATGTGTCAAAACCGTGCTAAGAGCTCTGAACATGAATATTAACATTGGGTATTTACTTTTCCTGTTCCTACGTGTCTGTTTTTTAAAAAAACAATTTTATCATGGACATTGAGGATGATACGTTGTGGTGCAGTCAGGTATTTTCCTTTATAGAAAGAGTCTATTCCTCTATAGAAGAGTCTATCAGACAGTTAGCTTCGCTGGATATACACTTTAATCTTTGTGTTTGCTGAAGTGGGCAGGAGTTTAAATATCTGCTCAGTTCTTTCAACATCACACTGATGGATTCCTCTTGGTTCTCTGAGGTCTCCCCACACATGCATAATCCAGATGACCAAATATTTGGGCAGCGTTCAAATCCAGACTTGGAGTTCCCTTAAACCGTTGCATATTCCCCTTTTAAACATTTCCTCCTCGTGTTGCAGGGTCTCTGGCAGCTGCCAGCTCTCTCGTGACTCTTCAGGCTAGTAAACCTGCAGAAGTTCTCACTTCCCCAGAATTAAGCGACTTTGGGAAGCCCCCTGCAGAAAGGACGTGCAAATGCTAATCTTCACAGGGCAGTTCCCCATTTGTCAGAGAGTTCCTCTGCCCACATTTCTGCCTGTTTGGGGCCAAGGGTCTTCACATCGTTTTTTAAAAGGCTTCATCCAGAGTTTATCCTTGTGATCTCCGGGACGTTCTGTCCAATACACACTATTCTTCAACGACTGGAAGTGAGAGTCGAGAATTAAGAGCAACTTTAAGGATTCAGATTTGCCAGGCACAGTGGCTTATGCCTGTAATCTCAGTATTTTGGGAGGCTGAGGTGGGCAGATGACCTGAGGTCAGGAGTTCGAGGCCAGCCTGGCCAACATAGTGAAACTCTGTCTCTACTAAAAATACAAAAATTAGCCGGGCATGCTGGTGCATGCCTGTAATCTCAGCTACTTCAGAGGCTGAGGCAGAAGAATCACTTGAACCCAAGAGGTGGAGGTTGCAGGAAGCCAAGATCGTGCCACTGCACTCTAGCCTGGGTGACAGGGTGAGATTCTATTTCAAAAAAAAAAAAAAAAAAGGAGAAAAAAAAGGATTCAAGTTTCAAGTGGTCAAGCAAGAGAAGGCTTTGGCCTCAGAATTCGAGTCTCAGCACTTTCATCTGTCATGAAAACATTACGTCATGTCTTATGACTTAGCTCCTGGTATGGCGAGGCCTTTGAAGTGAGATGATTTGAGAGAAATCTCACATTCTAAATGTGAGGTTTTTAAAATTACATAAGTAATATTATATAAAATATCGGTCATAATGATTGTATGCAGTAAGTGCTCAATAAATACTAAATGTGATTTTTGTGATGTGCGATACATTTCAATGCTTCACTTTAAAAATTGGTCGAATTACACTTGTGATTATTTTACTATTAAAAACAAAATGTGCCGGGCGCAGTGGCTCACACCTGTAATCCCAACACTCTGGGAGGCCAAGGTGGGGGGATCACTTGAGGCCAAGGTTCAAGAGCAGCCTAGCCAATATGGTGAGACCCTGTCTCTACTAAAAATACCAAAATTAGCCGGGCATGGTGGCGTGCACTTGTAGTCCCAGCTACTTGGTAGGCTGAGGCAGGAGAATCGCTTGAACCCAGGACACGGAGGTTGCAGTGAGCTGAAATCATACCACTGCCCTCCAGCCTGGGCAACAAAGCAAGACTGCATCTCAAAAACAAAAGCTAAAACAAAACAAAAGAAAACAAAAAACCCCACAAAATGCGATTATTATTATTACACAGAAGTTTGCTCATTGTTAAGCCTTCTCATACTCAATATTGGATATTTTCTCCACCGTAATAACACCAGAAACCTATTATCCACTGTTTCAATAAGGAAATTAAATCACTTAGAAGTGTTTCGTTTTCAAAAATCTACTGACGCGTTTCTTAAGTGTGTGTAGGACATAATGATTTTCTCCTAAAATGTACAGCATGGGAAAGAGGCCGGGGGAAGGATAATTTTTTAGTGAAGAAAGCTGACAAACACCATCTCGACCAGATAACTGAGGTCAACATGCACTGTGAGAAGTCTTGTGGTTGTGAGAGTGTGTACCCTTGTTAGGATATGACGAGAAGGGCCTGTCCAACTTGTGGTCGTTCCCCCAAAAAACCCACAACCCGCATCTTTTTTTTTTTTTTTTTTTTTTTTTGAGATGGAGTCTCACTCTGTCGCCCAGGCTGGAGTGCAGTGGCATGATCTCGGCTCACTGCAACCTCTGCCTCCTGTGTTCAAGCGATTGTCCTGCCTCAGCCTCCCGAGTAGCTGGGATTACAGGTGGGCACCACCATACCTGGCTAATTTTTGTATTTTTAGTACAGATGGGGTTTCACCATGTTTGTCAGACTGGTCTCGATCTCCTGACTTCGTGATCTGCCCGCCTCGGCCTCCCAAAGTGCTGGGATTATAAGGGTCAGCCCCCACGCCCGGCCCCCAAACCCCATCTAATCATGAAGAAAACATCAGAAAAGGCCAGGGGCGGTGGCTCACTCCTGTAATAATTAAAAAATTAAAATTAAAAAAATCAGCTGTGGGCATGGTGGCGGGCACCTGTAGTCCCAGCTACTCAGGAGGCTGAGGCAGGAGAATGGCGTGAACGCGGGAGGCAGAGGTTGCAGTCAGCCGAGACTGCGCCACTGCACTCCAACCTAGGCGACAGAGTGAGACTCCATCTCAAAGAAAAAGAAAGAAAACATGAGAAAAATCCCAATAAAAGGACTTCCGTCAAAAGGCTTGCCCAGTGCTTTTCAAAGCTGTCCAGGTCATTCATCTGAATCAAGAAACGTCTGGAAAACTGTCCCAGCCAAGAGGGAACCCAGGTAGAAGTAATAACTAAACACCCTGTGGAACTGTGGGGCCTGTGAAAGGAAACTAACCCGGGCCCCGACAAGCTGGGAAGTGCCCAGGGCAAATCGGCCTCTCATTTTATTCAAGGTCACCCCTCTGCTTACTGAGATAGACGCATATTCTAATTGCCTCCTTTGGAGAGGCTAATCAGAAACTCAAAAGAAGCAACCATATGTTTCCCACCTACCTGTGACCTGGAAGCTCCCTCTCTGCTTCCAGTTGTCCCCGCCTTTCTGGAAGGAACCAATGGACTTCTTACATATATTGATTGATGGCTCATGTGTGCCTAAAATGTATAAAACCAAGCTGTGCCCCGACCACCTAGGGCACATGTCATCAGGACCCCATGAGGCTGTGTCACAGGTGCGCATCCTTAACTTTGGCAAATAAACTTCCTAAAATGATTGACAATTGTCTTCTAATTTTCTTGACTGACAGACCCTGGATGGGATCCTAAACATTAGAAAAAAACTAAAGAAATCTGAATAGGGTATGGGCTGGTTAATAGTAATGTATCAAGAGTGGTTGGTTAATTGCCACAAATGCACCGTACTAATTGAAGATGTTTATGACGGGGGTATAAAAGAGCTCCTTGTGGTATGTTTGAAACTTTTCTGCAAATCTGAAATCATTCTGAAACAAAAAATGTAACTTAAATCGACATTAAATGTCAAATTGCACTCTGTTAAAGAATCAAGATTAAGATTCAAGTTCCTCTCAATAAACTACAGATTAAAAACCCCTCAAAGGGCCGGGCACAGTGGTTCATGCCCTGTAATCCCAGCACTTTGGGAGGCTGAGGCAGGTGGATCACCTGAGGTCAGGAGTTTGAGACCAGCCTGGCCAACAAGGTGAAACCCCATCTCTACTAAAAATACAAAAATTAGCCATGTGTGGTGGTGTGTACCTGTAGTCCCAGCTACTCGGGAGGCTGAGGCAGGAGAATCGCTTGAATCCGGAGGTGGAGATTGTAGTCAGCTGAGATCGTGCCGTTGTACTCCAGCCTAGAGACAAAGCAAGACTCTGTGTCAAAACAAAAACAAAAACAAAAAACAAACAAACAAAAACCCTCCAACGATCTCCTCAATCTCTTCTAACTCTATGCATGAGAATCTGTAAATATTATAGCAGCAGGCAGCATTACAGAGCCCCAAAAGACCTATGTTCGTTCAACATGCCCTGATTCACTATTTCGCCCAAGGAGACTCTGATAGCAGAGGCGACATGTCAGTTCATCTTTTATTCAATGCAGAAGTGTCCCAGATTGATTCTGTCTTCAGAAACTGTGCTGACTGCAATACTCTAAAAACTGAGCCTATACCTGGGTAAGCTGGTTTTCTGTGAAACAAGTTTATAGGAGAAGCATCACAGATCACCCAGTGTTTAAAATATCACTGCATTCAAATATCATTATTTAAAAGAAATGAATACAATCATCATAATAAAAATGCAATCTTTCCAGCATGAGTTTCTGGGGAATCTGCATATTTTTGATCCTCTTGGGTCCTGTGTCATCCTCCCTGACACGGAGATAACATTGTAAACGTGAGGTTTTTGAAATTACGTAAGTGATATTCTGTGAAATATCAACCATAATGATTGTATGCAGTAAGTGTTCAATAAATACTAAATGTGATTTTTGTGATGTGCGATACATGTCAACGCTTCACTTTAAAATTGGTGGAATTACTCTAATAATTATTTTCCCATGAAAAATGTGGTATTTAGCACTTTTATTGGCATCTTACACACAGTGTGTCTGTTATTCCCCCAGACATTGTAGGTTAGTCTTCGCTTCCCTCCCATTTCCTCTCCTCTCCTCCCCTTTCCTTTTTCCTCACTCTCTTCCTCCCTTCCTCTCTCTCTCTCACCCTCTCTTTCCTTCTTTCTTCCCTCCCTCCCTCCCTTCCTTCCTTCTCGACAGGGTCTTGCTCTATCACCCAGGCTGGAGTGCAGTGGCACACTCACACCTTACTGCAGCCTCAAACCCCTGGGGTCAGTTTGTCTTTCCATCTCGGCCTCCTGAGTGGCTGGAACTATAGACAAGCACTCACCATACTCAGCTAAATTTTTTTATTTTTTGTAGAGCTGGGGGTTCTCACTATGTTGCCCAGGCTGGTCTTGAACTCCTGGGCTCAAGCAATCTTCCCACCTTGGCCTCCCAAAGCACTGGGGTTATAGGCATGAGCCACTGCACCCAGCCTGGGTGATAGAGTTATTTTTTTCTTATATTTCATCACATATCCATGCCTGGGTTACCTTCCATAGTGTTATTTTACCACAACGACAACAAAATTCCTTTAAAAATTTTTTTCTAGAAATCCATAAATACATATGTCAACAAAGTTAAGCTGTTGAGTTAAGCCTAGTTAGGTGAAGGTTTGCCTTAGAGGTAGTGTGTTTAGACTTGACTTGGGAAAAATAGACACATATTGGAGGAATCCTCTGGAATTTAAGGGCACGGAAGAATGTTGGTGATATGGTTTGACTGTCCCCACCCAAATCTCATCTGAATTGTAGCTCCCGTATTTCCCACGTGGTGTGGGAGGGACCAGGTGGGAGATAACTGAATCATGAGGGCGGTTTCCCCGATACTGCTCTTGTGGTAGTGAATGAGTCTCAAGAGAACTGATGGTTTTATAAGGGGAAACCCCCTTCACTTGGCTCTCATTTTCTCTTGCCTCCACCATGTAAGATGTGCCTTTCGCCTTCCACCATGACTGTGAGGCCTCCCCGTCACGTGGAACTGCGAGTCCATTAAACCTCTTTTCATGATCAATTATCGGGTCTCCTCAGGTATGTCTTTATCAGCAGAGTGTGAACACAGTTGGTTTCCTGGTAATTTGCAGTGATAGCCAAAGGGTCTGTGCAGTGCATAGACACATATTTCTAGGGCAAGAGGGCAGGGGCTGTGCACACACAGATGGGTGTAGCAGGAAGAAGGTGGTGCAGGCAAGCTGAACAGTGAAAGAGGATTTAGTGCAGGGACTCTTTACTGAAGTCTAGCCAGAATGTTAGGGAAAGCATTCAGAGATGGTGCAGAACCTGCAGGCTGGGAAACAGGAGCGCTCACCCCCAACTCGAGAATGATGGCAAAGGAAAGAGAGAGAGGCTAGAACCCAGCGAGGGAGAACTCAATGAACAACGCCACCTGACAGGTGCTAGGACACTGGATTAGAGGAGAAAGCCAATGTCAGATGGAACCCAGGGCTAAATCCCTCCAACTTTACTCTCCTCCTGTCTCCAACCTCAGTGGCAATTCCCCAGGGTCAGAACCAAAAATGGCAGCCAGAAGGCAAGAGAACCCTATGGATGTAGTATCTGTGAGTCATCCTCAGCCTCCTTGCCTCCCCATTCCCCCTGCCACTCTCCCCTGGGTTGAGAAGGTTGGAGAAGTGTACAAAGTGGGTCAGAGAAACAAAAGGAAGAAAGTTGGCACAAGCATTCAAGAAAAGTGATAGCAGGTATAGGAGAAAGGGATGTGCCATGCTTTTGTACCATTGAAACATTTTAATAGGGGAACAAAAAACTCTAATTAGTATGTGACAAAGGAAAAACAGAAGGGACTGAGGAAGGCGGGGAGGGAGAGCGTTTATTCATTTAGCAGAGATGTCTGACTGCCAGGCGGACGCAGGACCTGAAAAACACCCAGGGACTGTAGTGAATCAAACTCAGCCCTGTTTGTTTCGAATGCACTCAACGTTAGCCCCGACTCCGGCGAGATTTCATCGTTTTGGGAAAGATTCGTTGGCATCCTCTCTAAAAGCATTTGCCCAAATATGTTTTTAGAAAGCAAGCACGTTTTTTTCCCCTTGGATCACTACATGAAAAAATACTTGGAAATAGTGCTAATATGTGAATGTAATTAATGTCACTGCATGGTACACTTAAACATGATTAACACGGGGCCCCGGATGTTTTATATATATATTATCATAATTAATACATATTACATTTTAGCATCCTTTACCTCCCTCCACGTATTAGTCCATTTTCATGCTGCTGATAAAGACATACCTGAGACAGGGTAATTTATTTTTTATTTTATTTATTTACTTATTTTTTTGAGACAGAATCTCCTTCTGTTGCCCAGGCTAAAGTGCGGTGGTGCGATCTTGGCTCACTGCAACCTCCATCTCCTTTGATCAAGCGATTCTCCTACCTCAGCCTCCCTATTAGCTGGGATTACAGGCGTGCAGCACCACGCCTGGCTAATTTTTTTATTTTTTAGTAGAGATGGGGTTTCACCATGTTGGCCAGGCTGGTCTCAAACCCCCAACCTCAGGTGATCTGCCTGCCTCGGCCTCCCAAAGTGCTGTGATTACAGGCGTGAGCCACCATGCCTGGCCAAGACTGGGTAATTTATAAAGAAAAAGAGGTTTAATGGACTCAGAGATTCACGTTGCTGGGGAGGTCTCACCGTCATGGCGGAAGGCGAAAGGGATGTCTTACATGGCAGCAGGCAAGAAAGAAAATGAAAGTCAAGTGAAAGGGGAAACCTCTTATAAAACCATCAGATTTCATGAGACTTATTTACTACATGAGAACAGTGTGGGGGAAACCGCCCCATGATTCAATTATCTCCCACTGGGTACCTCCCACAATAAATGGGTATTATGGGAGCTATAATTCAAGATGAGATTTAGCTGGGGACACAGCCAAACCATATCACCCCCAAAACACAAGACACACAAATGCATAGACACAAACAGACACACACACACTCAAGGATTTAATGATTCTATTTTTTGAATGTGTGTTTACTTAAACTATACTATTAATCTTCATACAAACTAAATTTGTTCTCACCTTTTCTGGAAGAATCACATGATCAAAGATTTGAGTTCTCCATGAGAGAATAGGGGGAAGAATTCACACCACAATTCCCAGCCTAATATCAGAATATCAGACATCCAACTAGAAGCTAAGGTGCTTTTCCTGAGGCAGTTTAGTCATGAATGGATGTTTGTTTGTTGTCGTGTTTATATATAGCTTCTACCCTACTTTATTCTAAAATGGCCATGGCATTGATAGCTGAAAATAATGTCTGAACCTCTTTAAAAAAAATGTCTTTCCAAGTTTTAAATGCATTTACAGCCCAAGGATTGCAAGATTCTTGTGAATTGGTTTGGCAAAGATTCCCCCAGGCATTGCACCGTCATGGCTGGGTCACCTTCCAGAGTGCTGTTTTCAAATCATTGGTTTTCTTTTACAATTTTTCTTCTAAAAATCTATAAACATATGTTACCATATGTCAACAAAGTTAAGCCATTTAGTTAGGCCAATTAGGTAAAGCTTTGTATTGGCAGCAGTATCACTACAGGTGATTGGGGAATAGGTGAGAATTGGATAGAGAATGGGTCAACATTTTCAGAGTGGAACTACCAAACATAGAAAGAAAACCCAGGCCTTTCTCCATGATTAAAGACTCATCACTCTTGGTGAGTTTATTTTTATTTTTATTTATTTATTTTTTTTGAGACGGAGTCTCGCTCTGTTGCCCAGGTTGGAGTGTAGTGGCACAATCTCAGCTCACTGCAACCTCCACCTCCCGGGTTCAAACAATTCTCCTGCCTCAGCCTCCCAAGTAGCTGGGACTACAGGCGCCCGCCACCACGCCTTGCTAATTTTTGTATTTTTAGTAGAGACAGGGTTTCACCATGTTGGCCAGGCTGGTCTGGAACTCCTCACCTCAGGTGATCCACGTGCCTCAGCCTCCCAAAACGTTGGGATTATACGTGTGAGCCACTGCGCCCAGCCCATTGGTGAGTTTTATTAATGGTGCTTTCCAAATGTTTCCTCTGCATGGCTGTATATCTATTGAGGCTAAAACTGACATAAGGTTTGAAAATTTACTAGAATGGGCCAGGCACAGTGGCTCACACCTGTAATTCCAGCACTTTGGGAGGCTGAGGTGGGTGGATCACTTGAGGTCAGGAGTTCAAGACCAACCTGGCCAATATGGTAAAACCCCGTCTCTACTAAAAATACAAAAATTAGCCGGGCGTGGTGGTGTGTGCCTATAGTCCCAGCTACTCGGGAGGCTGAGGCAGGGGAATCGCTTGAACCCAGGAGGCAGAGGTTGCAGTGAGCCAAGATCGTACTACTGCACTCCCGCCTGGGCGACAGGGTGACACTCTGTCTCAAAAAAAAAAATTACCTGGGTGTGACGGTGTGCACCGGTAATCCCATCTACTAGGGAGGCTGAGGCAAGAGAATTGGCTTGAACCCAGGAGGCGGAGGTTGCAGTGAGCCGAGATCATGCCACTGCACTCCAGCTTGGGCGACAGAGCGAGACTCCATCTCAATAAATAAATAAAAACATAAAATTACAAAAATTAGCCAGGTGTGGTGGTGCATGCCTGTAGTCCCAGCTACTTGGGAGGCTGAGACAGGAGAATCGCTTGCACCCGGGAGGCAAAGGCTGCAGTGAGCCGAGATGGCGCCATTGCACTTCAGCCTGGACAAGAGCGAGACTGTCTCAAAAAAAAAAAAAAAGCCTGTCATGGTGGCTCACGCCCGTCATTCCAGCACTTTGGGATGCCGAGGCTGGTGGATCTCGAGGTCAGGAGATCGAGACCATCCTGGCTAATTTGGTGAAACCCTGTCTCTACTAAAAATACAAAAATTAGCCAGGCTGGTGATGTGCACCTGTAGTCCCAGCTACTCAGGAGGCTAAGGCAAGAGAATCACTTCAACCCAGGAGACAAAGGTTGCAGTGAGCCGAGATCATGCCACTGCACTCCAACCTGGGTGACAGAGTGAGACTCTGCCTCAAAAAAAAAAAAAAAAAAAGCATAAAATCATATCTTTTGCAGCAACATGAATACAGCTGGAGTCCATAATCCTGTCAATTAATGCTGAAACAGAAAACCAAATACCACATATTCTTATTTATAAGGGTGGGGCTAAGCATTGCGTACACATGGACTTATGTCATGGGAAGAGCAGTCACTGGGGAATACAAGTGGGGGTAGAGAATAGGAGGATAAGGGTTGAAAAAGCTCCTTTTGGGCACTATGCTCACTACCTGGGTGACGGTTTCATCTGTACGCCAAATCTCAGCATCACACAATATACCTTTATAACAAACCTGCACAGGTACCCACTGATTCTAAAATAAAAGTTGAAAAACAATTAAAAAAATAAAGTGGTGCTTGCCACTCTTGGAACAGGCCTTGGTCCAGTCTGAACCAGCCTTTGCAAATGAATTGGTAGAGACGCAAAGTTTCTACTCTAAATAGGTCAATAATGCCTTCTGGAATTGTAAGAAATAAGGAAATTCTCGGCCGGGTGTCATGGCTCACGCCTGTAATCCCAGTACTTTGGGAGGCCAAGGCGGGCGGATCACAAGGTCAGGAGTTTGAGACCAGCCTGGCCAACATAGTGAAACCCCATCTCTACTAAAAAAAATACAAAAATTAGCTGGGTGTGGTGGTGCGCACCTGTAGTCCCAGCTACTCAGGAGACTGAGGCAGGAGAATCCCTTGAACTAGGGAGGCAGAGGTTGCAGTGAGCTGAGACCATGCCATTGCACTCCAGTCTGGGTGACAGAGTGAGACTCCGTCTCAAAAAAAAAAAAAAGGAAATTATCCTAAAAACATGTGCAAAATCTATATTTGAGGCTCTGCGTTGTTGACCCGAATGCTAAAAAGATCAGCATGAAAGGATATGAAACTTCCAAAGAGTCTCCAATATTTTCTCATCTCCTGGCCTCTCCTTTGTAATTTAAAATAAAATTACTGGACCTCACACCAAAAACTTAGTGCTTCTCTCAAGCCAAGTACCTACATTACATTTGACAGGCCACCACCCCCAGATGGCCTTGGTTTTCTTGTCTGCAAAATGGAACAGGATGGACACATGCCCTTTGAGACGTCCCCAAGATCCAAATTCGATTTGTGCTTTTACTAAGATGTGGCCTCAGGCCAGGCGTAGTGGCTCACGCCTGTAATCTCAGCACTTTGGGAGGCCGACGTGGGTGGATCACCAGAGGTCAGGAGTTTGAGGGCAGCCTGGTCAATATGGTGAAACCCTGTCTCTACTAAAAATACAAAAATTAGCCGGGTGTGGTGGTGAGCGCCTGTAATCTCAGCTACTCGGGAGGCTGAGGCATGAGAATTGCTTGAACCTGGAAGGCGACGGTTGCAGTGAGCTGAGATCGTGCCACTGCACTCCAGCCTGGGCAACAGAACAAGACCCTTTCTCAAAAAAAAAAAAAAATGTGGCCTCTATGATTTTACTTCCTTGTTTTCTGCATTGCACCTCATAGCTGCTAATATAAATTCTAAACAGGCCAAGTGTGGCAGCTCATGCCTATAATCCCAGCACTTTGAGAGGCTGAGGCAGGAGGACTGCTTGAGCCCAGGAGTTCCAGACCAGCCTGGGCAATATAGCAAGATCCTGACTCTACAAAAAATAAAAAAAATATAAAAAATTAGCTGGGCGTGGTGGTACATACCTGTAGTCCCAGCTACTCAGAAGGCTGAGGTAGAAGGATTGCTGGATCCCAGGAGTTTGAGGTTGCCGTGAGCTATGATCAAGCCCCCGCACTCCAGCCTGGGTGACAGAGCAAGACCCTGTCTCAAAAAAATTATAAATATTCAACTTATTTTGTTTAAGTTTTGCCATATACCCATGTGCACATGCACATACATGCGTGCACACACACGTGTGTGCACACACACGCACACACACACACAGCTAGAAATTCCACAACAGCTTTAATTGCTGTAAGTTGTTCTTTACAATATTCCCAGTGCTCAGAACCGAGCAATGCACACAGTAGGTGGTAATTAAATATTTATTTATTTATTTTTGAGGTGGAGTCTCACTCTGTCGCCCAGGCTGGAGGGTAGTGGTGTGATCTCCGCTCACTGCAACCTCTGCCTCCTGGGTTCAAGTGATTCTCCTGCCTCAGTGTGCTGAGTGGCTGGGACTACAGGCGTCCTCCTCCATGACCAGCTAATTTTTGTATTTTTAGTAGAGTTGGGGTTTCACCATGGTGACCAGGCTGGTCTCAAACTCCTGACCTCAGATGATCCACCCGCATTGGCCTCCCAAAGTGCTGGGATTACAGGTGTGAGCCACCGCACCCAGCTGGTAATTAAATATTTGATGCATGAATTGGTTACGGGTCGAAGTATATTTCCTGTCCCCCAAAGATACGCTAAAATGATAACCCTTGGGACCTATGAGTGTGACTTTCTTTGAAACCAGAGTTCTTCTACATATTATTAATTACATGAAAACGAGATCATACTGGATTAAGGTGGGCCCTGATCCAATCACCTGTCTGTGCTGCTATCACGAAAATATCATAGACTTGGTGGCTTGTAAACAACAGACATTGATTGACTGGGTGTCTTATAAACAACAGACGTTTATTGACTGGGTGGCTTATAAACAACAGATACTTGTTGACCGGGTGGCTTATAAACAATAGACATTTATTGCTCACCTTCTGGACGCTGGAAGTGCCAGATCAAGGTATGACAGATTGAGTGACTCGAGGGGACTGTCTCTGTTTCCAAGATGGCGCCCTGTTGCTGTGTCCTCACGTAGCCTTAGAGCCCAGCCTGTTCCCTCCAGCTCTTTTACAGAGCGCTAATCCCATCCATTAAGGCAGATCCCTCATGAGTTCATCACTTCCTAAAGGTCCCACCTCTTAATAAGGTTGCATCGGGGATTAAATCTCAACAGGACTTTTGGAGGGAGGCTGTTGTCATTTCACCTTTCAGCACAGACCAAACATCGCCCCTTAAAAAACCAGGAAGCTTCCCCAGAGAGAATATAAATTATGTCACTAGATTTTATCTGTGTGTCCTGCGTCTCTCTGTTTCACGTTCTGTGGGACTTCTTATCCTTCAGTGAATTATTTGAACTGGATCTCTAGGGCATGTTTCTGAAGGGCTTGACTTGTTTTAAAAATTGAACAAATACATTATTCATCTTAGCTTATTTCCTGTTCTGAGTTTTTTTTTCTTTAATGGGAGACAGAAGAAAGCCAATTTATATAACAGATCTGATTGCCAAATCAGTAGTCTTTACATGTTCTTGCCTTTCAGCTAAAACTGCAAGTTAAAACTAGAGTTTTTTTGTCTTTTGTTTTTGTGCATTTAAATCCTTCTATTTTAAAATAATATGCTTAAAAAAATAAAGAAAAATAGCCACCCATGCAACTCTCTCTCATTTGATATTTTCATTCACAGCCAGTGTTGGTCCCACCCGTCAGATATCTAGACTGTCATTTGGTGATGAGATTTTCCCACCTGGGTGCTAAAGAGACCACCAGGTTTTTCACCGTGTTACTCAACGCTGGCACTTAGCTCCAGTTCTCAACAATAGACAGTTTTCACAAGGCCTGTTGCTCACAGGGTCTCTGCAGAAATATTTTGACATCCTAAAATCTGCTTCCTGTTGGTGTACCTCCTTCTGTGGAAGAAAAAGAGGATAAAAAGCACATCTTTCTTAAAACCCAGTCTTCATTGAGTAACAGAACATCTTTATGGAGCATTATTCATCTCCTGAAGACCAGATGATGTTGCTCATTCATCAACTTGATCATTAAAAAGTCAGGAAACAACAGATGCTGGAGAGGATGTGGAGAAATAGGAACGCCTTTACACTGTTGGTGGGAGTGTAAGTTAGTTCAACCATTGTGGAAGACAGTGTGGCGATTCCTCAAGGATCTAGAACCAGAAATACCATTTGACCCAGCAATCCCGTTACTGGGTATATACCCAAAGGATTATAAATCATCCTACTATAAAGACACATGCACATGTATGTTTACTGCAACACTGTTCACAATAACAAATACTTGGAACCAACCCAAATGCCAATCAATGATAGACTAGATGAAGAAAATGTGGCACATACACACCATGGAATACTATGCAGCCATAAAAAAGGATGAGCTCACGTCATTTGCAAGGACATGGATGAAGCTAGAAACCATCATCCTCAGGAAACTAACACAGGAACAGAAAACCAAACACTGCATGTTCTCACTCATAAGTGGGAGGTGAACAATGAGAACACATGGACACAGGGAGGGGAACATCACATACCAGGGCCTGTCAGGGGGTGGGGGCCTGGGGGAGGGACAGCATTAAGAGAAATACCTAATGTAGATGACAGGTTGATGGGTGCAGCAAACCACCATGGCACGTGTGTATGTATGTAACAAAACTGCACGTTCTGCACATTTCCCCAGAACTTAAAGTATAATAATAAAAAATAATAATAATTTTTTTTGATGAAAGGACATAGTTGAAACTGCATCTTTAAGTGGTGACCTCCCTGGCTCTGGCTTCTTGTCCCTTTGTGGGCAAGAGGAGAAAGACATTCTGCTTGAATGGAAACCGAAGGTTTCTCCAAGCATGAAGGAAGAAGAGGGGGGTTACCAAAGATTGTTAGAAGTCAGGACTTACCTTGACATATAGCAGAAGCAAGGAACCAGGGTTTCCACTCTGTGAGTTTGGAAGAAGCTGAGCAGGAACAACAGAGATATGTCCCTGAGGGTGGACCTCATTCTTCGAGGTCCTATGCTAGCAAAACAGGTGCTGGAGAGGAGGATGTACTCATTATTGCTTTATTTCATTCTACCATTTTTTTTCTTCAGATATGATACTTACTTCTATCCCCTATATTTCTTAGCTTTGCTTTTATACTTCCTATTTCTTTTTCCTTTTTCTTTCTATGAAATTTCTTCTATCTTGTCTATAATTTTGGTGATTTCTCCCTCACCTATATACATTCTGCTGTTTATCTACTGAAAAATTTATTTCATTGATTATATTTTTGCAACCTAATATGATTTCCTTCCTCATCTTCTTGTGTACTGTTTCATATTGCTTATATCTTCCTTTTTTATTATTTATTTATTATTATTATTTTTTGAGATGAAGTTTCACTCTTTTTGCCCAGGCTGGAGTGCAATGATGCGATCTCAGCTCACTGCAACCTCCGCCTCCCAGGTTCAAGCGATTCTCCTGCCTCAGCCTCCCAAGTAGCGGGGATTACAGGCATGCGCCACCACACCTGGCTAATTTTGTATTTTTGGTAGAGACGGGATTTTTCCATGTCGGCCAGCCTGGTCTCGAACTCCTGACCTCAGGTGATCCACCCACCTTGGCCTTCCAAAGTGCTGGGATTACAGGCGTGAGCCACTAAGTCCGGCCCCTTTTTTATTTTTTAGTATGCTTACTCGATGGATTATATATTATTATCCTGATAAAAGAAAAACTTCAGCCAAACTAAATTTAAAGGAGTTCAATTAAGCAATGAATTTAACGGATCGGGCAGAATCACTGCAGATTCACAGAGACTCCACCGCAGCCATGTGATGCAAGAAGATTTATAGACATACAAAAATAAAAGGGAAATGACATACAGAAATCAGCAGGGAGGTACAGAAACAGCTGGCTTGGTTACAGGTTGGCATTTGCCTTATTTGAACACGGGCTGAACTCTCAGCAGTGTATGAATGGTTGAAGTATGGACGCTGGGATTGGCCAACACTCAGTTACGGTTACAGCCACATAAGCCTAAGTTAGGTTTTCAATCTTGCCTGCCTATTAAGCTAGGTAAGAGTTCATCCACAAGGACTCAAATATAGAAGTATGGACTGCTTCCCAGGCAATATTTAGTTTGATTTAACAATTCTCAGGGTGGGTGTGGTGGCTCACGCCTGTAATCCCAGCACTTTGGGAGGCCGAGGCGGGCTGATCACCTGAGGTTGGGAGTTCAAGGCCAGCCTGACCAACATGGAGAATCCCCGTCTCTACTGAAAATACAAAACTAGCCAGGTGTGGTGGTGCATGCCTGTAATCCCACCTACTTGGGAGGCTGAGTCAGGAGAATCGCTTGAACTCGGGAGGTGGAGGTTGTGGTGAGCTAAGATCACACCATTGCACTCCAGCCTGGGCAACAAGAGCGAAACTCCATCTCAGAAAAACAAAAACAAGAACAAAAAACAAACAAACAAAAATCCTCAATATTCTGTTTGCTTTTGTGAAATCTTTATTTAATATGCTAGATTTTTTTAAATGTTGATGCTTTGGAAAAGCGTTGTTATCTTTGCCTATGAGCAAGTTTTTCCCGGAGTATTTGGCTTTTCTGTGAAGTAACCCCATGTCCTTTTGAAAGACTGTTTCTGGAAATGCAGCTGCCAAGTTGGGAGGAAACCCAAGCAACCATTTGGGAATGACCCCACGGAAGAGAAACAAGGCCTCTGGCCAACACCCCCAGCTCTTCCGAGGTACCTGCCAGCAACAACTCTCAGCCATGTGAATGAAGTCACTTCGGACTCTGCACCTGCCTCAGTGCTCCAGCCACCACCACCACATTCAGCAGAACCACCTGGCCAACCCATCAGATAATGAGAACTCATATATTAAGTCCTTAAAAAAAAAAAAAAAAAAGCACCAGCTGATGCCGTCTTTGCCTGCTGACACCTTCACCACACCCTTTGCTCTGAAAAATTCAGTTGACAAAATTAGTTTGAAATGCGAATGCCAGGGCTTTATTTATTGTCATTATTTTGGACAATATCCCCAGTACGTTTGGGACATTTTATCACCGTTCAAAGGACCTCTTAGTGTGGAGAAAACTGAGCCTATTTCGGATTTCAAATAAGTAGGAGAGAGATTTAAAATTACTCTGACCTAGTAAACTCTCAAAAAAAAGTAATGCATTTCCCTAGAATGAGATGATATTTGAAAAGCTGATTATAAATCATTTCATTCTACTCACTAAATCAGGGCTGCGTTGCTCTGCTATCTATTAGGACTTTAATAATGTGTTACCTTTTGAATGCAGTAAGAATTCAATCTTTGAAACTCTCATAATACAAAGCTTAGGATAATATAAACTCAGTCAAAGTGAGATTCTTTGACATGAACTCTTCATGTTTTTTCATTCAAAGAGGAGAACTCTGTCCTTTCCTTCATTCTCCCTTTTTTAGTAGAAAAAGTAATTCTTGTAGAAGATACGTATTCCTTCAGATCTCTCAAATTTCCTCTCTAGTGACATCTGCTTCACCAACATTCCTTTTTTCCCCTTTTCCTTGTTCTTGTTCATTTTCCTTTATCGTCTGTGTTTTTCTCATACTTAATTTGCTTCGTGATTTAGGAACTTTTGTTTTACTGGGATTTGTCACTTGAAAGTCCCAATCCTTTCACGGTCTATCCAGGCCTTTCAACCGTGCCAATAACCGGCTAAGTCTGCAGTAGTCTGGATGGAATTCCAGACGGCGTCCAGTCTTTGTCTCTGCAAGCCTGCTTCTCATTGACTCTTAGATCGGCTCTCCTGTTCCAGCTGCAATTTTCCACAGTGCCTCTTTGTTTCAGAATTGGAGCAGTAACCCCTTTTCTTTTTATTTCCAGTCAGCTTTTTTTCCTGCCCCCAAGTAGCAGAGACTGCAGTGCACATAAAGTTAGGGACTCAGCTTGTGTCTGCATAAATATTTGACCTGAATCTAGACAAGATGCAGGTGCGTGGTTTTTCTGATTTATTTTTACACTCAGGCAACTCATCTTTTTTGCTGCTTCTACCCTCGTGAGAGGTAAGAGCTGGGAGTCACACCAGATTCAATTCAGCCAGTGTGCTGCTATCCGTTTCTTTTAGGCTGACTCTCTCTACTGTTTGACACAGCTGCCTCGCTAGCTCATGGCCATGTGTAAAATCAGCATTAAGGGGGCTGGGTGTGGTGGCTCACGCCTATAATTCCCGCAGTTTGGGAGACCGAGGCAAGCAGATCACCTGAGGTCAGGAGTTGGAGACCAGCCTGGCCAACATGGCAAAACCCCATCACTACAAAAATACAAAAAATTAGCTGGGCATGGTGGTGCACGCCTGCGGACCCAGCTACTCGGGAGGCTGATGCAGGAGAATTGCTTGGACCCGGGAGGCACAGGTTGCAGTTAGCCAAGGTCACGCCTTTGCACTCCAGCCTGGGCGACAGACTGAGACTCTGTCTCAAAAAACAAAAAACAAAACCAAAATCAACATTAAGGGAAATTGAACAATATATTAATTATTGACTGGGCTTTCAGGCACCATTGTTTAAAAAGACTTGCTGAAAAACAAAGCAAGCTTACCCCATTTCCTCTACTCCATCCGGAGTCAACTGTCACAGCTAAGAGTTGTGATGATCTCCAAAAAGTGTTGGATATTGGAAGCCTTGATGTTCGAACTGCAGAGATTTTTCTACAGCAGAAGTGGAAGAAGGTTTTCTGGTGAAGGACAGACTTGAAGATAGCTCACCATGATTCTCATATTGTGATATTCATTTCTTGCATGATCCCCTCCCATTGAGTATGGACAAGACCTGGGACTTGCTTCTTTCTTTTTTTTTGAGACGGAGTTTCGCTCTGTCACCCAGCCTGGAGTGCAGTGATGCAATCTCAGCTCACTGCAACCTCCGCCTCCCAGGTTCAAGCGATTCTCCTGCCTCAGCCTCCTGAGTAGCTGGGATTACAGGCACATGCCACCACACCCGGCTAATTTTTGTATATTTAGTAGAGACGGGGTTTCATCATGTTGGTCAGGCTGGTCTCGAACTCCTGACCTTGTGATCCTCCCACTTTGGTCTCGCAAAGTGCTGGGATTACAGGCGTGAGCCACTGCGTTCGGCCTCAGTACCATACGTTTTACTATAGATATCATCTCCAAGGAGGGCAGAGAGAAGAGTAAAAATAGCAAAATTCAGAGATGGTTACACACTTTCTTTTTGTTGTTATTGTTTTCATTCCTTTGTCCTCTGCTACATCACAGGCTTTCAGTTCTCCAAGTGGGATGCGCTGTGGTGCTTATTTAATTTCAGTCTCCTTTTCCCAGTCACCTGTTAGGAAGCTGTGGGTTCGTCCTTGTTCAATTAGTCATGGAATTTGAACACTGATAATGGCTTCTGAAATGTAATTTAAATTGTAGATTTGTGATATCTGCTAGTATGTATTCATTCTCAAAGCCAGCCTCATTTTTATTAGTCACAGTTTTGAATTATTTACTAGTTTCTTTCATTAGAATTGAAAAATGATATTTTAGATTGTTTCAGATGTCTGTGCCTTAAAGTAAATGAAAATGGGAGCTGAAAGAAATCTATATCTTTCTTACTCTGAGAGCAATTCATGGACATTCCCTTCTGTTTATAGTTTCATAGGAGTTTTAAGTGATTTTAAAATACAGGGCTTCCAGTTATATTGGGGGAATAATTTTTTTGTGTGTGTGTGATGGAGTCTTGCTCTGTTGCCCAGGCTGGAGTGCAGTGGCATGATCTCGGCTCACTGCAACCTCCGCTTCCCAGGTTCAAGTGATTCTCATGTCTCAGCCTCCCAAATAGCTGGGATTACAGGCACAAGCCACCATGCCCGGTAAATTTTTTGTACTTCTTTAGCAGAGACAGGGTTTCACCATGTTGGCCAGGCTGGTCTCGAACTCCTGACCTCAGGAGATCCACCCGCCTCGGCCTCCCAAAGTGCTGGGATTACGGGCATGAGCCACCGTGCACCTGGCTGATTTTTTTTTTTTTTTCCTGAGTCTCAGTCTCTTGCCCAGGCTAGAGTGCAGTGGTGCAATCTTGGCTCACTGCAACCTCCGCCTCCCAGGTTCAGGCGATTCTCATGTCTCAGCCTCCCAAATAGTTGGGATTACAGGCACGAGCCACCACATCCGGCAAATTTTTTGTGCTTTTTTAGTAGAGAAAGGGTTTCACCATGTTGGCCAGGCTGGTCTCGCACTCCTGGCCTTAGGTGATCCGCCCGCCTCGGCCTCCCAAAGTGCTGAGATTACAGGCATGAGCCACTGCGCCCGGCTAGGAGAATGATTTATCAGTGCAAGTTGTTTTATTACTGATAAACTACTGGAGAATGGATGCACATTTTTCTTGAACTTTCTGTTTTTCTTTTTTTTTTTTTTTTTGACAGGGTCTAGCTCTGTCACCCAGACTGGAGTGCAGTGGCAGGATCATGGCTCACCTTAGCCTTGACCTCCCAGGCTCAATGATCCTCCCATCTCAGCCTCCCGATTAGCTGGGGACTGCAGGCACACAACATAATGCTCAGCTAATTGTTTTTTCTTTTTCTTTCTTTCTTTTTTTTTTTTTTTTTTGTTGAGACGGAGTTTCACTCTGTCACCAGGCTAGAGTGCAATGGCTTGATCTGAGCTCACTGCAATGTCCACCTCTCGGGTTCAAGCGATTCTTGTGCCTCAGCCTCCCGAGTAGCCAGGATTACAGGCACGTGCCACCAGGCCCAGTTAATGTTTGTATTTTTAGTAGAGACAGGTTTCAACATGTTGGCCAGGCTGGTCTTGAACTCCTGACCTCAGTTGATCCTCCCACGTTGGCCTCCCAAAGTTCTGTGATTACAGGCATAAGCCACTGCATCCAGCCTAATTTTTATATTTTTTTTTTTTGTAGAGATTGGGTTTCACCATGTTGTCCAGGCTGGGCTCAAACGCCTGGGTTCAGGTGATCCTCCCGCCTCAGCCTCCCAAAGTGCTGGGATTACAGGCGTGAGCCACCATGCCTGGCCTCTGGGGCTTTCTTTATTTGATTGCTGAGCTGTTTTCCTTGTGGATCATTGAAAGCTACGCCCTCAAAAGGCAAAAATGGGCAGCTCCCTGCATCTTGCATTCAGGTTTCTGAAAAAAAAAAAAAAAAAAAAAAAAAAAAAGCTTAAGTCACACTGACTGCTGGTTTTTTCTTGTCATATTGAATCTCCAAGATGTGCCTTCAGACATTTCCTCTGGGTCTGTTGGAGGATAGGTTTCGTTTGACCTGAGATTTCATTAATTTTCTCCGAGAGGCGTTTGCTTAGATGTTTCCATGTCACGTGAACCCCTCCTCTCCGTGGTTTGGGTTTTGTTTGGGAGTTGTTTGGGGTTTGTTTGGGGTTTTGTTTGGGGTTTTTCTGAGATGGAGTTTCGTTCTTGTTGCCAGGCTGGAGTGCAGTGGTGCAGTCTTGGCTCACTGCAACCTCCACCTTCCAGGTTCAAGCAACTCTCTGACCTCAGCCCCCCAAGTAGCTGGATTATAGGCGCCCGCCACCCCTCCTGGCTAATTTTTGTATTTTTAGTACAGACGGGGTTTCACCATGTTAGCCAGGCTGTCTCAAACTCCTGATCTCAGGTGATCCGCCCACCTCGACCTCCCAAAGTGCTAGGATTACAGGTGTGAGCCACCGCACCCGGCCTACTTTCTTACTTAACCTGATGTAATGTCTTTCACGTGTGTTGGAGTTTATGGAACTTCAATTTCATTGATGGACGACTACCCCAGGCACTTCCATTTTATTCCTTTCACCAGATGTTCCTGTTTAATTCTCTCTTATTAATGTCATAACCTGCTCGTGTTCTTTTGTACAAATAATAAACGTTCATTCATGGGAATACCTCAATGCAAAAACGTGTACTCACCATCCTTCCTCAATTTAAGTGCTTAAAAAAATAACCTCTAGGCCAGGCGCGGTGGCTCATGCCTATAATCCCAGCACTTTGGGAGGCTGAGGTGGGCGGATCACGAAGTCAGGGGTTTGGGACCAGCCCAGCCAACATGGTGAAACCCCGTCTCTACTAAAGACACAAAAGATTAGCCAGGCATGGTGGCATGGCGCCTGTAATCCCAGCTACTCGGGAGGCTGAGGCAGGAGAATTGCTTGAACCCGGAGGTGGAGGTTGCAGTGAGCCGAGATGGCACCATTGCACTCCAGCCTGGGCGACAGGGCAAGACTCAGTCTCAAAAAATAAAATAAACTAAAATAACCTCTAGGCTGGGTGCAGTGGCTCAGGTCTGTGATCCCAGCACTTTGGGAGGCTGAGGTGGGCGGATCACTTGAGGTCAAGAGCTCAGGATCAGCCTGGTCAACATGGCGAAAACCCATTTCTGCTAAAAATACAAAAATTAGCCAGGTGGGGTGTCGGGTGCCTGTAATCCCAGCTACTTGGGGGGCTGAGGCAGGAGAATAGCTTGAACCTGGGAGGCGGAGGTTGCAGTGAGCTGAGATCGCACCACTGCACTCCAGCCTCGGTAACAGAGCAAGACTTCATCTCACAAAAATAAATAAATAAATAAATAAATAAATAAATAAATAAATAAATAAGTAACCTCCAAGCCATAATTTTAGTGATGGTTTTACTTTGTTTGACATGTACGTTTTAAAAGAAATTTATAATAAGAAAAAATTATTGAACATAATTATGTTACTCATGATGTGTCCATCCTCACTCCCCCAAAAAATTGGCATCAAAATCTCACTTTGACTCCAGATGTTTACCAAAATGCATTCACTTTCAGCTGAAAGATGTTTTGTGGCCAAAAAGAAAAAAATAACCTGGAAATAGACCAATGTTTCCTCATGCTGCAAAAGGTCTGCTTTGGCTTGATAAGGCGATCAGGTGTTTGCAAAACATTTCCACCCTCTTTTTTTTTTAGTAACAGAAAAGTTGGCACTTCTGCTAGCCCAACATTTTTGCACACAGAAGTTTTCTCAGTTAAAAGCTGCCTGGGACGGTGCCTCCAGCTTGAAATTCTTCTGCATCTCTGCACAGCACTGTGCTGAATTTTGCAAGTGCCGCCAACAAGAAGCTGCGGCAGGGTGCTGGGAATTTCACAGAAAGCTATTCCCTTTTTCCTACCTGGTTATAGAAACTGCTTTTTCTTTAGAATGTTATAGTTACCCTTTGAATAGTGGCTTATCATTTCAATACATTTTTGTATGAATTTTAAATGCCTATATTCAACCCAACTTTTTCCTTTCTCCTAGGGGGCTGATACCGTCAGGACAGCGGCTTGCTGAAAGTTTTAACAATGAATTCTGCAAAAAAAAAAAAAAAAAAAAAGAAACCCTGGTCAGAGCCTATGCCAATTTCTCTGGTGTAAATTTTCCTCTTGTGGTTGATTTAAAGGTACTCAGGTGAGATTATGGAATGCGGATTTGGAAAGAGATAATGCCCTGTTGGTTCTCATAAGCTCATACGAGCTACTCCTAGCACCCCTGTATGTCAAGGTGTACAAGGCAGAGAAAGATGACAAGCTGGTGATCTTGGGAGGGAAAACCTTAGTCCCCACAGGTGATTGGTTCAAAGGGCGCTATGACCACTGCAGCAGGAGCACAATCTGATATGGAGTTCAATGCTCCTGGGAAGATGTGTTTAGACCGGGGATCTCCAACCCCTAGCTGCAGATTTGTACCAGTCTGTGGCCTGTTAGGAACTGGGATGCCCAGCAGGAGGTGAGCAGAAGGCACCTCTATTTACATCTGTATTTACAGCATCTGTATTTGCAGCTGCTTCTGATCACTGCCATTACCATCTGAGCTCTGCCTCCCGTCAGGTCAGTGGTGGCATTAGATTATCGTGGAAGCATGAATCCTATTGTGAACTGCCCATATGAGAGATCGAAGTTGCATGCTCCTTATAAGAATCTAGTGCCTGATGATCTGTCACTGTCTCCCATCAACCCCAGATGGGACCATGTAGTTGCAGGAAAACAAGTCACGGCTCCCACTGATTCTACATGATGGCAAGCTGTAGACTTATTTCACTATGTATTCCAATGTAATAGTAATAGAAATAAAGTGCACAATGAATGCAGGGTACTTGAATCATCCTGAAACCATCTGCCCATCCCCTGGTCCACGGAAAAATTGTCTTCCGCAAAACCTGTCCCTGGTGCCAAGAAGTTTGGGGACCACTGGTGCAGACCTTTCTCCCCTCCTTCTGAAAATCTTCTGGCCAGAGTCCTGCTGTGTGACGGTTAGGATTGAGGGTCAACTTGATCGGATTGAAGGATGCAAAGCATTGTTCCTGGGTGTGTCTGTGAGGGTGTTTCCAAAGGAGATTCACATTTGAGTCAGTGGACTGGGAGATGCAGACCCACCCTCATTGTGGGTGGGAACGATCTCATCAGCTCCCAGTGTGGCTAGGATAAAAGCAGGCAGAGGAACATGGAATGAGAAGACTTGCTGAGTCTCCCGGCCTCCATCTTCCACCCGTGCTGGCTGCTTCCTGCCCTCGAACATCAGACTCCAAGGTCTTCAGTGCTTGGACTCTTGGACCTACAGTGGTTTGCCAGGGGCCTATCGGGCCTTTGGCCACAGACTAAAGGCTGCACTTTCAGCTTCCCTACTTTTTAGGTTTAGGGACTCGGACTGGCTTCCTGGCTCCTCACCTTGCAGATGGGCTATTGTAGGACTTCACCTTGTGATTATGTGAGTCAGTTATCCTAGTAAATTCCCCTTCATATATACATCTATCTGATTAGTTCTGTCCCTCAAGAGCACCCTGACTAATATATACTGGAAATGGCCTCTGTTACCCAGACATGTGCCTCCAAGGAGAAAGTTCTTGGAAGCCAGATGAGTTCTCTCTATGACCTTCAGTTCAACACGTGGATGAAGGTGTGGAATGAGGCAGTAGGAAGGGCTCTGAGCCAGGCATGCTGAGAGCTTATCATCACATAACAACACTGGGATTGTCAGGCTCTTCAGAGATACAGAACTAATATAGTTTGAATATTTGTCTCCTCCAAATCTCACTTTGAAATTTGGCCCCTAATGTTGGTGGTAGGGCCTAGTGGGAGGTATTTGGGTGATGGGAGCAGATCTCTCATGAATGTCTTTGTTCTGTCTCTACAGTAATTAATGAGTTCTTGCTCTGTTTGTTCACATGAGAGCTGGTTGTTTAAAACAGCCTGGCACCTCTCTCTCTCACCTCCTTTCTCACCCTGTGACATGCCAGCTCCACTTCACCTTCCACCATGAGTGGAAGCTTCCTGAGGCCTCACCAGAAGCAGATGCTGGCTCCATGCTTGTACAGTCTGCAGAACTGTGAGCCAAATAAACCTCTTTTCTTTATAAACCACACAGCCTCTGGTATGCCTTTAGAGCAATGTGTATTAGTTTGTTCTCACATTGCTATAAAGAACTATCTGAAGCTGGGTAATCCATAGAGAAAAAAGGTTTAATTGGCTCATGGTTCCATAGGCTATACAAGAGGCATGGCTGGGGAGGCCTCAGGAAACTTACAATCATGGCAGAAGGTGAAGAAGAAGGAGGCACTTCTTACATGGTTGGAGTAGAAGAAACAGAGTGAAGCAGGAGGTGGTACACACTTTTAAACAACTAGATGTCTTGTGAACTCACTCACTATCACACAAACAGCAAGGGGGGAATCCACCCCTTGATCCAGTCACCTCCCACCATGCCCTCTCTCCATTATTGGAGATTACAATGGGATGTGAGATTTGGGTGGGGACACAAATCCAAATCACATCACATTGCAAAACAGACTAAGACAAGAACCAGACAAATAAACATATAAAACAGGATTCACTCTGGGAATTGGCCCACATGATTATGGAGGCTGAGAAATTTCATGATCTGCCATCTGGAAGCTGGAGAACCAGGGAAACGGGTGGCACAAAACAGTCAGAATCCAAAGGCCTAAGGGTGGGTGTGGAAGGTGCGGGGAACTGAGGGGCTCTGCTCGTGTAAGTCCTGGAGTCCAAAGACACAAGAACCAAGAGCTCTGCTCTCTGAGGAGATGGATGTCCCAGCTCAAAAACAGAGAGGAAGTTTTCCCTTCCTCTACCTTTTTCCTCTACTTGGGCCCTCCATGGATTGAGTGATGCCCACTCCTAGTGGTGAGAGTCTTCTTTACTCAGTCTGCTTGTTCAAATGCAAATCTCTTCTGCAAACACACTCACAGACACACCTAAGGGTTTTACCAGCTACCTGGGCGTCCCATAGCCCAGGCAAGTTGACATGTACAGTTAACCATCACTTCCACCTACACATTGGCTGAGTTCCTCCATCTGCCAGGACTCCCTGGCCAATGTGGAATAACACTCTCTTGGCTTCCTTCTGAGGCTTGCTGGGGAATCAAATGAGAATTTGCAAGCCTGAAAGTTTGTATTAAAGAGTGTGATGCCAGTTTTTGATATTTGGTTGCTGACAACTTCCAAGTGCACCCTCTCAATTCCCGTGGAATGGAGATATCTTTATTTGTCTGGTTCTTGTCTTAGTCCATTTTGCATTGTGATGTGATTTGGATTAGTGTCCCCACCCAAATCTCACATCCAATTGTAATCTCCAATAATGGAGAAAGGGCATGGTGGGAGGTGACTGGATCAAGGGGTGGATTCCCCCCTTGCTGTTTGTGTGATAATGAGTGAGTTCACAAGACATCTAGTCTGTTCTCCCCACAAATGATGACAAAGCACATCTTGGCAAACTGCTGATAAAGCCCAGGTGCTTGCTCCTTTGGTGCCAGTGGGAGCTTGAAATCAGGTAAGGCCGGGTGTGGTGGCTCATGCCTGTAATCCCAGCACTTTGGAAGGCTGAGGTGGGCAGTTCACTTCAGGTCAGGAGTTCGAGACCAGCCTGGCCAACATGGTGAAACCCCGTCTCTACTAAAAATACAAAAATTAGCCAGGCGTGGTGGCATGTGCCTGTAATCCCAGCTACTTGAGAGGCTGAGGCAGGAGAATCACTTGAACCTGGGAGGTGGAGGCTGCAGTGAGCCGAGATCTCACCACTGCACTCCACCCTGGGTGACAGAGTAAGACTCCATCTCAAAAAATAAAAAATTACAAAAATTGAAACCAGGCAAGCTGCTGTACTGCATTTGGGAATCTCACCCTACCCTGCTCCTTACCCACAATAAAAATTCAATCTAGAGTTTTTTCTTTACCATCTTGGTCTATTCTGGATCAGCTTGGAAGATCTTTCCTGCTCTCCCGCAAAAGCTGTATTATGTAAGAAATATGTGTTTGCATACTCTGTTTGTATGTGTGTATGTGTGTATGTGTGTATGTGGGGGGTGGGGTGGGGGGGTCATGAGTCTTGACATCCTGACCAAATTTGGGAGGAACAGGTGCATCCTATTATTTCAAGATGGCCTCACCAGCGCAGCATGGTGGCTCATGCCTGTAATCTTAGCATTTGGGGAGGCCAAGACAGGAAGTTCGCTTGAGACCAACAGTTTCAGACCAGGCTGTGCAACATAGCGAGATCTTATCTCTCTAAAAAAAATTAGCCAGGCCTGGTGGCACGCACCCCTATAGTCCCAGCTTCTCAGGAGGCTAAGAAGAGAGGATCACTTGAGCCCAGGAGTTCAAGCCTTCAGTGAGCCATGATTCCACCACTGCACTCCAGTCCCAGGCTCTTAGAATGAGACCTTGCTTTAAAAAAAAAAAAAAAAAAAAAAAGGCTATGGCTACACTAGTGTCCTTGGATAAAAGTAAAACGATCTAGATCGACACAACTATAATTCTTTTTTTTCTTTTTTTTTTTTTTTTGAGACAGAGTCTTGCTCTGTTGTCCAGGCTGGAGTGCAGTGGCGCGATCTCAGCTCACTGCCACCTCTACCTCCCAGGTTCAAGCGATTCTCTTGCTTCAGCCTCATGAGTAGCTGGGACTACAGGCGTGCACCATCATGCCCGGCTGATTTTTGTGTTTTTACTAGACACGGGGTTTCAGCATGTTGGCCAGGCTGGTCTCAAACTCCTGACCTCAAGTGATCTGCCCGCCTCAGTCTCCCAAAGTGCTGGGATTACTGGCAGGAGCCACCACACCCAGCCCACAAGGCCATAATTCAATTGTGAAGTTCCCAGTTGCCGATGATCCTGGCCTGCCTTCCTCAGTTAGAACCTTCTAGGCATGCACACAGGTGGGGTGGTCTGTGTTTTTCTTTTCCTTTTTCCATTTACATGGGATTTTAGACACACTGTGTAGTTGGAAGACTGGAAGATTTCTATTTGTAAATGAAATTCGACCTGAATGAGAAAGAGTCGTAACTCTACAGGGATCATCCATCAATGCCTAAGTTCCTTCCATCCCCAGTTTGAACACATCTGTTATGCATGAGACTCCTTAAGCTGCACAAAAAGCACACACTCATTTCATGCGATGGACAGCCGGAAGCAGTGCATCCTGCAGGCTAGGATGTGTTGCTTTGTTGAAAGCTTTGCCGGACAGCCTGTAATTTGGAGGGAGAACGGCCTGAAGCATTCAGATTCAGCAAAAGGCTCTTCTTTTGAAACCAGATCATACTGTTATCACCAGAAAGAGGTCCCGATCCAGACCCTCAAGAGAGTATTCTTGGATCTTGCCCAAGAAAGAATTTAGGGCGAGTCCATAAAGTGAAAGCCAAGTTTATTAGGAAAATAAAGGAATCAAGAATGGCTACTCCATAGCCAGAGTAGCCCCAGGACTGCTGGTTGCCCATTTTTATGGTTATTTCTTGGATATGCTTAACAAGGGGTGGATTATGGTTATTTGTATGGATATGCTAAACAAGGGGTGGATTATTCATGCCTCCCCTTTTAGACCATATAGGGTAACTTCCTGACGTTGCCATGGCATTTGTAAACTGTCATGGAGCTGGTAGGAGTGTAGCAGTGAGGACCACCAGAGGTCACTCTTGTGGCCATCTTGGTTTTGGTGTGTTTTCGCCGGCTTCTTTACCTGTTTATCTTTTACCTGTTTTACCAGCAAGGTCTTTATGACCTGTCTCTTGTACCGACCTCCTATCTCATCCTGTGACTTAGAATGCCTTAACCATCTGGGAATGCAGCCCATAAGTCTCAGCTTCATTTTGCCCAGCCCCTATTCAAGATGGAGTTGCTCTGGTTCAAACACCTCTGACCATACTTTAACCTGATTCTGCAAAAAGCCCTCTCATCAGATGCCTCTGCAGCATGGAGGGTCGCAGATTGAATATACTCTTTTCTAGGTCTTGAGTGGATTTGTTGCAGAGCCAGTGAGCAAATGCAGTTATCACCACCTTGGTTTGCCTGTGACTGTCATCATGATGAAACAGCTACATTGTCTGGGGTACATACCCTGGGGTTCATTGTCTCGCACCGAGAAAGAATTCAGGACACAGACACGTGTGGGTGGATTAAGGAGTGGAAAGTTTAAGAGACAAAGAAAGGAAAGAAGAGAGCAGCTCCTTGCCAGAGAGAGAGAGAGAGAGAGACATCTGAAAAGTAGGGAGGTGGCAGTCAGCAGCAGATTTTATAGGCAGGCTGGAGAAGGTGGTGTTTGATTTATGTAGGGCTCACAGATTGGTTCCATCAGGTACGTTTACATAGCGCCTGTGGGGAAGGCTGATTGCCCCACCTTAATCTTATTATGCAAATGGGCTTTCCACTTGATAGGCGCCATCTTGTCTGCTCCTTACTGTACAAGTGGCCGACAAAGAGGAGGAAGATGGAGCCACCCTGTTGAACGTCTCTAGTCCCTAGTTCCTGCCGGCATTCACCCGTGCAAGCTCCCAGCTGGCTTGTCTATGTCTGCAGCTTGACTTGACAGGCTGCTCTTTGTTAGAAAATGACTTGGGGCTGCTTTTCATTAAAGAGAAAAGCCTTACCAAGGACTCCCATACCCTTACTGTCTGCCTAAGTGATTTCTTCTTAACTCCTGTATCACTGGCAGACTCCCAGTTGCCTGTTGGGTGGAGTACTATATTGCCGAGTATCATGACTGTATTAGATGTGAGGGAGACAGTGTGAATAGGACATGGTCCCTGAAGAGCACAGAGCTCTCATGTGGGGCTGGGCGGAGCTTCTGTCCTATCCAGTGTTACGGAACCCTTGCAAGCACAGGTCAGGCAGCTCCAGTGCTGGAAGACATGCACGCAAAATCCAGGGGGACCATTGCAAAGAGGTTTAGTGTTTCTTGGAAAAATGCCAGAAGTCTGAAGAAGTGGTGGCCCCGAGCAGCTTTGAAGGATGTGCATGCAATTAAACCGAAGCCAAAGGGTCAGAGAGAGGAGTGAGAGCCAGGTAGGAATCTATGTGCAGCTTCATCATAAACTCACAGGCAGGCTTCATGCAGCACCGTCTCAGTGCATTCAATGTTTGGATTCCACACGCATGCATCCTCAACCCCCTTGCAATGCTATTCTCCCTGGAGGGAAATGGGTCATTCTTACTCTATCATATGCAGATATCTGGTCAACCAGATAAATGTGTGAGAAAACACCAACAAAGCAGAAATTACTTTTAATTATAGAGCAGAGTCATCGTAAAAGTTTGTGCAAAAAAAATTTTTTTTTTTTTTGTGGCTGGGTCTCCCTCTGTTACCCAGGCTGGAGACCTGGAATGCAGTGGTGTGATCATGGCTCACTGCAACTTCGACTTCACAGGCTCAGGTGATCCTCGCACCTCAGCCTCCCAAGTAGCTAGGATGACAGGTGTGTGCCACCACACCTAGGTAATTTTTGTATTTTTTGGTAGAGATGAGGTCTCACTATGTTGCGCAGGCTGGTGCTGAAATTCTGGGCTCCAGTGATCCTCCTACCTCTGCTTGCAAAGTACTCGGATTACAGGTGTGAGCCACAGTACCTAGCAAGATTTTTTTTTTTTTTTTTTTGAGATGGAGTTTTGCTCGTGTTGCCCAGGCTGGAGTGCAATGATGCGATCTCGGCTCACGGCAACCTCCGCCTCCCGGGTTCAAGCGATTCTCCTGCCTCAGCCTTCCCAAGTAGCTGTGATTACAGGCATGTGCCACCACGCCCGGCTAATTTTGTATTTTTAGTAGAGACGGGGTTTCTTCATGTTGGTCGGGCTGGTCTCGAACTCCCAACCTCAGGTGATCTGCCCGCCTCGGCCTCCCAAAGTGCTGGGATTACAGGCGTAAGCCACTGCGCCTGGCCAGCAAGATTCTTTTTAAGGCACTTATTTTTATTTAGGGAATGAGAGACTGTACAATATTGTAAACAAATAAAATCAGAAAACATATTGTGTTTCCACGGTTCCAACACATATGGGTCACATGAATTGCGTGAACTCACTGTTAAGTGCATGGTAAATATCATGCTTTAAAAAGAGAAAGATGTTTCGGCATCACTTTTTTTTTCTTTTTCTTTTTTCAGATGGAGTCTGGCTCTGTCCCCCAGTCTGGAGTGCACTGGCACCATGTCAGCTCACTGCAACCTCCGCCTCCTGGGTTGAAGTGATTCTCCTGCCTTAGCCTCCTGAGTAGCTGGGATTACAGGCGCCTGCCACCATGTCTGGCTAACTTTTGCATTTTAGTAGAGATGGGGTTTCACCATGTTGGTCAGGCTGGTCTCAAACTCCTCAGCTCAGGTGATCCGCCCCCCTCCGCCTCCCAAAGTACTGGGATTACAGGTGTGAGCCACCGAGCCTGGCCCAGTATCACTTGCTTAAATATTTTAGAAATGTGTAGAACTTTCAGGAAGTTACAAAAACCATGTTCCATGAGCTATTTTAACATATTTACTTGACAGCTGTCTCATGTGGCTTTTGTAAATAAAAGTACAAGTACGGCCGGGCACAGTGGCTCCCACCTGTAATCCTAGCATTTTCGGAGGCCAAGGTTTAGGATCCCTTGAGACCAGGAGTTGGAGACCAGCCTGGGCAACATGGTGAGATCCCATCTCTACAAAAGAAAAAAAAAAAATTAGCTGGATGTGGTAGGATGCACCTGTATTCCCAGCTACTGGGGAGGCTGAGGTAGGAGGATTGCTTGAGACCAGCAGGTCAAGGCTGCAGTGAGCTGTGATTGCACCACTGCACTCTAGCCTGGGTGACAGAGCAGAACTCTGTCTTTAAAAAATAAAAATAAATAAATGCAAGTGTATGGAGCACTCAGCCTAGGAGTGTTTTTAGCACGAGCTGCAATTATAGATGGGGTCAGCTGCATGACCCAAGATGAAACCTAGAAGAAAACACTCACGTTCACCACCACCATCAACAGTGCCTTCCGCAACACATCCCTCCATGGGAACTGCCAGATGTTTCTTTCTCTCTATTGTGTAGCTAAATATTTTCTGAACTATATTGGGCAATTCTTTCCAACACAAATGTCTTGGAATGCTAATAAAAGTGCCTGGGGAAAAAAAGAGGCTCTAAATTCAGGGGGAAAAAATGTGGAAAAGACTGAGCTTCTCAGAGTTGAGCGGTTCTTTTCAGCAAGATTTCTCAGTCTTTTGTTTGCTGAAGGGCAATTAAATCTCCCAGGAGAGATACTGTGGGTACTGTGGTCCGCGTGCCCAAAATTCTTTAACCACAGAACTGTTTTTGCTAAAGTCAGTTATTAACATTTCAATCACATGGGATTCCAGGGACTAGAACCTTAAAAGTCCGAAAGTCACTGAAGCATTTGTTCAATAATCCCAGTCAGATAAAATTTACTAGTTACAACAACTTTGGACAAGAGTCGGATGCCTTTTCAAAGGAAGTTGAATGGTGCAGTATAAATGTGCCATGCACCCTCCATGGAAACACAAGATTTATGTTTCATGCACGTGTGGGTGAAAATTTTCACATGCTAAGTGCTGTGTTATCTGAGTTTGTCATGTTTTCTCAACAAGTGCGTTTCTTTTTTTTGAGTTGTTTTGTTTTGTTTTTTGAGATGGCGTCTCGCTCTGTCACCCAAGCTGGAGTGCTGTGGCACGATCTGGGCTCACTGGAACCTCCGTCTCCTGGGTTCAAGCAATTCTCCTGCCTCAGCCTCCCAAGTAGCTGGGATTACAGGTGCCCACCAACACTCCTGGCTAATTTTTGTATTTTTAATAGGGATGAGGCTTCGCCATGTTGGCCAGAATGGTCTCAAACTCCTGACCTCAAGTGATCCTCCCGCCTCGGCCTCCCAAAGTGCTGGGATTACAGGTGTGAGCCACCACACCTGCACAAATTTGAGAACTGACTGCACACTCTGAGGATTTTAGACTTCAGCCAAGGCAAAACTCCAATTATTAGTTTTCGAATCATTTTACTTGTCAGGACATAGGTGCAGTTCCAGTTAACAGGGAAGAGTGGCACACCTGCTTATGCCTAATTATAAAGTAACTGAGGAAAACCATCAGTGTTTTCCAGGAAGTTGACAAAGTCCTGGTTCTTTATGAATGAGTTCAGAATCTGCCATTGAGGTTTCCAGAGATGCCAGACCTAAGAAATGCTGGGGAAATAAAGACACTTAAAGAGATAAAAACTGGCTGGTGTGATGGCTCACGCCGGTAATCCCAGCACTTTGGGAGGCTGAGGCGGGCAGATCACGAGGTCAAGAGACAGAGACCATCCTGGCCAACATGGCGAAACCCCGTCTCTACTAAAAATACAAAAAGTAGCTGGGCGTGGTGGTGCGCACCTGTAATCCCAGCTACTCGGGAAGCTGAGGCAGGAGAATCACTTGAACCTGGAGGCGGAGGTTGCAGTGAGCCGAGATCTGGCCACTGCACTCCAGCCTGGTGACAGAGTGAGACTCCGTCTCAAAACAAACAAAGAAAAGAAAGTAGAGGAATAAAAGAATGGCTAGTCCACATGCAGAGCAGCCCTGAAGGCTGCTGGTGGGCCATTGTTATGGTTGTTTCTTGATGATATGCTAAACGAGAGGTGAATTATTCATGCCTCCTGTTTTTAGACCATAGAGGGTAATTTCCTGATGTTGCCATGGCATTAGTAAACTGTCGTGGTGCTTGGTGGGAGTGTAGCAGTGAGGATGACCAGAGGTCACTCTCATCACCATCTTGGTTTTGGTGGGGTTTGGCCAGCTTCTTTACTCCAACCTGTTTTATCAGCTAGGTCTTTGTGACCTGTAGCTTGTGTTGCCTTCCTATCTCATCCTGTGTCTTAGAATGCCTAACCTCCCAAGAATACAGCCCAGTAGGTCTCAGCCTTGTTTTACCCAGCCCCTATTCAAGATGGAGTTGCTATGGTTCAAACACCCTCTGACACTGCCTGTATTAGTCTGTATTTATGCTGCTGATAAAGACATACTCGAGACTGGGAAGAAAAAGAGGTTTAATTGGACTTACAGTTCCACATGGCTGGGGAGGCCTCAGAATCATGGCGGGAGGCAAAAGGCACTTCTTACATGGCGGGGGCAAGAGAAAAGTGAGGAAGAAGCAAAAGCCGAAACCCCTGATAAACCCATCAGATCTTGTGAGGCGTATTCACTATCACAAGAATAGCATGGGAAAGACCATTCCCCCATGATTCAATTACTGCCCCTGGGTCCCTCCCACAACATGTGGGAATTCTGGGAGATAGAATTCAAGTTAAGATTTGGGTGGGGACACAGCCAAACCACATCACTGTCATTTTGTAAAAGATGTGCATTTTTGTCTTCTCCGGTTGCCATAACAAATCACCACCAATTTTGTGGCTTTAAAAGAACAGAAATGTAGTGTCTTCTGATTCTGGAGTTCAGAAGCCTGAAATTAGTATTGCTGGGCTAACACCCAGTTGTTGTCAGAGCTGATTCCTTCTGGAGTCTCCAGAGCAGAACCTACTCCCTTTCCTTTTGAAGCTTGTAGAGGCTGTTTTGCCATGCCTTGGCTTGTAGCCCCTTCCTCTACCTTAAAGACATCAGCACATTTCCCTCCTCTCAGACCTCTGTTTCTATCCCCACATCTCCTTGTCTGACTCTGACCCTCGTGCGTCCTCTTTCCGGTATAAGGGTGCTTGTGATGACATTGAGATACCCTCATTATGATCCAGGATAATCCTCTCATCTTAAAATCCTTAATCACTTTTGCAAAGTCACTTTTGCCATATAAGGTCACATATTCACAGATTTCAGGGATTAGGATGTGGGCGTCATTGGGGCCATTATTCTGTCTATCACATGGAGATTAGGATGTGGACATCTTTGGGGCCATTATTCTGTCTCCCACATGGGGATTAGGACATGGACATCTTTGGGGGTCATTATTCTGTCTCCCACATGGGGATTAGGACATGGACCTCTTTGGGTGTCATTATTCTGTCTACCACATGGGGATTAGAATGTGGACCTCTTTGGGGGACATTATTCTTTCTACCACATGGGGATTAGAATGTGGACATCTTTGGGGGACATTATTCTGTCTACCACATGGGGATTAGGACGTGGACATCTTTGGGGCCATCACCTGTCTACTACATGGAGATTAGGACATGGACATTTTGGGGGTCATTATTCTGTCTACCACATTAGGATTAGGATGTTGACATCTCTGGAGCCATTATGTTGTCTACCACATGCGGATGAGGACATGGACATCACTGGGGCCATCACTTTTTCTACCAGAAGAGGAAAGAGTATTGGGTTTAGGGTGAGGGGACATAAGTATGTGGTCCCAGAACTACCATTGGTTAGCTCATTACACTGGACAATGGACCTTGCCTCTAGGTCCTTGGGTCCTACATCTGTATTGTAGGGGTAATCCATCCTACATCAGATCTATGGTATTCAAGTAACGGGAACAGGCTAATACAGTCAGCCACTCAAAATGGCTTCATAACATCCTTAAGCTATGGAACCATGAGCCAGACATATCTGATTTGACAAAATTAAGATAAGGGTCAGAAAACTTTCTCTTCTGGCTCTCTGAAGCAAAGCCTTTATTTTGATCTGTCTAGCTGTCAATGTCTTTCCATTTTCAAATCACAGTTACCAGTCTTTCACCTTTACATGTATTTTAATGGCTTAACATCATTAATATCAGCAGGAAATTGATTTTTTTTTTTTTAGATGGAGTTTCGCTCTTGTCACCCAGGCTGGAGTGCAATGGCGCGATCTTGGCTCACCACAGCCCCCACCTCCAGGGTTCAAGTGACTCTCCTGCCTCAGCCTCCTGAGTAGCTGGGATTACAGGCATGCACCACCATACCCGGCTAATTTTTGTATTTTTAGTAGAGATGGGGTTTCTCCATGTTGGCCAGTCTGATCTCGAACTCCCAACCTCAGGTGATCCGCCCACCTAAGCCTCCCAAAGTGCTGGGATTACAGTCGTCAGCCACTGTGCTCGGCAGGAAATTGTTTTTACTAAGAGACCGCTGAGCCAGTGTGGAGAGGGATCAACATGAAAACATGATGGCATTTGAATATTATTTTCCAAAATCAGATTATCCCTTTAAACACACGTTTCTCTAACTCATGGGAGGCCAATGTCAGTCATGACATGAAATTATATTTCCCACATTGCATCTTAGACTAGAACTTCTATAAATCTGCAAGCCAAAAAAACAGAACTTCCAAGGCTCCATAGCAAAGTAACCAAGCCAACCCCATACTCACCTAGAATCGACTCTCTACAGCTGTGTTCATTCATCACACTCATTACTTCCAAATTAGATGTTTTTTTCTCCAACAGGCTCAATGACTACTTAATTTACATTCCAGCCACAAAATCAAGCCTCTGATCTTACCTACTCCTGTGTCAGGCATAAACGTAATTACGAATACAAAGTATTGCAGATTAGGTAATGCATTCAGTCTAGGATGGAAGACTCAGGTTGTACTTGGTGAGGGAAAGCGTTTACAACACCTGTCTACTGGATTTAAACATGCAGCTGCCATTGGGGTTAGGGTTGGAAATTTCCATATCACTGGTAGCTGAGTTCCTGACTAGTTGGGATAATCAAGGGTAGTTGAGAGCCAAGTACTTAATGATTATCTCCACTCTGCAAATGACCAATGTCTTGTGGCATACATTACCCAAACTTCTCATTCTACTTGGAATACTCCTTCTGTAGCAAGTCTAGGTCCTTCTAGAGCCGTCTTCAGAGTTGAGGTCTGGCAAACTCATTCCATGCCCAAGATCAAAACCAGTAGGCTTACCACTTTACCATTGGCATCCAAGCTTGACTTCTTGATCTTCAAGTGACATGCTTTCTGTATCCTCATTTCTGCCTTTATTCTTTCTTCTCCAAAATTCCCAAAGTGGTCTTGGGCAGAGAAGATAATGATGGGTTTTGGTTGTCCTTAAAAAGTCTGCATGGATATCTTCACAGGAAAGCAGCATGCTTTTACCTAATTTTGTTTTGTCCTCTCAGGTACATGGTGATTCCTAGTCTATCATGTGTGTGAATTTCTTGGGGTTCTGCTACAAGGCAGATTCTGTTTCAGTGGATCTGGGTGGGGCTTCACATTCTATGTGTCTAAGTCCTGGGCAATGGTGATACTGCTCATCCATGGACCATATATTGTGTCTTGAGGTTTTACAACACAGGTGTATATAGGTTTATGTATATAGGTGATGCCCTGCATAAACTCACTACAGAAAACGACCTGGGCTAGAAATGGTAGCAGAGTGCAACCTAGGGGTCCCTGGGTTGGCTTAAACTCAGTAGGTAGGCATGGAACTTGGGATGGCCACTTTCTTGACCCTTAGCAGGAATTGCATGGGTCCAGGCAATTTATCACAAGAAAAACAAAGTAAATGCCCCAGATGGATCAACTCAAATGCATCAGTACTAGTAGAAACAACTAAAATGATGGCTACCTGGCTGGATTCATGTTCTGTGGTAGCATCTTCCTCTACTGCTGATGTGAGGTTGGTCCCTGAAGCAGAAATGGCTCTTGTCGCCCAGGGACAAAGGAGTCTTGGCTGGGCACGGTGGCTCATGCCTGTAATCCCAACACTATGGGAGGCTGAGACAGGAGGATTGCTTGAGCCCAGGAGTTAAAGACCAGCCTGGACAACATGGCAAAACCCTGTCTCAAAAAAAGAAAGAAAGGAAGAGAGAAAGAGAGAAAGAAAGAGAGAGAGAAAGAAGGAAGGAAGGAAAGGAAGGAGAGAGAGAGAGAAAAAAAAAGAAAGGAAGAAAGAAAAGAAAGAAAGAAAAGAAAAGAAAAAAAGAAGAAAAGAAAAGAAAACTTTGCTGAGCCCCCAGGCTTGGTGGCTGAGATGAAAGCATCGCTGGAGCCCAGCAGGTTGAGTCCGCAGTGAGCTGCGATTGTGCCACTACACTCCAGCCTGGGCTACACAGAGGGACCATTTCCAAAACCAAGAAAGAAACAAAAAAGGGAGTCTTGCTAAGTTGATGCCTTTAGAACTCGTTGTTCGTAGAGACAAAGTTGGTGTGTGGGAGCTCCCCATGCACTTCTCTGGAGGATAAGAGAGGGTAGCTCCATTCTTTGTTGAGAAAAGTGCATTTGCCCAGAGGGCTTGGGGGCTCAGGTTTAAAAAGAAAAGTCTGAAGGTCAGTGCTTGCTGATGATAATAAGTGATGCTGAAATTATCTAGCATCTAGATGCTAAAATGTCACCCTTTACCATCTTTTCAACATCCTTCTGTCTCAGTGGTATGAAATGATTAATTTCACCCAGGGTAATTGGCTATTTAAACTTACTGGCACTGGCAAAAAATGCATTAAGGTGGACATTCTAAAATCAAAGATATTAATATTAAGATCTATTTTATTTCTTTAAAAAATTACATGAGATCTTCCAGGGACCATGTAATGAGCAATAGTTAGCATATAAAGTACTCCAGACCCATCCAAACATTTGTCAACACTACAGTATAAACATTATTCCTTTATTTTCCAAATTTCTGGTGTAGAGTGTGTTGCAATTGTTGGAAACTAGACTGAGATTAAACAGTGAGTAATACTCAGTATTGCAACCTGTCGTTTCCAATTTCCTGAACCATCAGGAGAATACAGTGCCTCTTTTTAGTGTTATTTATGAACCATAGCTTTTGCATCCATTTTGCAATTACACATGGCCAACGTTTAATATATAAAGTCATGAAAACTCTTTGGAATCTAATTGTTTTTTTCCCCTCTGGCTGGAACGAATAGTTAAGCAGAGGAAACTGTAAAGAGGTTCATGTAGATTTCACAGAATGTGTTTTATGATCTTTTTGCATCATGAGTTTGGCTCTGTCTCCAGGGGAATGCAATTCTCCCAATGAAATGGGGAACTCAGGCTTCCTCCAACCAATTGTTCTCTTTCCTTGAATTTATTCCATGGCAAGAATGGAATATCCCTGCAAAGATTCTCTAGGATGATCCAGACAAAGTCAATTCATTCATTCATGGGTGCTTGCATTCATTTAATGAATATTAATGACCTAGACTGTGCCAGATATTGGAGTAGGCCTGCATATATATGGGTCCCAACATTTGGTCTCAGAAAGTAATAGGTAGATAGACAAATAGATGGATGGATGGGCGGGGTAAGTGGATGAATGGATAACTGGATAGAAAGTTGGGTGCATAGATGGATGAATTATTAGGTGGATTAATGGATGGACAGATAGATGGGTAAATGGATAAGTGGGTAGCTAGGTAGTTGGATAGTTGATTGGATGAATGGATGGATAGATAGTCAGATAGATGTTATATAGAGAGATGGATGGATGTATATATGGATGATGGATGGACAGATGGATGGGTGGATGGATGAATGGGTAGATACATAATTGGTTAGTTGATTGAATGAATGGATGGATAGATAGTTGAATAGATGGTTATAGGGAGAGATGAATGGATGGATATATGGATGATGGATGGGCTGATAAATGGGTAGATGGATGATGGGCAGATAAATAGTTGGATAGTTGATTGGACGAATGGGCGGATAGATAGTTGGATAGATGGTTATATGGAGAGATAAAGGGATGATAGATGGACAGACTGCATGGGTGAATGGATGCATAGATAGTTGGATAGATACTTGGTTGGATGGATTACAGATGGAAAAATAGATGAATATATGTATGGATAGATAAATAATCGCATAGATGGTTGGATGGACAGATGGAAGATTCTCAACTTCATGGCTTAATGCCAACTCCTCTCCACCTTTCATGTCGATTGGTGGTCCCAGGGGGTGCAAAATGGGTGGTCTCATACAGTAGTTCTAAGCAGGTGTGCTGTTCTCAGCAGCCTCAGGGACCAGCTGTGTTACCTTGTTCATGTAACTCAACTTCTCTGCTCCCCGTCACATCTTTAAAGCAGAGGACAGGATGGCTGCGAGAATGACGTGAGAAAATCTGGGTCTCAGTGGCGTAGGGAGAGCTAAAGGGATGCTACTACAATTCAGAGAGTGATCATTAAATGTGCCTCTTCAAATGTGCTTCAGGACAGTCCTCTTCCGTGGCTCAAAAAAATGAGGTCAGTCATTTCCCGACCGCAAACCCTGTCCATTTGTGTATCGCTTAAAAGTAAGTGACCTTACTTTTGAATTTACATCTCTTCCAATAAAAGAAACAGGAGTCCAAAGTTATCTGGAATAAGACATGTCATAAAAACACAGGGGTGTCAACCACAATGTGGAAGATGAATAACCCTGTATAACACGCAGGAAGAAAAATAAGCTGTCTCCATTCAGCCAATGAATGAAACAAATCCAAATGCAAGTGAGAATAGGGGTAGGGGTTATTACCAAGCAGGTTCACAGGCTTGCTGATGATTAAATGAAATTATATTTATCCTGGGAACACTGACTCTTACACTGTGGCAATCACTATATGTGTGTGTGTGTTTGTTTGTGTGTGTATGTGTATATATATATATATACTTTTTTTTTTTTTTTGAGACAAGTCTCACTCTGTCACCCAGGCTGCAGTGCAGTGGCACCATCTCGGCTCACTGCAGCCTCTGCCTCCTGGGTTCAAGCGATTCTCTTGCCTCAGCCTCCCGAGTAGCTGGGATTACAGGCACCTGCCACCATGCCCTGCTAATTTTTGTATTTTTAGTAGAGACGGGGTTTCACCATGTTGGCCAGGATGGTCTCAAACCCCTGACCTCAGGTGATCTGCCTGCCTCAGCCTCCCAAAGTGCTAGGATGACAGGTGTGAGCCACCATGACTGGCCTGCAATGACACATTTGTATTTAACATCATGTTACAACATGATGTTGCCACAGACACTGTGCTCTGTGAAAGCGCTTATGCCAGATCGATGCCTTGTTTTACTCTCTTAGAATTGACGGTAGGAAATGGAGCTCTCTACTTCCTCATTTCCAGAGTAAGCAGGGCGCACGTTCCCATGGTGCCCTTCTATTTTTTCACAACACTCTAAGTTTTCTCAGCTGGGTGCGGTGGCTTACACCTGCAATCCCAGCACTTTGGGAGGCTGAGGTGGGAGGATCACTTGAGCCCCGAAGTTTGAAACCAGCTTGGGCAACATAGCAAGACCCCATCTCTCAAAATATCTTTAAAAAATTAGCCAGTCACGGAGGTATGTGCCTGTAGTCCCAGCTACTCAGGAGGCTGACGTGGGAGGATTGCTTGAGCCCAGGAGGTCAACAATGAAGTGAGCTATGATGTCATTCCAGCGTGGGTGACAGAGTCTGACCTTGTCTCAAAATAATAAATAAATAAATAAATAAATAAATAAAAGTATTATCCAAAAATACTTAATTTTAAACATTTTCTCCAAACTCCCAATAGGGCATGAAACAGCTATTAACAATAATTACATTAACAATTTCTTTTTGCTATGATCATATCTGCAAATTATAGGAAGGGTGCTGAGTCCACTGTAGCCAGTATACTTAGTACATCTGAGATACCCAAATCAGTGTGTCTCATCAGAGCTGCTCATAGACACGATAGGGGTTTCAGCAAACCCCTGATAACCCATGCATGACTTTTCTTTTTAAATGTGCCCGGTTTTCATTCATATTCGGAGTTTTCAGGTCAATCTCAAATACACCTGTCTTCCCGTCTGTACAGAATATATGTATATATTCTCTCTCTCTCTCTCTCTATATATATATATATATACATACATAAAGGGGAGTTTATTATATATTAACTCACACGATTACAAGGTCACACAATAAGCTGTCTGCAGGCTGAGCAGCAAGGAAGCCAGTCTGATAACTGAAGAACCTGGAGTCCAATGTTCAAGGGCAGGAAGCATCCAGCACGGGAGAAAGATGCAGTCTGGGAGGCTAGGCCAGTCTCTCTGCACATTTTTCTGCCTGCTTATATTCTAGCCAAATTGGTTGCTGATGAGATGGTGCACACGCTGATGAAGCGGGGTGCGGGGTTTGCCTTTCCCAGCCCACGGACTCAAATGTTAATCTCCCTTGGCAACACCCTCACAGACACACTCAGGATCAATACTTTGCATCGTTCAATCTAATCAAGTTGACACTCAGTATTAACCATCACACCATCTTTTCACAGCTGCTGCCAAAAACACAACTTCAATCTTCAACAGAATCTTTTTAATGAAAAGGAAATACCTTTGCCATTCAGAGTTTTAGAGAAAGTTCAAGGCCCTTTTCAAAAAAGAAAATAAACTTTTTAAAGAGGAGTGTCAATTCTTATCTTGTTAGCTAGTATTCAAGGATGAAGTTGCAGCTGTGGCTTAATTACAGAATCCTGCCCACTTAATTCAACACGATTCACACTTAAGTTCACACACATCTACTTTTTCTCATTTTGTTCTTTGGTGAATTTAAAATATTCAGAATAATGGTAACAGTAATGGCTGTGAGTATCCTGGGCTTATACTGTGCTAGAAAATTTTAAACAAATTCTGCATGTATTAATATATTTCTTTATTATTATTATTATTTTTAAGACAGAGTCTCAATCTGTTGCCCAGGCTGGAGTGCAATGGCACGACCTCGGCTCACTGAAACCTCTGCCTCCCGGGTTCAAGAGATTCTCCTGCCTCAGCCTCCCAAGTAGCTGGGATTACAGGCGTGTGCCACCATGCCTGGCTACATTTTTTGTTGTTGTCGTATTTTTAGTAGAGATGAGGTTTCACCATGTTGGCCACGCTGGTCTCAAACCCCTGATCTCAAGTGATCTGCCCGCCTCAGCCTCCGAAAGTTCTGGGATTACAAGTGTGAGCCACCGCGCCCGGTCCGTATTAACATATTTCTGTGTGATATGCATGTAGAAATACTGTGTTGTGGTAGGCATTATATTATCGTTATCATTGTTTTTCAAACTGGGGCACCTTAGGTAGGCAAAGGTTAAGGAATTGGCTCAGGTTGTGTTACAATTGTATGCCCAAACTGGGCTTTAAGCCAAAGCAACCTGATTCTAGATCCAGACTATGTTCTTTGTCCAGACCTTCGTACTGGGGGGACCCTGACTCCTTCCATTAAGAGGGGCTTCTCCCCTTCTTTTATACCTAAGGACAAGCAGTAGAGAGATCAAGTCTGTACACAATGTTGAATGTAGGGTACGCACCCATGAGTCTGCCTGTGTCTTATGACAATGCTCCGTCAACCCGTCGGGAAGCTCTGCCTTCCTCTAGTGCTCTCCCCACCAATGCTTGGGCCCCCATACTACCACCAAGCCCGCCACTTTTATTTCCTTTTTTTAAAATTTTGTCACCCAGGCTGCAGTGCAGTGTGTGTTGCAATCATAGTTCACTGCAGCCTTGACCTCCCAGGCTAAAGTAATCCTCCCACCTTGGCCTCCTGCGTTACTGGGACTACAGGTGCACACCACCATGCCTGGCTAATTTTTTTAATTTTTTTTTTTTTTTTTGAGATGCAGTCTCGCTCTGTTGCCCAGGTTGGAGTGCAGTGGCGTGATCTCAGCTCACTGCAACCTCCGCCTCCCCAGTTCAAGCGATTCTCCTGCCTCAGCCTCCTGAGTAGCTGGGATTACAGACGTCTGCCACCACACCTGGCAAATTTTTATATTTTTAGTAGAGATGGGGTTTCTCCATGTTGGCCAGGCTGGTCTTGAACTCCTGACCTCAGGCAATCCACCCGCCTAGGCCTCCCAAACTGCTGGGATGACAGGCATGAGCCACTGCGCTGGGCAATTTTTTAAATTTTTGGTAGAGATGGGGTTTCACTATGTTGCCCAGGCTGGTCTTGAATTCCTGGGCTCGAAGAATCCTCCCTCCATGGCCTCCCAAAGTGTTGGTATTATAGGCATGAGCCACTGCACCGAGTCTCAGCCATTTCTTGATGATCTTCCCACATTCTCTTAGATGAACAAAAATTATCTTATGCCATCTGTCACCCCAAGATTATAAAGGTCCCTTCCCAGAGGAATGTACCCTCCTCACAGCTCCCTCAAACACCCAGCCATCTTGTTAGCCATGTAGATATGAAAACTAACCCTTAGCCATGTGTCTGCCACATTTTCCTTCTTGGGGCTAATAATAAAATACGTGTATTAAGACATGAGTTGATGGGATGCGGTGGCTCACGCCTGTCATCCCAGCACTTCGGGAGGCCGAGGTGGGCAGATTACCTGAGGTCAGGAGTTCGAGACCAACCTGGCCAACATGCTGAAACCCCGTCTCTACTAAAAAAAAAAAAAATACAAAATTAGACAGGTATGGTGGCGTAAGCCTGTAATCCCAGCTACTCAGGAGGCTGAGGCAAGAGAATCACCTGAACCCAAGGAGGTGGAGGTTGCAGTGAGCCGAGATCGCGCCACTGCACTCCAGCCTGGGCGACAGAGCGAGACTCTGACTCAAAAAAAAAAAGAAAAAGAAAAACATGTTCTTTTTAAATCATAAATACAATTAAAATTGTACTTATGAAATATGCCTTTTCAAACTTTGTTTCTTAGCTTTTGACCCTGTTCTGGGGTCGGTGAGGTACTTGTGTGAATCTTACAGCAGTTTTTTCTGCCTAGTGGTCTGACTGGCACGTCGAGCGCCTGCCCAGTGAAAGCTGAGACCAGCGAGGGTGGAGTGCTGTGTTCCCCTGTGCAGAGGGTGAGGAGCCTTCCTGAGTTTTTCCGAGACACAGAGAACCCAGACCTCCTTTAGGAAAATGACTATAGAATAGCTCAATTGTTAAAATCATCATGCGAGCTTTGCCAGCCGCTTTTTGTTGTTGTTGTTTTAATAGAAAGCATCCCTTCCCACAGCTAAGGAGACCACGTGAGAGGCATCTCATTCTATAGAATGCACCGAGAGGCCGGGCGCGGTGGCTCACTCCTGTCATCCCAGCACTTTGGGAGGCCGAGGCAGGCAGATCAGCTGAGGTCAGGAGTTCGAGACCAGCCTGACCAACATGGTGAAACCCTATCTCTACTAAAAATACAAAAAATTAGCCAGGCGTGGTGGTGGGCACCTGTAATCCCAGCTACTTGGGAGGCTGAGGCAGGAGAATTGCTTGAACCCGGGAGGCGGAGGTTGTGGTGAGCGGAGATCGTGCCACTGTACTCCAGCCTGGACGACAGAGTGAGACTCCGTCTAACAATAATAATAATAGTAATAATAATAGTAATGCACCAACAGCAAACTGTGCCAACATCAGCCGATAAATTCGTTTCCACCCATGCTCCTCTGCAGGGCCAGTGAATACTCTGTCTGTTATCCAAGTGCTACCAAGCTAACGGTATACAGGCTAGGGTTCTGTTTTCACAATGACACAAAGAGGTGCACCTGAGCCATGTGGTTTCAAAAAATATTTTATTTTCTGGAATAGCCATAATATCTCAGCTCTGTCTTTATGCCCTCTCTCCACACGGAGGAGGCAGAAGCTATGACAACACTGAGGTGCCACACATCACACCTGCAAAACAGAATAATGGGAGCGTTTAGGAGACTGTAGAAAATGCTCACCAGGGTGCATACAGACAGGATGGGGGCTGGGCATTGCTGGGCTGCTGCTGTCTGTCAAGGACATTCAGAGAGATATACATGTCCCCGGGGCAGGGCCCGCCTCCATCTTCATCTCTTCTCTCTCATGTGTCAAATGAAGCAGAGGAAAAACAGCAGAGAGTCCTTCACGGCTGCTGGACTAGGCAATGCAACTCTCACAAGTGATGAGATTGAGAATGTGCCTTACACATCCCGTAGGTCTGGCGGTCACGAATGCGAGATTTGCTTCTAGAAATTTCTGGGACTCTTGTTTCATGTGCAAAGTGCCTAGTCTGTATCTGTAGGGCGATGCTGTTCTTCCAAGACATGATTTTTCCTTTTTACAACAGACAGGATAGGAATATTTGGGGTCACTTGGCAACAATGATGATGGGGAATCCTCTGTATCTCTTCCCTGGAGCATTTGCTCTGCACACAGAAGGAAGCCATTTGCACTGGATGGAGTCTGTATGAAGCTGGCAGCATGGATTGCATTGGAGAGTTAAGTAGGGCAAGCCCCCCAGTTGCACCTACTCTAACGATGGTATAATCTGAAGCTGATTTGTCCTGTGGACGTCTCTAGCCAGTAATAAGAGTAAACAGTTCCAATGGGCTTCCCTTGGGCATTGGAACCCCTGTGAATTCCGACTCTGCACAAGAGCAAGGTGGACGAAAACTTCACAACAGAATGGGCCAGGCAAGGGGGCAGAGATGGCTGGATGGGACCACAAGGATGGATGGAGGTTACAGATGCCAGCATGGCCCCAGAGGTGACACTGCCCATGAGTCCTGGTTACCCAGTGATGGCTTGGCAGGATGAGTGACGGGTGGGGAAGATGGCCTTTATCCTTATTGACAGTCATCTCACCCTTCACTCCTGCAGTGCAGCTGGGCTGACATGCTGGTGGACGTTCTTCAGAGAAGGGCCAAGCTGTGACCTTCAGAGATCCATCCCTCCACACTGGAGTCCTGGCCTACTGGTAGCTTATGAGGGGGATGCTCTTACAACTCCTTGGCTTGCACCTGGCATGCAGGCAAACTGAAGACTCCACAGCCACTCCATCACTTTAGGGGCCCTAAGCAGATGCAAAGAGAAGGAAAAAAAAGAGTAAGAAAAAAAAAATCAATGGTAATCTGATGAAGGGTTACCCCCCACCGCCGCCTCCTGCTCTCTTTAGAGACGGGGTCTGGCTCTGTTACCCAAGCTGGAGTGCAGAGGTGCAATCACAGCTGACTGTAATCTCAAACCCTTGCACTTTTTAATCTTTTTTAGAGATGGGGCCTGGCTCTGTTGCTTAGGCTGGAGCACACTGGCGCAACCATAGCTGACTGTCATCTTAAACGCCTGGGCTTAAGCAATTCTTTTATCTCAGTCTCCTGAGTGGTTAACGCTACAAGTGTGTGCCACCAAGCAGATAATTTTTAATTTTTTTTTTTTTTGTCTCATTAAGTTTCCCAGGCTGGTCTTGAACTCTTGCACTCAAGTAATCCTTCCACCTCAGCCTCCCGAAGTGCTGTGCTGACAGGCATGAGCCACGGCATCCAGCCAGTACATCTCTTTAATGCTACTGAGAAGTCATTTCACCCAGCACTTTGGTTCCTAGTATCATGTTCAAAAAAAAGAACCAGGGCTCTCTGGAATAATGGTTAATTCTAAGAACGGAGCTTGGGTGATACAGATAGGCCTGGACCATCTTGTAGTACAAGAAAATAAGAAAATGCTCAAATACACAAAAAAATGGGGGTGCGTGAAAGATAAGCAAAAGCCAACATGAAAGAGCTCCTGGTGCTCAAAGCTGAAACAATTTGGGCAATAAAATAAAATAATATTAGATGGCAACCCAAAGCAATCAATTATTGAATAAAAACATAAATGAAGGAGGAGATACAAATCCCCTGTGCAGAAGAGTCCCATCCAAGTAATTGATGTAGATATTTTATTCTCAAGAAGATGAAACATAACTCCCCACTCCTTTAAGTGTGGGTTGCATGTAGAGACTTCCTTTCAAAGAGCATGGTCAGGAGATCAATAACTTTTCAGTGGAGAAATCTGACAAACACCACCTCAGACGTGATCAAGGCCAAAGTCAACAATGGTAGGTCAGGCTGACAGTATGTACCTTGATATGATGTAATAAGAATGACTCTTCATCGCTGCCGTCATCCTCTCCAAAGCCAACCACCCTAGTCTCACCATGAGAAAAGTTGCAGACAAATCCCAACAGAGGGACAGCTTGACAAAATACCTGACCCGTTGTCCTCAAGACAGTGTTTCTCGTATAGTCTGCAGCACCGTGAGCCAAATAAACCTCTTTTCTTTATAAATCACTCAGCTCAGTTACTCCTCTATAGCAATACAAAATGGACTAATACACAAGCCACATCCAAGTGCCATTTGTGGCAAGGGGCCCTTGTATGGTCTGCAGGCCTTGCTTTGGATGACCTTGAAGTAAGGTCTTGTATTTGACTCTTGAACAGTCTGCAGAACTGTGAGCCAAATAAATATCTTTTTAATAAATAAACCCATACAAGAGTCATGTACAAGACCTTGCTTCGAGGTCATGAAAAACAAGGCAAGTCTCAGAAACTGTCACAGCCAAGAGGAGGCATGACTCAATGTAATGTGGGTTCTGGAGGAGATCCTGGGACAGAAAGAGGACATCAGGAGGAAAGTAGTGAAGTCCAGTAAACAGAAGAGTTTAGATTACAAAGGGTGCGGGGTTGGGGGGTGGGCAGGAGACCCTAACAAGTACCTGCATAACTAGCATTTTTCCTTTTTTTTTGAGATGGAGTCTCGCTCTGTCGCCCAGGCTGGAGTGCAGTAGCTCGACCTCAGCTCACTGCAAGCTCTGCCTCCCAGGTTCAAGCGATTCTCCTGCCTCAGCCTCCCGAGTAGCTGGGACTACAGGTGCCCGCCACCACGCCTGGCTAATTATTTGTATTTTTAGTAGAGACGGGGTTTCACCGTGTTAGCCAGGCTGGTCTCGATCTCCTGACCTCATGATCTGCCTGTCTCGGCCTCCCAAAGTGCTGGGATTACAGGCCTAAGCCACTGCGCCTGGCTGCATTTTTCCATTTATAGATTGCCTTTATTCTGCATATGGTAGAACCAAATGGAAGTCAAGACACAAGCATCTGGGGTGCTGGAGCCTGAGAAGACCTGTCTGGAGCTTGACAGAAATTCTGAATCCCCACCGACTCTCAGTCTACCCAGAAAGACAATGACCCAATAAAGAAACAGACTTTAGTCCTGTGTGAATTTGCTTGGGCTGTGTGTGGGGAGGCCCCTCCATCAGGGATAGTTCTGGCTAAATATCGCATGTGGAAAACTACCAGATGGTTGAGAGTGAAGATGAGAGAAGAGCCAGGGAGGGAAGAGATGCTTTCTTCAGGGCCAGGGGAGAGAAATTCCATAAGAAAAGCATAGGGTTAGCTGGAAGACAAAATGAGACTTGTGCTATCCAGATTGGGGGCACCAGCCACAAATGGCATTTGGATGTGGTGTCTTCGTCCATTTTGTATTGCTATAAAGGAATATCCCAGGCTGGGTGACTTATTAAAGAAAAGGGGTGTATTAGGCTTACCGTTCTGCAAACTCTATAAGAAGCAAGCATGGTGTTGGCATCTGCTCAGCTTCTGGTGAGGCCTCAGAAAGCTTTTACTCATGGAGGAAGGCAAGGGGAACCAGAGCGTCACATGGTGAAAGAGGGAGCAAGAGAGAGAGGAGGAGGAGCCAGGCTCTTTTTAACAATCAGCTCTTGCATGAACTAATACTGTGAGAACTCGCACATTACCATGAGGATGGCACCAAGTCATTCATGAGGAATCTGTTCCTGTGACGGAAACACCTCCCACCAGGCCTCATCTCCAACACGGGGGATGCTATTTCAACAGGAGATTTGGAAGGGACAAACACCCAAAGGATGTCAGTTCATTTGAATTGAGATGTGCTGTAAATGTACAATAGACACTGGATTTGAAGACTTGGTGTGAAAAAAGAATGCGCGCTATCTCACTCATAACTATATATACAATTCTAATATATTCTAAATAGCTATATATACTATTCTAAATCTATTCTAAATAACTACATATACTATCCTAAATAATTCTAAATAACTACATATACAACTCTAAATCTATTCTAAATAATTCTAAATAATGATATATACAACTCTAAATCTATTCTAAATAACTATATATACAATTCTAAATCTATTCTAAATAACTATATATATAAAATTATAAATATATTCTAAATAACTATATATAATTCTAAATAATTATACCTATATATACAATTCTAAATACATTCACACATATATTTTTAAAATATAAATTTGAAATAAATTGTGTATATGTATACAATTATTTTATATACTTATAAAATATATATATTCATTTATGACATTTATACATATATGTTTATATAGAAATATATCTTTTTTTTTTTTTGGACACTGAGTTTCACTCTTGTTGCCCAGGCTGGAGTGCAGTGGCGTGATCTCAGCTCACTGCAACCTCTGCCTCCTGGGTTCAAGCGATTCTCTTGCCTCAGCCTCCCAAGTAGCTGGGATTACAAGCATGCGCCACCACGCTCAGCTAATTGTATTTTTAGTAGAGATGGGGTTTCTCCATGTTGGTCAGGCTGGCCTCGAACTCCTGACCTCAGGTGATCTACCCACCTTGGCCTCCCAAAGTGCTGGGATTACAGGCATAAGTCACCATGCCTGGTCAGAAATATATCTTAATAAAATGTGTACATATTTTACATTTAAAAAATAAATAAAATATAAATTTATATATTTATATAAATATACATTTTGAAATGAGACTATTTTATATAGTGATAAAATAAATATCTTATATATAAATATATTGTAATAAAATTTGTACAAATTTAATAAACTGAAAAATATACATAAGCTATAAATTTGTTTATGTAAATATAAATATATACATGTTGAAATGAGACTATTTGATATAGTGATTAAATAAATATATGAAAATATATTTTAATAAAATTTGTATATATTTAATTTTAAAATATACATAAACTGTAAATTTATATATTTATGTAAATATAGAAATATACATACATGTTAAAATGACACTATTTAAATAGTGTCATTAAATACCATATTTATTATTAAATACCGTATTTGCATATATTTTTAATAAAATTTGTACAAATTTAATAAATTTAAAAACATACATGAAATATAAATTCATATATTTATGTAAATATAAATATATATACCCGTTAAAAGGAGACTGTTTCAATATAGTGATTACACATATTATTAAAATTGATTTCACCATTTTCATTTTACTCCTTTGTTAATGTGTTTAACAAAGAGTTTTCAATTGCTTTTGTGGATCATATTGTATTTCTTTTTTTTTTTTTTCAGACCGAGTCTCACTCTGTCACCCAGGCTGGAGTGCAATGGTGCCATCTTGGCTCACTGCAACCTCTGACTCCTGGGTTCAAGCAATTCTCCTGCCTCAGCCTCTTGAGTAGCTGGGATTACAGGCGCCCACCACCACGCCTGGCTGATTTTTGTATTTTAAGTAGAGTAGGGGGTTTCACCATGTTGGCCAGGCTGATCTCGAACTCCTGACCTCAAGTGATCCACCCACCTTGGCCTCCCAAAGTGCTGGGGTTACAGGCGTGAGACACCGTGCCCAGCCTATATTTTATTTCTGACGGGTAGAGTTCTTCCAGACCCTGAAAACCTGGGGCATCCAGGGAAAATACAGAAACAGGGCTCCGGGTACCTCAGTGGAGTACTAGGTGGGGCTGTAGCCACATAGCTGTGTTCCCCTGAGGCCCCCAAAAGCCCCATGATCTCCAGGGACACCGGGCTGGGCAGGCTGCTATTCCACCTCTCACCTCTTTGAACCCCAGTCCCTCCACCTTTCACAGTGGCATAAAGACTCTTCCCAATTAGGATGACCCAAACATCTGGGTCAAGGAAGATTCAGTGACCCAGGGACCTGTCCTTGCTCCAGGCAAATCAGTTGGAGCAACTTGGAAGTGACTAGATATTTATTCTGAGCACTTGGGACGAAGCTTGGGGGTATAGGGAATTCCTTGATACCTTCTCAAAGAATTCAAAGTCTACTGAAAAGGGCTTTCCTTCACTTGAGTATCTCAAATATTCATCTGGGAACGCTATCTACCACCTCCTGAATCGCTGCTATTGGTAAGATAATGGGTTGATCTCCACAAATTATAATGATGATCACACTTGCTAGCCCCAGGAACCAGCCGCATCCAATTCAGCTTTTGCAAGGAATCTAATTCCTGTCTGTCTCTTCCCCACCTGTAACTCTATAAATCTTATCTTTAAGAATGGGTGGGGGCTGGCCACGGTGGCTCACGTCTGTAATCCCAGCACTTTGGGAGGCCGAGGCGGATGGATCACTTGAGGTCAAGAGTTCGAGACCATCCTGGCCAACATGGTGAAACGCCGTCTCTACTAAAAATACAAAAATTAGCTGGGCGTGGTGGCATGCGCCTGTAGTCCCAGCTACTCAGCAGGCTGAGGCAGGAGAATTGCTTGAACCCGGGAGGCGGAGGTTGCAGTGAGCTGAGATCGCACCACTGCACTCCAGCCTGGCGACAGAGCTAGATTCCATCTCAAAACAAAGAACAAACAAACAAAAAGAATGGGTAGGTCTCCACCCATTACTGTGTCTTTCCATGAGACTGACGCCCAACAGGGCTGAGTCAGACGGCCAGGAAGCTGGGGTAATTTGAGAGGCACAGAGAGTACTCTTTCGGCTGGCCTTAGAGTTGGGGTTGCCACCTTCACAAAAGCATCCCTGGCTTGCTCTCACACACAGAGATTCTGGGAGGCCCCAGGAAAACCCCAAAATACTGCAAGAGGTGTAAACATACCCACTCATGCTGTCTTGTTTAATGCCAACATGGCTCCAGGGAGCAGGAAGAAGCGCCAGAGGGAACAACACGCAGGATGATGGGTTTGCTTTTGACCTGCACTAATTATGTTCTAGGTATGGCACCGCTTTCAGAGTCAGTTTCCAGATGTGCAATTTTAGTACACAAGAACATTTATCAGCCCCTTACTTTCTCTGTTTCTTCATGAATCCTTGAGGCAGAGGTCCAACATGGAGAATCATGGTGCTCAATGAGTGCTGGACCTTGGCCAGGTGACTTGGGCCTAAGGCAGCATGTCTGTCGAGTGATGATCATGTTACTTACCTGCCAAAGCTTATGTGTGGATAAGGTGTTGTCATAAGGTGGGTTCCCCAGACACAGAGACTGAGGTTGGGATTCAAAGACATAGAGCATTTGCAGAGGGAGGGAGGGAAGCCCGTTTAAAAAGGCACTAAGCCGGCCAGGGGTGGTGGTGGCTCACGCCTGTAATCCCAACACTTTGGGAGGCTGAGGCAGTTGGATCAGGAGGTCAAAAGATCAAGACCATCCTGGCCAACACGGTGAAACCTCATCTCTACTAAAAATACAAAAATTAGCCGTGCGTGGCAGTGTGCACCTGTAGTCCCAGCTACTCGGGAGGCTAAGGCAGGAGAATCGTTGAACCCGGGAGGCGGAGGTGGCAGTGAGCTGAGATCGCACCACTGCACTCCAGCCTGGTGACAGAGTGAGAATCTGTCTCCAAAAAAAAAAAAAAAAAAAGGCACTGAGGCATGATTTGATCTCAGGACATATCTCAACCTGGTCAACAGCAGGCTCTGGAATACAAATTGGGCTGCAGAATTTGCTGCCTTTGGGCATGGAAGTATGTGTGTGTGTGTGTGTGTGTGTGTGTGTGCGCGCGCGCGCGCGCGCGCGCACGCACGCGCACATATGTATGTGTGCATGCATGATCTCACGTGCTGTGGCTTCCTCTACCTGAAATGAATCTTCACCTTAGCGTTATCTGGATAACTGTATCTTGACCTTCAGGGCTACACCAAGCATCACGATGCCTTAAACATCTCCTCCCAAGCCCACCTGGGTTCTTCCTCCATGTTCCTGTAGCACAGAGACTCTGAGATCTGTCTGCCAGCTGTTTTACGGCATGTGGCCCGGACTTCTGTTATACCCTGGATCAAAATGTACCACAATTATCAAATAACCTTGCCATCTCCCCAGCTGGGAATTTACACTCAGAGCAGGAACCAGGTTTGTCCAGTATTATAACTGCTGGTACATAAGAGCCAGGAAAGGTTTGTTAAATGAGTGTTTCAGGCTAAATTGTGTCTCTTCGAAATGCCCATGTTGAAACCTTAGCCCTCATTTGTGACGGTGTTTGAAGATAAGGCCTTCAAAGAGGTCATTATGCGAAAATTATGTCATTAGGGTAGGGCCTGATCCAACAGGACTGGTGCCCTTATAAGAAGAGGAGACGAGGACACAGACACACACAGAGGGTTGACCCTGTGAGGACACAGGGAGAAGACGGTGTCTACAAGCCCAGGAGAGAGGCCTCAGGAGGAACCAGCCCTGCCCACACCTGGATCTCGGACTTCCAGCCTCCAGGACTGTGGGAGAATCAATGCCTGTTGCTTATAAGCCACCCAGTCTATGGTATTCTGTGATAGCAGCCTGAGATGGACTAAGACACTTCATAAGAAGAGGAGATGAGGACACAGACACACAGAGGGACGACCCTGTGTGTACACAGGGAGAAGATGGCGTCTACAAGCCCAGGAGAGAGGCCTCAGGAGGAACCAACCTTGCCCATACCCTGATCTCAGACTTCCAGCCTCCAGGCCTCCAGGAGAATCAATGTCCCTTGTTTAAGCTTCCAAGTTTGCGGTCCTTTGTTATGGCAGCCTTAGCAAACTAATACAATGAATGAATCAAACAGCACATGTATTACAATTCTAGTTGTGCTATCCAATAGAATAGCCACCAGCCACATGTGGCTGTTTACGTTTAAATCAATATAGCTCAATAAAAATAAATATTCAAGCCTTGAATGAAACCATACTCAACAGCCACTTGTGGTTGGTGCTTCCAACATTGCAGTTGCCTTCCTCCTCAAGAGTCGTGTTCTTGGTTGAATTCATCTCCCCTGCCCCTGAGGAAAGCACCCGTTGTCTCTCCGCACTTCTGAAGGTTTACTGCCCCACCATCTGTCCCCAGATGGAGAACCCTTGCAGGATGCAAGGGGATATTGAAATGATGTTTGCACTGGGCAGGATGGCTCAGGCCTGTAATCCCAGCACTTTGGAAGGCCTAGGCGAGATGATCACCTAAGGTCAGGAGTTTGAGACCAGCCTGGCCAACATGGCAAAACCCTGTCTCTATTAAAAATACAAAATTAAGCCAGGTGCAGTGGCACATGCCTGTAATCCTGGCTACTCGGGAGGCTGAGGCAGGAGAATCACTTGAACCCGGGAGGCAGAGGTTGCAGTGAGCCGAGATTGTGCCATTGCACTCCAGCCTGGGCAACAGAGTGAGACCCTGTCTCAAAAACAAAAACCAAAAAAAAGTTAAAAATTAAAAAAGAAAAAGAAATGATGTTTGCAGTGGTTAGGGTGGCTCACACGTGTAATCTCAGCACTTTGGGAGGCTGAAGCAGGAGGATCAGTTGAGCCCAGGAGTTTGAGAACAGCCTGGGCAACGCTGACAAAACCGCATGTCTACAAAAAAATACAAAAATCAGTCTGGTATGGTGCTACATGCCTGTAGTCCCAGCTCCTCAGGAGGCTGAGGTGAGAGAATCACCTGTAGTCCCAGCTACTCAAGAGGGTGAGGCAGGAGAACCGCTTGAACCAGATTCAGCTCACTGCAACCTCCACCTCCTGGGTTCAAGTGATTCTCCTGCCTCAGTCTCCTGAGTAGCTGGGATTACAGTTTCCTGCCACCACATCCAGCTAATTTTTGTTTTTTTTTTTTTTTTTTTTTTTTTTTTTAAGTAGAGACAGGGTTTCACCATGTTGGCCAGGCTGGCCTCGAACTCCTGAAACTCAAGTGATCCCGCCTGCCTCGGCCTCCCCAAAGTTTTTTTCTTAAGCATCTTTTTTAGATGCCTTTGTTCTCATATTTCTGTTTGCCTCTACTATTTTATTCGCTTAGATAGTTTTTTGTTTGTTTGTTTTGTCTTTTGTGGTCTTGACATTTTTGCTGACGGTAGGAAAGATCCAATTTCCATGTTATTGTAATTCCCATTAGACTTGTCCATTGGTGTCATGCTAAAAGATGAGATACTAAAGAAAATTGGCTGGGAGCAGTGGCTCATGCCTGTAATCCCAGCACTTTGGGAGGCCAAGGCAGGTGGATCACCTGAGGTCAGGATTTCGAGACCAGCCTGGCCAAAATAGTGAAACCCCATCTCTACTAAAAATAAAAAAAGTAGCTGGGTGTGGTGGTGGGTGCCTATAGTTCCAGCTACTCAGGAGGCTGAGGCAGGAGCATCGCTTGAACCCGGGAGGTAGAGGTTACAGTGAGCCGAGATCACGCCACATCCAGCCTGGGCAACAGAGCGAGACTCCGTCTCCAAAAAAAAAAAAAAAAAAAGAAAATCATATTTAATTCATTTAGCTTTCATCGTAATTACAGTCACACTTCACACACATGGGAATTAGGGAGCCAGGAAGAGTAATGCGGCAATGCCCTGTGTTCAGACCACTATTAATGGGTAGGCTTTGGGGATACTTTGCTTTTCTCTTTCACTAATGATGTCTGTCCATTTTCCCCGAGGATCTTTTCGGGAGCCTTCTGTGTGGTGGGCCCACTTACGACCTGAATCACCGCATTCACGCCAACAGTACCAACCCATAGGTATGCTTAGTCATCTGATGACTCAGAGACAGGGGGTAGGCGGATGGAATGGAAGGATGAGTCTGGTCAGATGGTAAGAGATAGTACAATGACATGAAAAATAGCCACCACTGACCACTGGCAACCTGGCCTTGAGATCCCTAGTGGACAGTTATTTATTTACTATTTATTTATTTTGAGACAGGGTCCACTCTGTCGCCCAGGCTGGAGTGCAGTGGCACAGTCTTGGCTCATTGCAACCTCTGCCTCCAGGGTTCAAGCGATTCTCCCGCCTCAGCCTCCCAAGTAGCTTGGATTACAGGTGTGCACTACCACACCTGGCTAATTTTTGTATTCTTGGTAGAGACGGGGTTTCGCCATGTTGGCCAGGCTGGTCTTGAACTCCTGACCTCAAGTGATCCTCCAGCCTGGGCCTCCCGAAGTGCTGGGATTGCAGGCGTGAGACACCGCGCCCGGGCATGGACAGCTTTTTGAGCGCATAATTACAGACAGTCTTCACCTTCCCCAGAGGAAAACATAACAGCCTATCCCAAGGTTTCGTAATAAAAGCGTAAAATTGTCATAAACCCACAGTAGGTGTTCAATAAATGCATACATCTTGTTCCCACACCCGAAAAATCCTAGTTAGGAGGTGACCGAGGAGAGTTTACAACACAAATTGCACCTGAGGTTTTGCACACGAGTGAGTTTGATCCCTTTCCTCCAGAAGGCCGGCTACTCATTCAAAGGGCCCAGTTTGTTTCAAACTATTTTTGGAACTGTTTCAGAATTGCCTCCAAGCGCCTGTCTAGACCTTACCTTACACTGGCGCTATTTTGAGCTAAAAGCCATATTGATTAAATTGGCTTCTAAAGTTATCCCCCAGACTTGGCGCTGAAGGAGGCTTAGGTATTTCCAAAAATCCTAGCCTCTGCCTGGAAGGCTCCCCAGCTAAGGATGCAAGACAAGGACCAAGGACGACATTTCTTGAAAGATCCTGCCTCTGGGGATAGTTTCGGAAAGGAAGTGCTCAGGTTTGTGAGACAGCAGCAGGGCCCTGGGACCTTTCTCTGATGGGGGAATATCCCCCTCTAGGTCAGCACGCCCCATCACAGCACTGCATCTACTGTAGGTACCTCCAAAGTCACCCTTTCTATTTCACTCATGTTTCCCTTGAATTTACACTTTACATGTTGCTAGACCAAATCGGCGGAGGGGAAAAAATAACTCATGGAAACATGATCTTTTTAGAAATGGCATTACTCAGAAAGCACAGCAGGGGTTTGGCTTATGGTACGGTGTTGTTTTCCTGCTTTGAGGCGCTGTTACAGATTCTTCTTCCCACTGTACAGCTTCCCGGCCTGACATGCTGCCTTGGGAAGTGCGTGAAAGTGAACGCAGCCTCCTCTTCCTCTTAGGAGTCCTCCGTTTCGTGTCTCTTACATCCTGAAAGGACCCAGCTCTCTGAGTCAGGCCGCGGCACTGCCCCTCCTAGCTCCAAATCCACATCTATTTCCCACTTCACTTTCTAAGTGGGATTTAGCTTAACACTGTGGAGCTTGGAGTATCACAGAGCTAATATGTAAGACCCAGGCTGGTCTTTCCTTCTCTGTCGGCACCTTGGAATTCTCTACTACCTTTCAGCCTGCCTCTCCGCTCCCCCGGCTTTTTTTTTACAGACATCTGCAATGCAGGCAAGTTCCAATATGAACATCTGTGGAACACAGCCTGAGAAGAGGAGATATAAAAGGATCTTAATTTTAGGGTGAAGGAGGAGAAGAATGGTTAAGAAGCGTCTCAATAACGTAAGCCACAACCTCAGGCTTTGAAAACAACATTAACTGAGAACAGCTTTGAAAACAACAGTGAGATTTTCAACTCAATTCTTTTTCCCACAGGTCACTTATCTTGAATTCCAAAATGTTGACTTCTGCTAAAGAATCTTTTTTTTTTTCAGTGATATAAATTTGGAAGGTATGTCAATATTCTTATCCAGTGTGAAGTCCTATGACCGAAACACTTGCGTATTCGTCTCTCCTCCCCGCTACACTTCCCTTGGGGAAGTACACACAACAAGGCAAACAAACACCTCTGACCACTTCTGAGGCAGCCTGTTCTTTTTTTTCTTTTTTGAGATGGCGTCTCACTCCGTCGCCCAGGCTGGGTGCAGTGGCGCGATCTCGGCTCACTGCAACCCCCACCTCCAGGGTTCAAGCGATTTTTCTGCCTCAGCTTCCTGAGTAGCTGGGATTACAGATGTGTGCCACCATGCCTGGCTGATTTTTGTATTTCAGTAGACACGGGGTTTCACCATGTTGGCCAGGCTGGTCTGGAACTCCTAACCTCAGGTGATCTGCTCGCCTCGGCCTCCCAAAGTGCTGGGATTATAGGTGTGAGCCACTGTGTCCGCTCCCTCTCCCTGCTTTTTTTTTTTCTTATAGAGTCTCACTATGTTGCCCAGGCTGGTATCAAACTGCTGGGCTCAATCGATCCTTCCACCTTGGCCTCCCAAAGTGCTGGGATTACAGTCGTGAGCCGCTGTGCTCACCCTGTCCTTAATGATCAGCTTGAGAAAATTCTCTCTCATCTAGTTGACCACGTCCCCCTCTCATCACTGCCACCAAATGTCCCTCATTATGGTGTCTAGATGTTTTGTCTTGCTACATCTCAAGCTTCATTACAGATCGAATTTACCCTCTTCCCTCAACTCTTCTTGCACAGAAGCTGAGGTTTCCAGGAGGCCCTCTCTACCCCTTGGGGGACCTTCCCCTTAAGTTTGGAAGCTGCCAAAACCATGTAAAGGAGATTTTAGGAGGGTCTTTGCACTATATGGGATCCCAAGAAAAATGCATTTAGGGCCACTTTTTCAGCAGCTTCGCTTTAAGGTTCATTTTTTTTTTTTTTAAGACTCATAAAAATCTTTACAGTTTGGAACACATAAAATATATTGACTGGACGCGGTGCCTCACACCTGTAATCCCAGCACTTTGGGAGCCCGAGGTGGGTGGATCACTTGAGGTCAGGAGTTCGAAACCAGCCTGGCCAACATGATGAAATGCCGTCTCTACTAAAAAGTCCAAAAATTAGCTGGGCATGGTGGCTCAGGCCTGTAGTCCAAGCTACTCGGGAGGCTGAGGCATGAGAATTGCTTGAGCCCAGAAGGTGGAGGTTGCAGAGAGTCAAGATTGCACCATTGCACTCTAGCCTGGATGACAGAGCCAGACTCTGTCTTTAAAAAAAAAATACATAAAAAGTTTTAAAAATGGAAACCTGTGTGAGCAGTGTCTAGAAACAGATAATTAGCAGTTATTCTGTAATCAATTTTTTAAAAACTTTAAAGAGAATGATTAATTTTAAACCCTAAAGGAGAGTTGCAAGTAGAAATATAATTTAAAACTTTTGTGTAATATCACTGCAATGGATGTGAGATTTTACACACACACACACACACACACACACACACACCCCATAAACACACATGTGTGCCACAGGTCCGTTGGTAAAAGCTTGGTTACTGATGATTGAGTTTTTTTCTTTTATTCTTGGGGAAGTTACATAACCTGTTTTTTTCCAGCCTTATTTTTCCATTCTGTGTAATTGGGATACTAATTATATTCATGTTGCTGTCAGGAGGGTAAAATACAATGTATATAATATTATTTTCACTCCAGATCTGGTGTTTAGTAAAACACTCAGCAACTATTAGGTGTAATTGTTATTTATAGGAAACTGTAGGTCTTTTGACAGTAATCATAACCACCCTTGCATGTGTGGGTTGTCCATAGAAAATTAAGATAATAGCGCAGAGGTTTCTGTCTCATCATGCTCTTCCCAGCTTCACTGAGATTGTCCTTTTTTCCAGTCAGGGCTTATCTTTCTAGGTTCCAGGAAAGCATCCTGAGGGATCATGCTGCTGTTTTAATACTCATATCTTCTTTAGGTGTGAAATACCCAAACGGGCCAGGAGCAGTGGCCCACACCTGTCATCCCAGCACTTTGGGAGGCTGAGGTTGGAGGATCACGAGGTTAGGAGTTTGAGACCAGCCTGGCCAACATGGGTGAAACCCCATCTCTACTAAAAATACAAAAATTAGCCAGGCATGGTGGCACGTGCCGGTAATCCCAGCTACTCAGGAGGCTGAGGCAGGAGAATCGCTTGAACCTGGGAGGCAGAGGTTGTAGTGAGCCGAGACTGCGCCACTGCCCTCCAGCCTGGGCGACGGAGCAAGACTCCATCTCAGAAAAAAAAAAAAAAAAAAAGAAAAGAAAAGAAAAGGAAAAAAGAAAGAAAAGAAATACCCAAATGGTCACCATGATCTAAGCACTCCCTTGGAGAACTGATGGATGTCAGTGTGCACTGATGGACATAAAACAGGACCACAGAGAAGAGTCACACTTGTAGAAAGAAATGCCCCCCAATCTCTAGCCAAAAGCTCCAAGTGGGAGTCTGTGTCACTTCCAGTGACAACTCTGCACTGACTCACTGCGTGACCTTGGGCAAGAAGCACTTCTACCTGCCTTGGTTTGTGGACCTGAAACAGGGATGTTAGCACCAACCTGGCATCTTCCCAGGACAGTGGCGCAGATCTGGAGGAACACCTCACGGGAAGGTCTTTTGTAGATCACACAGGAGGCTACACAGACATGAGTTACTGTGATTTCCTTTTGTCTAAAGGTTTCTTTCTGGTTCTAGCCTTGTCTATCTGGGGGAAGGAGACTATCTGTGATGGAGATGAGCGTTCTTTTCCAAGAGCGTTAATTAGCTGTTCACTTTGTGACTTCGTGAGCGCCCTACCATTTGAATTCTGAATCCCTGCGTTTTGTTCTCATTTGGTGATGAGCCTTTCAGCAGACATGGTAGTGACTATTAAGTAGGCATTTTAATGCAATCGTTCATAGAATCAATATGTAGACGGCTAGTTTCTAATTTATGAGAAGGCATTCTCTGGGAAATTGAATAAACAGTGCTCGATTGGAATATGGAAATTTTATATAAGAAAAATAATCCGAGAGAGGCTGAGAATGTACAAGCTCTAAGGAATCATCAGATGTGAACAGGACTTCAGCTATCATGTTTAGGGTGAGCTTCGTTAGTGGCTCACATCTAGTTTCAGCTGCAACTGTATTTTCATATCGTTCCCAGGCAAGCCCCGCGAGTGACTGACTCCACGACCCTGTTTCTTCCCAAACCCTCACCTGAGAAACAGGCTTCTTGGATTAAATCTTCCTTTTCCTATTCGACTAGCCCGGTGGGTTTGTGCTTGGCGTAACTTTGGGCCCCCTGGGTGGGATGTGCTTGCGTGAAGCTCCAGTAGCTTTTCCTCTGTGCCGGGAATAATTTGCAAAGCGTCCTATTTTGGATTTTCATAATCAAGCTTCTACCCCGTTTCTTTTCAGTTAATTTAATACCTGGAGCACACGCAGTACTTCAAAAATATTGGTCCGTTCTGGTGTCAGAGAGTCTTTTTGGACTGAGATGTAAAAGTCCTACATTTGGGTATGTGAGCTGGGAGTTGGGGGGCCAGGCTGAGGAGAAGCAACAAATTCCAGAGACAAACTTGGCATCTTGGGAGATGTAATACACGCACCCAGCCACAGAGTCCCAGGAGAATGTATTTTAATGGAGAATGTGGAGGGACTTTGCAAATGTTTTCATTTTCTCAAATCATATCTGTTATCCTGAAAGTGGTGTCTGTTCCCCCTAACGCCCCCCCGCTCCCTCCCCAACCCTTTGCAGACACTGGCATCTGTGGACATGAGTTAGGTGCTGCAGTACCACTCACTGTGTCAACTACAGTATTAACTACGGAAAACACACACACAGTCACAGTCACACTGACACTCACACCCTAACCATCCCAAATCAGACATTTGCAGTCCCACGGGATTTCCAAAGATTCCCCGGACAAGCAATCTATAGATTATCCTGGGACCAGAAAAAAAAAAGTCCTAGGATTTTTAGTTTCCTTAACCCTCAAGTGGCTGGAAACTGTTAATCAGAGAGGAATGAACATAAATAACACCAAGCCGAGCTCCGTCTGATCCGAAGTGAGCCCCCAAACAGCTTCTGTCTGCCCTGATTACCAAAGGAAGCCATGCCCACGCATAAATTGGCAGTCTATTTAAACTGGGTGTTCTTCCTCACAGTTTTTTTTTTTTCCCAGAGAAATATTCAAAGGCAGGCATTTTTCTGGCTAAGAAGATATTTATTTAAGTCACAGATTGCTTCACCTTCCCAAACTTGCCCGGCACACTTGGTGTAGGGCAAAGCCTCATCCTTGTCACATCTGTCCCTCTCCCCTCTGGAGCAGGGGCCAGAGGACTTTGGAGGACACCTACTCCCCCCACCCCCAAGGCTTCGGCTTCCCAGGGGGGGCTTGGCAGTGTGAGAAAGGCAAACCGCCTTCCGACCTGGTTGAAATTTTGTTTCCCATTGCTCCCTAGAGGTGTCCCTTGGCCGTGGATAACGCTCACTCTGTTCCTAGCCTCGCGCTCACCGTGTTTGTCCATGGAGGTTATAGGGAACTTGAGTGCGGGGTCCCCACCGCCGGAGCAGAGGGCTAGGGACCCGATAGCGCCTGGTGTGCCATAGCGCATTGGACCCACCCGAGAGCCCGCGTTCTGCTGCACCGGTGGCGGCCACAGGCGGGAGCGCCTATGCGCCTTGGACCCAAGGCGCCCAGGGGGTGGGTGGGACGGACCTGGAGGGGGTACAGGGGGGGCCTGCGCCCACCTCTCTGCACGCGCATCTGCCGCTTCCCGTGCCCCATAGGGGAGCCCCGGGCTCCGTGAATCCTCGGGTTCAGTCCCGCGTCCGGATTCCGCGTCCTCCCCGAAGTTGGGGCTCCCCAACCGTGGCCCCCCAAAGCGCCCGCACGAGCGCACTCACCCGCTCTCCCCGGTGCGTCCCTGAAGGTCAAGGCCAGGAGGCGGTGGAGGTGCAGGGCGGGCGGTGGGGCCCGGAGTAGGGGGCGCGGGCGCCGAGCTGGGGGGCACCGCGGGACGGCTCAGTCCCCATGGCCCTGGCGCTGGGGGCGCCCCCCGCCTGGCGACCCCGGGGGTCCGCGGCGCTCAGATGCCGTGGTCACAGTCCACATCGCGGCAGATGTACCAGAGGATCACGTAGAGGATGAGGAGGATGGCGAAGATGAAGAGGGCCACCAGGATCGCCTTGGTCACCGGCGAGATGAGAGACTGCATGGCCCCAGCGGGGCGCGCGGGAGGGCGGGGGGCGCGCGGGGGCGCGGGGCGCGGCGCTCACGACCCCCGAGCGCGCCCGGAGCCCCGCGCCGGCCCCGCGCCGCATCCGCAATGCTCCGTGCCCGGGACAGACGCTGCCTGGGTGGCTGCTCGGCGGCGGCGGTGGTGGCAGTGGTGGCTGCTCGGAGGCCGGCGCGCTCGGGTGCAGGCGGCTGCGCGCGGGGCTCCCACCGCCCGGGTCCCCCCAGCTGCTGGCGCTCACCGGGCCCGGCGGCCGCTGGGCTGGGCTGGGGGCACGGGGGGCCCTGGGGGCGGCCGGGAGGAGGGGGCGGCGGCCATGGGGGAGAGCTGGAGGAAGGCGGCGCGCCGGGCAAGTCCCCCGAAAACTTGGGGCGGAGGCGGCGCGGTGACAGGTGGAAACGCCAGCCCCGCGGGCAGCAGCGCGCAGCCGTCCACTGGCGGCGGGGGGCGCGGGGGCGCGGGAGGGAGGCGCGGGGGCGAGCGCGCGGGGAGGGGCTGCGGCACTGGGCGGGGGGCCTCCCTTTGCAGATGGGGAGGGTCGGGGGAGAGCAGGCGTCCCCGACTGCGCGCCTTTCCATCACCTCTCCCACCTCTCTGCTTTTCCCGGCCCCCTCTCTCCAGCGCAGCGGTGGATATCTCTCTCGTCCAGGTCTTGCATCTCACCCCTTCTTTGGGAGTCCCCTTCCTTTCCTCTTTTCCTCACTCTCACCCTGCACCCCGGTATGGGTGAGCTGCGATATTCTCATCAAAGAATGAAGGTGCTCATGGAGAGAAGCTGCCCCTTCTCTCTTTCTCTCTCTCTCTCTGTGTCTCTTGTACAGGGAAGGGGGTTTCAAGTTGCAACTAACTCATTGCTGATACCAAGCAGGATGGGCCCAGGCAGGAAAAAAGTACACACCCTTGCCCAGAGTCACAGCTTCTATAAGGGGAAGGGGGAGACTGGGTTCTGTGATGAAGGGGTGAGGCAGACGTCTTGGTGTGAGACTCAGTCCCGTGATAAAGGGGCGATGCACACAGACGCCTTAGTGTAAGGATCCAGGTTTCTGCCCTCGCATCACAGAAAGCCCTCCACCCCACGTTTGTCCCTTACTCTCTGGGGCTTAGCCCTGGGGAATGGAGAGACAGGCATGGTGGCACGTGGGTGCACACACATTTTTCCTGAAGTGTGAGCTGTGTTTAGGGCTGATGTCTGGTGGAGACACGAACAGGTCAGGGCACAGCACAGAAGGCCGAAGGAGCCCAAATTCTTGGGAAAGGAGGTAGTTCCTCCCTAGCTGGGCATCCTGAATACTCTCTTTAAGGGAGGGAGGGAGCTGGGGCTGTTGGACAGGGGCATAGGGCTTGCACCAGGAATCCATGACATGGTAAGAACAGGGACCACCCAGTTTCCCAGCAAATACACAATTCAGGCCTTTCATGCCCTGATTTTTGTCTCCGCTCCCTGTGGCCCCTAACACCGGTGAGCAGGAGCTGTTCCACGATGCCTGGTAGAAGTCTTCGCCTGCCTGCAGTGACACACTACTGAGGGAAAATTTTATACCTGCATGCAGTGACCCCAGCACCGATGCCCCATGGTTCTGGGAGACAGAAAGAGCTTCAGGGTTGGAGAGCCTTTGTCTGAGAGCCTGGCTCCCGAGGGTAAGGCATTCCTGACCTTCAGAAACAGGAACAAAGGAGAAGATAGGACCTGACCCAGGTAAAAATAGCCTCCCCTGCTATGGTCTAGGATGGATTTGCAGCTGAGGAAGGATGCCAGGAAAATGGACCATGATATCAGAGGGCTGTGTGGGTCGGGGAAAAAGGAATTCATCAAGCACTAAAGTGGCGATGCAATCTCTCCTCTGCACCCTTCTACCCGGTGTTTCCATTCCAGAGACAGCTCTTCCCCCAGGATGACACAGGTGGGAGGGAGGAGACCCTCTTCCTGCTGACGGCAAAGAGAAGAGCCCACCTCAGGGTCTCCCAGCAGATAGCCGGGTGGCTGGCGTGGCTTTCCCTTGAATCTGCAGTCTGTGAAAGGTTTTCGAGCAGAAGTGGGGAGCAAGGGAACAGTTTTGTAGATGGCATGACCCATGCCAGCAAGGCTTGCAGCCAGGCAGCTTCTTCTTGCCACTTTAGAGAGGAAATCAATTGTGTGTGTGTGCGCGCGCGCGTACCCGTGTGTGTGGGTGGGTGTGTGTGCACGTGCCCACACAGTGCATGAAAAGGTCCTCGCTCAGCGATAGTGTGTACATTTCCAGGGCAGCAGCTTCTAACTTTCAATTGAACCTGCGTTTCCAGCCTCTAGCTGTTCATCGGCTGAGAGAAGATGGATAATTGAATTTCTATACTTCCACTTCTCTGCACATGAAGAGTTGGTATTCCTCAGGGGAATTCCTCAGGGGAAGAAACACCAAAGTTTCAGACAGTTTGTAAACTTACTTTTGTCTGTACAATTTATCAGACACCCACAGTGAAGCCAAGAGCAAAAAGAACATCCAGATGGAAAGGTATAAGGCAGGTGTCAGAGCCAATACACCACGATTCCTTTCTCACAAATAGAATTTGATTTTTTTTTTTTTTTGAGACAGAGTCTCGCTCTGTCACCCAGTCTGGGGTGCAGTGGTGCGATCTCAGCTCACTGAAACCTCTGCCTCCCGGGTTCAAGTGATTCTCCTGCCTCACCCTCCTGAGTAGCTGGGATTACAGGCGCCCGCCACCATGTCTGGCTAATTTTTTGTATTTTTTAATAGAGATGGGTTTTCACCATGTTGATCAGGCTGGTCTCGAACTCCTGGCCTCAGGTGATCCACTCACCTTGGCTTCCCAAAGTGCTGGGATTACAGGCATGAGCCTCTGTGCCCGGCCTATAATGTGATTTTTAATGTAGGAAGACACAGAACAGAATAGACATCCCAGGAAAAAAAAAAAACATGGATTTACACCCAAGTGACTTTTGACAAAAGCAGCAGGGAAGTACACAGAGGAAAGAACCCTCTATTGAATAAATGGTGCTAGAAAAAATGGATACTGTACTCAGAAGAACACAACTAGCCCCCATCCCTCACCATATACAAAAACAAACTCCGCATGAATTAAAGACTGAAATATAAGACCCCAAACGATGAGATGACTAAAGCTAAAAGAAGAGGAAATGCTTCAGGACCTTGGTCTAGGCCACGATTTTGTGGGCAACAAATTGAAAGCACAGGTACCACAGCCAAAAATAGATAAATGGGTCTATATTAAACCAGAAAAGCTTCTGCTCAGCAAAGGAAACAATCAACCGAGTGGACAGACAAGCTGTAGAATAGGAGAAAATATTTACAAATATTTGGGGATAATAATGACTCATCTGAAAGGGGATGAATCTGGAAAATTACAAGGATCTCAAACAACTCAAGAGTAAACAACAGTAATCCAATTTAAAAATTACCAAAAGGGCAGGGTGCGGTGGCTCACACCTGCAATCCCAGCACTTTGGGAGGCTGAGGCAGGTGGCTCACCTGAGGTCAGGAGTTCCAGACCAGCCTGGCCAACATGGCAAAACCCTTAGCTGGGTGTGGTGGTGGGTGCCTGTAATCACAGCTACTTGAGAGGCTGAGGCAGGAGAATCACTTGAGCCCGGGAGGCGGAGGTTGCAGTGAGCCGAGATGGTGCCAGGCCTGGGCGATAGAGTGAGACTCTGTCTCAAAAAAAAAAATCAAAGGATCTGAATACAAATCTCCCCCAGAAAAGGCAGATTCATGGCCAACTCACCCTAGTTAGAATCACTATTATCAAAGAGACAAAAAGTGAAAAACGCTGGTGAGGATTGGGACAAACGGAAACTCATGTACTGTTGGTGGGAATGTAAATGAATACAGCCAGGATGGAAAACTGTATGGCACTTTCTCAAAAAACTCAAACTAGAACTGCCATATGATTCCGTAATCTTACTACTGTATACATTTTTAAAAGAAAGTCTGTCTATGCAAGAGATATCTGCACCCCCAAGTTTATTGCAACACTCTTCATAATAGCTAAGATGTTCATTAACACATGACTAGACAAAGAAAATGTGGTATCTATCCATCATGGAATACTATTCAGCCATAAAAAATGAAATCTGCCATTTGCGACAACGCAGATGAACTTGGAAGACAATATCTTCAGTGAAGAAAGTCAGGCATGGAAAGATAAATACCCCATGTTTTCACTCGTAAGTGGGAGGTACAAAAAAGTTAAGCTCATAGAAGTAGAGAGTAGAATTATCATTATTAGAAGCTAGTGGCTGAGTGCAGTGGCTCATGCCGGTAATCCCAGCACTTTGGGAGGCCGAGGCAGGTGAATTGTTTGAGGTCAGGAGTTCGAGACCAGCCTGACCAACATGGTGAATCCAAGAGGTGGAGGTTGCAGTGAGCCAAGATTGCGCCACTGCACTCCAGCCTGGGCAACAGAGCGAGAGTCTGTCTCAAAAATAAAAATAAAAATAAAATGCTGTTTCTGCCACTTAATCCTTCAGTCATGTACATATCCTTCATTTTCCTCATCCCTGAGTGACTTCTTGAACTAAATATGGTGGGAAGGCAATGTTTCAGGGCAGCCACTCTCCCTAGAGTGAATTATTTTAGAATCAGAGAAGTGGTTGCTTCCTAAATCACAATGTGTGAACTACTAAACGCTCTCTCCATATGTGGCTTGTGGTTGTTTGGTCCTGAGATACAGAGCTTCTAACGTGGACGGTAATCTATTGATTTACTATCAGTGATTAGGACTTCTCCTTTTTCATCTGTGTATATGGGTTTTTTGTTTGCTTGTTTTTGTTTTTGTTTTTGTTTTTGAGACAGAGTCTCACTCTGTCGCCCAGGCTGGAGTGCAGTGGTACGATCTCAACTCACTGCAACCTCCACCTCCTGGGTTCAAGCAATTCTCCTGCCTCAGCCTCCCAAGTAGCGGGGACTACAGGCATGCGCCACCACACCCGACTAATTTTTGTATTTTCAGTAGAGATGAAGTTTCTCCATGCTGGCCAGGCTGGTCTCGAACTCTTGACCTCAAGTCATCTGCCTGCCTCGGCATCCCAAAGTGCTCACAGGTGTAAGCCACCATGCCTGGGCCGGTTTGTTTTTATTTTAGCTCATAGTTGCATGTAGAAACTCATGGACAAGATGAACCATGAGCCCTGGGGCAGGCAGATGAGGACAGGAAAAGTTCCCCATTGACTAATTCATTCCTGGGTGATTAGAAGTATTGGAAGGATTTTATCACTTCTGATTGGCTCAGTATCTGTGTGAGTAAGAGCTGCTCATGGGCTGACCAGAATCTGCTCCAGGTGGACAGCTATCTCTGGGTCTGTTTACTGAAGAAACGTGTGTACTTTCTTGAATGTGCTACAACTCTTCAGGGTATCCCTGGAGAACTTTGGGATAGGTCCAGCATTCCATGTAGAAGATGGAACATCTTTCCCAAGAGTTTTTGGATCGTGTCTATCTCTGGCTTGACTCAATTGCCTAAAGTAATTGAATAATAAGTGCTTTTCCTCTGCTTCACTTTGAATGCTGAAACATGCGTTTTGTTTTTTAACCAGAGGAAACTTGCCCAAATTCTTGACAATCCTGGGCTCCTTTGGAGGATTGAAAATCTTGGGTCCTGGCTCTGTCTCCTGGATCTGCACGTTGGGTCATCAGTATTCAAAATAATTCAAACTCAGGTGATCCAGTGACCAGCTTTCGCAATTTGCTATATGAAACTGATTTGGCCGGGCATGGTGACTCATGCCTATAATCCTAGCACTTTGGGGGGCTGAGGCAGGTGGATTGCTTGAGGTCAGCAGTTCGAGACCAGCCTGGCCAACATGGTGAAACTCTGTCTCTCCTAAAATACAAAAATTAGCTGGGCATGGTGGCGGGCACCTGTTGTCCCAGCTACTTGGAAGGCTGAAGCAGGAGAATCGCTTGAACCCAGGAGGTAGAGGTTGCAGTGAGCCGAGATTACGTCACTGCACTCCAGCCTGAGTGACAGAGCGAGACTCCGTCTCAAACAACAAAAAACAAAAAAGCAGGAAACAAAACAAAACTGATTTGGTTTACAAATCAAGGTCAAAAATCAAGATTTGGAAAAAATCTTGGTCAAAATCAGGATTTTGACTACTGTTTCTCCATGCCCTGCTCACATGAGAAACCCTCTCTCCCTCCAAGGCTCCAACTCTGTAATCACTTCTCATTCCCAAATCTGTGGGTCAAATCAAGGTCAAAAATCAAGATCTGGGTTGCAGCCGGGCTTGGTGGCTCATGCCTGTAATCCCAGCACTTTGGGAGGCCAAGGTGGGTGGATCACCTGTGGTCAGGAGTTCAAGACCAGCCTGACCAACATGGTGAAACCTCGTCTCTACTAAAAATACAAAATTAGCCAGCCGTGGTGGAATGTGCCTGTAGTCCCAGCCACTTGGGAGGCTGAGGCAGGAGAATTGCTTGAACCCGGAAGGCGGAGGTTGCAGTGAGCTGAGATTACACCAGGGTACTCCAGCCAGGGCGACAGAGTGAGGCTGTGTCTCAAAAACAAAAAGGATTTGGGTTACAAAATCAAGTTTGTAAACCAAATCAAGTCTGTGGTATGGATTTGTGTCCAGTCCCTCTTTATGTGTGCCTTTGTGTTGGGGCGGAGGTGTGGTTATTGTTTTTTCTGATAGTTTTTCCTAATGTGTTATTATTTTTAGTGAGGTTAAGTCTACAGGTTAACTGAGGCATAAACAGACTTGCTATATTTGCTAATTTAGGCAAAACACAAAGCCAATGATAAAAACCGATAAAACCCAATGGACGAAAACGGATGTTTCCGTAATAGCAGGAGTCGCTTAGAGGTTCAAAAGCATTTTACCTTCTTAGTTCATGGTTTCTGCTTTTCTTTAGTCTGCCAGTGTTGTTGTCTTTGGGATATGTCTTTTTACTATTTGCTCAGATTATTTCAAATATGATAGTGGGTAGTGTTGTGTGAAATAGCTAAGATTTTATGTAGATGCTATTAATAAATTTAAACTAACATTTTAGGTGTCCAGCATTTTTTATCTATGAACAGAGCAGCTAACACTAGAAAGAGTTCTCTTTACAGGGAAGCAGATGTAACCCACCTGCTTTTTAGAATGGGGTGGTTTTACAAGGAAACATCTCTCTAGGTTTTTTTTTTTTTTCGTGAGCCAGAGTCTCACTCTGTCGCCAGGCTGGAGCGCAGTGGCACAATCTAGGCTCACTGCAACCTCCGCCTCCTGGGTTCAAGCAATTCCCCTGCCTCAGCCTCCCAAGTAGCTGGGATTACAAGTGTGTGCCACCACGCTCAGCTAATTTTCGTATTTTTAGTAGAGATGAGCTTTCACCATGTTGGCCAAGATGGTCTCGGTCTCCTGACCTTGTGATCCACCCTCCTCGGCCTCCCAAAGTGCTGGGATTATAGGCGTGAGCCACCGCGCCTGGCCGGAAACATCTCTCAAGTTCCTAAGGTAACTGCTTTGTTCCAAAACATAGATTCATTAAACTCAGTGTGTGTGAAAACTAGTAATAAGTTAGCAGAGCTGATGGGGACTTCAGACTTTAGTGTATGTTTTTTACTACCTTATTCCAGCAAATATGGGTTGGCGACAAAACCACAGAAACGATAGAAGAAAGGACATTTTATTTTTAAAATAGCAGAGTGGGAGCCAGTCAGCCATGGATTCAGATGACGAAAACAACCAAAGAAATGTGCACAAACTCTCACAGTGTTATTTCAACAAAGTATATATTTACAGATTGTCTAAATGGGTATGCTTTTTAGCTTTAAGCTTTGCTTTCATTTTTATTTCGTTTGTGGAAAAAAATGTGAAAACCAACAGAGCTGGGGAACACAACGTTGGCCATGCATTCTAATTAACTTGTTTTTTTGGTTTGTTTTTGTTGTTTTTGTTTTGAGATGGAGTCTTACTCTGTCACCCAGGCTGGAGTGCAGTGGCATGATCTCCGCTCACTGCAACCTCTGCCTCCCAGGTTCAAGCGATTCTCCCGCCTCAGCCTCCTGAGTAGCTGGGATTACAGGCACGTGCCACCACACCCATCTAATTTTTGTATTTTTAGTAGAGACGGGGTTTCACCATACTGGCCAGGCTGGTCTTGAACTCCTGACCTCAGGTGATCCGCCCACCTCAGCGTCTATTCTTTGTAACAATCATGTGCCTTGATTTAAGAATTCCCATGTGCTCAAGCTTCTTGACCATCAGAGTGATTGTAAGATAAAGTAAGAATGAGACACCTTGAGGTCTCATTCAGGCCAGTGGGGATGTGTGGGGAAAACAAACAAACAAACCAAAAAAACAGGAAATATGGGTTAGTCACTAACCCTTTAATGGTGTTTCCTGTGTGTTAAAACTTTTTACGTAGAGCCACTGCCTCTCAGGTAGGCAGGACTGTGTCCTTTGTCAAATGAAATAGTGGGGGCAGCAAGTTGAAATCACCTGTGTGATTTAAACCCATGCATTACTTGGGGGAGAACTGTTGACATAATTCAGTGTCAACAGGGGAAGGAACATGTTCTCTTTCCAGAAGGGTATAAAGGTACTGGCCAGGTGCAGTGGCTCACGCCTGTAATCCCAGCACTTTGGGAGGCCGAGGCAGGTGGATCACCTGAAGTCAAGGAGTTCATGACCGGCCTGGCCAACATGGTGAAACCCCGTCTCTACTAAAAATGCAAAAATTAGCAGGGCACGGAAGCAGGCGCCTGTAGTCCTAACTACTCGGGAGGCTGAGGCGGGAGAATCACTTGAACCCAGGAGGCGGAGACTGCAGTGAGCCGAGATTGCTCCACAACACTCCAGCCTGGGCGACAGAGTGAGTCTCTGTCTCAAAACAAACAAACAAACAAATATATATATATATAATATAATATAATATCAGACCAGCTAAAATCACATGTATATGTGGGTCAAACATAAATGTGGTGTTTGAAATGTCCCTTTTCTTTGACACAAAACTTCATTTTTCAAGTATAAAGCCCGATTTTGATGCCCATTTGCGGTGTGCAAGTCCTCATTATTCCAATGCTTCAGAGTCCGTGTTACAGGCAGAAATGTAAATATTTATTCTGTAATCGTCCTTTAATTTTTTTTTGTTCTTTCCTGCATCACAAAGTTTTTGACTGGCTGTTTCGGAAGACTATGTGATAGTTTCCTTTAACAGGGGGAGAAGAGCCCTTCATGATGGCGCTGAAGAATGATGATGCCTGTGTGTGTGCGGACCTGACCAAATTCTCAGGTTTGGGGTTACCCTCTAGATAAAGATTCTGATGGGGAGAGGGAGCTGTGATTTAGTTAATGCTTATCTGACTGCGCCACCTACCGGCTCGGCAGGGAATATGCTGCCTGCCTCTGAGGTTTTCACCGAGGCTGGGTACGGTGGCTCACGCCTGTCATCCCAGCACTTTGGGAGGCCGAGGCGGGAGGATCACGAGGTCAGGAGTTCGAGACCAGCCTGGCCAACATGGTGAAACCCCCGTCTCTATTAAAAGTACAAAAAATTAGCCTGGCGTGATGGTCGGGCGCCTGTAGTCCCAGCTACTCGGGAGGCTGAAGCAGGAGAATGGCGTGAACCCGGAAGGCGGAGTTTGCAGTGAGCCGAGATCTCACCACTACACTCCAGCCTGGGCGACAGAGCGAGATTCCATCTCAAATTAAAAAAAAAAAAAAAAAAGGTGTGTGTACCCCTGCACCCCTGCAAGGGGACACGAGGCACCATGGCCACCTGTCATCGTTCTTAGATCTGAGAAGAGTGAAAAAAAAAAAAGTGCTGTGTACAGATAGATTTTGGAGTTTTAAAGCCTGCTTGCTGTGGGAGACTTTTCAGTATTCAAACTTTTATATTTAAGTACAATTTTTGATGATGTTGTGTCTTTTTTTTTTTGAAATGGGGGTCTTGTTCTGTCACCCAGGCTAGAAAGAAGTGGTGCCATCACAGCTCACTGCAGCCTTGACATCCTGGGGGCAAGCAATCCTCCCACCTCAGCCTCCAGACCAGCTAAAATCACAGGCGTGTGCCACCATGCTCAGCTAATATGTTTGTTTGTTTGTTTTGTAGAGACGAGGTATCACTATGTTGTCCAGGGTGGTCTTGAACTCTTGAACTCAAGAAATCCTCCTGCCTTAGTCTCCCAAAGTGCTAGGATTACAGACGTGCGTTACCGTGTGCAACCTGATATTTTATCTGACAATGGTAGGGAGGGGCCAGAAGAGTCAGGGAGAGGGAGATGGAGACAGAAAGGAAAAGGAATAAAGAGAGAGAGAGAGAGACAAGGAGAGAGAGACTGATGGAAATTCTTTTTCCACCAACCGAGAAGAGAAGCAGCATCCCATCAGAGGGGGTTGATCCAAGCCATCTACTGTATTAGTTCATGAGAAATGACTGGCTGTAACACATGAGCCCTGGAATTTCTGTGGCTTAACAATTAAATAATTATTTCTCACTCATCCAGTTGTCCAGTGTAAGACTTAGGGACCCCTGAGCAGGCGGCCAGCTCTCAGCAAAGACAGCACAGTACCAGGGAAGGGTCACAGGAATTTTGGCACATGGCCAGCTGGTTCCACTGCACCTGCCCAGGGACGCTGGTCTCCAGGCTCCTGGCTTCTCAGCCTCAGCACAGATGTCTGCATCCCCAGAATTTTAAGGGAGGCTGCTGGAAGCCGGGGCAGGAGGTGGGATGAGAATGAAGCTTTTCAGAGCAGAGACCATAACAGACCAATTTTCAAATTGTCTGAAAATGGAGCATGACCCAAATTCTTAGGAGACTCTAGGGAGGAGAGGGAACCGCAATAATAGCCGACATCACATTTCCCAGGGGAGTGGAGTCTAAGAGTCAGATTTGAGTCCGTTTAGATTGAAATTGGAAAGATACAGAGATGGAAGAGTCTGATGTTTCCTCAAAAGGTTAACCGAAGACATACCATATGTAGTAGTTTGTTTTCACACTGCTGATAAAGACATACCCAAAATTGGGCAACTAACAGAAGAAAGAGAGGTTTAATGAACTTATAGTTCCATGTGGCTGGGGAGGCCTCACAATCATGGCAGAAGGCAAGGAGAAGCAAGTCACGTCTTACATGGATGGTAGCAGGCAAAGAGAGAGCTTGTGCAGGAAAACTCCCTTTTATAAAATCATCAGATCTCATGAGACTTATTCACTACCATGAGTACAGCATGGGAAAGACCTGTCCCCATGATTCAATTACCTCCCACAACACATGGGAATTCAAGATGAGATTTGGGTGGGGACACAGCCAAACCACATCACCCTATGAGCCAGCAATTCTGCTTCTGGGCACATACTCAAGAGAAAAACGAGAACACGTGTCCACCAAATAGCTTGTACATTTATACACGTAATGTTGATAGCTGCACTACTCAAAATAGCCAAAAAGTGAAGGTGACCCAAACGTCCCTCAGCCAATGAACGGATTTAACAAAATATGGCATATCCATACAGTGGAATGTGATTCAGGCAGAAAAAGGTTTCAAGTGCTGACACATGCTACAGTGTGGGTGAGCCTTACAAACATACACTGGCCAGGTGCAGTGGCTCCTTCCCGTAATCCCAACACATTGGGTGGCCAAGGCAGGTGGATTCCTGGAGGCCTGGAGTTTGAGACCAGCCTGGTCAACACGGTGAAACCCCATCTCTACTAAAAGGAAAATGCAAAAATTAGCCAGGTGCGGTGGTGCACACCTGTACTCCCAGCTACTCGGGAGGCTGGGGCACGAGAATTGGTTTAGCCTGGGAGATGGAGGTTGTAGTGTGCAGTGAGCCAAAATCATGTCACTGCACTCCAGCCTGGGTGACAGAGAGTGAGACTCTGTCTCAAACAAACAAACAAAAACAAAAACAAAAAAAAAACCAAAAAAGCCCACTAACCCTAATGATTGCTGATGAGCTTTTTATAAAAATCGCAATCTTGGTCTCCTAAGTCATATTTTGGGTGGCGTATCTTGGTCTCCTAAGTCATATTTTGGGTGGCATATCTCGGTATCTTATAGGACATTCCTTTAGGTATTGCTCATTCACCCAAGGTGGCAGATTCCTATGGATTCCATCATAAATCAAGGACATGAATGAAGCCAATATTCTGTTCCCTCCCATTATGAATAAGCATCATAAACAAGACACAGGAAAAACCATGTTTTGGCTCACGCTTTCCATAGAACTCCCATAGCCCTGAAATAGTCTGCTTTATTCATAGCAATGTGCCACCAGGACATACTTGTTTATTCCTTGCAGAAATTAAGGGTAATGACAACCACTTTCAGTTTAGCATACCATTTTGAGCATGTAACTGAAAAGTGCATTCACTGTATCTCCAAAAATAATGATATACATGCATATTTGTTTCTTGCAAACAAATATAAGTGCTCACACTATATCTCCAAAATGATATGCATGCATATTTTTTTCTTGCAAACAAAGTGCTCACGCTATATCTCCAAAATAATGATATGCATGCATATTTGTTTCTTGATAGGACAGATGTAAATATTTATGTGTGCTAAGATGTGGGGGACATTGAAAGGCTGCTGGGGTTTTTGCAGGCCCCTTAGAAGTGTTGCATGTGTTAAGAAGATGGGAAATACCCTCTTCCATAATTTATGGATGCTAACTACATTCTCTAGCTCCCTTTCAGAGCCTGTCAGATACAAATGTAAAATTGTGTTTCCTCTCTCCCCATTATTTTTCCATGGATGTCATTTAGGAAATGAAAACGAACTCATGAGGACATGAGGATTGGATTGGATTCGACCACGAGAGTGATGGAGGGGTTTCAACAAAGTTCACCAAACTCCAGGCTCTTCATGGTGTCTGTCCACATGATTCAAAGTGTGACACACCCAGGCTTCCCGGAATTTAATTGACAGGTAACGTTTCAACATGTTTTCTGGAAGCACAGAAAGTCTAGATTTCAAGGAGGTGACTCTTTTCTCCCCAAAGCAGACCTTGAGACCGTGATTTTACCGCAAAGCTTTTGTGTTTGGGGAGGGTGGGCGGGGGTGAGTCCCAGGGAGCAGTGGGAGGGGAGAGGGAGTGAAGACAGAGAGTGGAAGATATTATCAGGCCAGTGACTGCAATGAGAGCTTGGAGACTCAGGGTCATCCCACCGGAAGAGTGAGGAAGGCCGGGGTCTTTTTCTGTCGTTTCCCAACATGTGTTGGCTGAGGTTGCTTCCAGGATGGGGGCATATGCTAGTTTTCTTGCACTTCCAATCTGCTCAATGGGTGGTGTATTCGGCTCTTCTTGTACTGCTATAAAGAAATACCTGAGAATGGGTAATTGATAAAGAAGAGAGGTTTAATCGGCTCACAGTTCTGCAGGCTGGACAGGAAGCCTGACTGGGGAAGCCTCAGGAAACTTACAATTATGGCAGAAGGCAAAGGGCAAGCAGGTGCATCTTACATGGTTAGAACAGGAGCAGGAGAGAGAGTGAGAAGGGAGGTGCCACACACTATTAAACAACTTGATCTTGTGAGAAATCACTCACTAGCATGAGAACAGCACCAAGAAGAGGATGCTAGACCATTCATGAAAAAGCACCCCCATGACCGAACCATCTCCCAATGGGCCCCAGCTCCAACGTTGGGGATTACAATTTGACATAACATTTGGGTGGGAACACAGATCCAAACCTTAGCAGGTGGGAAAGCAGGCTCAAGGGATAAGAGAATGGCATTGGGAAAATGATCACGTGTCTTGGCACCCAGAGGTTGGACCATCTTGCACTGACTGACAGTGTTGAGGAGGTAAAGTCCACGCCATATTGGTGAACTCCAGGAACGTGCTTCATTTTTTTTTTTGCAAGCAAGCAACAGCATCTTTTATATCTAAGCAGCAAGACAAGCTGCCATCTTGTTTATCAATAGATCTAACATCTGAGTTGAATGTCTCCTATGAATTCCTACATCTCCTATCTGTGTGTCTATGAGAATAGCCAAGTTGCCTCTTTGCCTTGAAAGGAAAGGATGGATGGAAAAGAGTTTGAACACTCCAGGTTTGCTGGAGGGAGTGATGACATCTGAACAGGAGAGGAGTCAAAGTGTTACTGGAAAGGGGTCCCAATTCAAACCCCAAGAGAGTTTTTGGATCTCATGCAAGAAAAAATTCAGGATAAGTCCACAGAGTGAAAGCAAGTTTATTAAGAAAGTAAAAGGGCTGGGCAGGGTGGCTCATGCCTGTAATGCCAACATTTTGGGAGGCTGAGATGGGCGGAATGCTTGAGCTCAAGAGTTTGAAACCAGCCTTGCCAACATGACAAAACTCCGTCTCTACCAAAAATAAAAAAGTTAGCTGGGTGTGGTGGCATGTACCTATGGTCCCAGCTACTTGGGAGACTGAGGTGGGAGGATTGCTTAAGCCCAACAGGTTGAGGCTACAGTGAACTCTGATTGTGCCAACGGACTCCACCCTGGGTAACAGAGCGAGACCTTGTCTCAGGGAAAAAAAAAAAAAAAAGAAAGTAAAGGAGTAAAACAATGGCTACTCCATAGACAGAACAGAAGCGTGGGCTGCTTGACTGAGTATACTTATGGTTATTTCTTGATTATATGCTAAACAAAGGGCATTTAGCATATAATCTGAATGCCATATTATATGCTAAATTCAAGAGTTTTCTGGGAAACGGGAGTTTCTATAACTGAGGGTTCCTCCCCTTTTAGCCAATATAGGGTAACTTCTGGATGTTGCCATGGCATTTGTAAACCGTCACAACACTGTTGGGAGTATTTTTGAGAAGCGAATGTATTAGAATTAGGGTATAATGAGCAGCGAGGATGACCAGAGGTCACTCTCATCGCCATCTGGGTTTTGGTGGGTTCTGGCCGGCTTCTTTACTGCAAACTGTTTTATCAGCAAGGTCTTTATGACCTGTATCTTGTGCTGACCTCCCATCTCATTCTGTGACTAAGAATGCCTAACCTCCTGGGAATGCAGCCCAGCAGGTCTCAGCCTCATTTTACCCAGCTCCTATTCAAGATTGAGTTGCTCTGGTTCAAATGCCTCTAACAAGAGAACATGTTGGGCCGGGCGTGGTGGCTCATATCTGTAATCCCAGCACTTTGGGAGGCTGAGGTGGGTGGAACATTTGAGGTCAGGAGTTCGAGACCAGCCTGGCCAACATAGTGAAACCCTGTCTCTACTAAAAATATAAAAAATTAGCTAGGCGTGGTGACGGGCACCTGTAATCCCAGATACTCAGGAGGCTGAGGCAGGAGAATCGCTTGAACCCGGGAGGCAGAGGTTGCAGTGACCCAAGATCGCACCATTGCACTCCAGCCTGGGGGACAAGAGCGAAGCTCCGTCTCAAAAAAAAAAAAAAAAAGAGAGAATGTGTTGGTCGTCTGCTTCTTTGGCCAAGAACCTATGTGTGAATGTAACAGTGAGAAAATTCTAACATAGTTCACTCTGTCTTGCTTCTCACCTCACAAGCTAACTGCATTTGCTCATTCCTACAAATAGGTCAAGCTAATCATGAATTCAGTTTACAGTTTAACTTTAAAGCAAGAATGATCATAGTCCCTTCCCAAAAATAACCCCCGAGGGGATCAGGAGGATGTGCGCAGAAGGAACAATGTTATGTCAAAGATTTATAAGAGCACTGTGACCTGACCAAGGATGAGGAAGTTCCACAAGGCCCCTTGGACCATAATAGCCGCCCAGATGTCTGTGGTCATTGCTCACCTCTTGCCCTCTACCACCCTCCCTCTCCCCCTGGCATAAAAGCAGCCTAAAATTCTATTAAGATGGTTCTTTCAACCCAAATGCCCATCAGTGATAGACTGGATAAAGAATATGTAGCACATATACACCATGGAATACTATGCAGCCGTAAAAAAGAATGAGTTCATGTCCCTTGCAGGGACATGGATGAAGCCGGAAACCATCATTCTCGGCAAACTAACACAGCAACAGAAAACCAACCACCACATGTTCTCACTCATAAGTGGGAGCTGAACAATGAGAACACATAGACACAGGGAGGGGAACATCACACACCGGGGCCTGTTGCAGGGTGGGGGGCAAGGGGAGGGACAGCATTAGGACAAATACCTAATGCCTGCGGGGCTTAAAACCTAGATGATGGGTTCACAGGTACAGCAAACCACCGTGGCACATGCATACCTATGTAACAAACCTGCACATTCTGCACGTGTGTCCCAGAACTTAAAGTATAATAATAAATTAAAAAAAAAAAAGATGGCTTTTTAGGACAGCAGTCTTCTGTCTTCTTGACTTGCTGGTTCTTCAAAATAAAGTTGCTGTCCTTACCTTCACACCTTGTGTCTAGACTTACTGGCTATCACGCAATGTGTGGAGGGAGCTTTAGACGCGACGACAGGATGGTGAAGGGGGTGGTCACACGTGGAAGGAGACAGAAGGAAAGGTGCAGAGAACTGGGCAAGGCACTTGGCACAGCTGACCATTTTGTGTGATTCTGGGACAGAGAGAAGTGATGGTAGGTAATCTCCCAAAACTGTTCAGCAGCTGAGAGACCTGCTCCTTCCCCCAGCCGGCTCCGAGGAGCTGCATTTCTGCACAATGTACAGTAGCCCTCCCGCCCCATCTGTGGTTTTGCTTTCCACGGTGAAAGAGTTTGGATATTTGTCCCTGTCAAATCTCATGTCAAATTGTCATGCCCAATGCTGGAGGTGGGCCTGGTGGCAGGTGTTTGGGTCATGGGGGCAGATTCCTCATGGCTTACTTCTGTCCTCGAAATAGTGAGTGAGTTCTTGCCAGATCTGGCTGTTTTAGTGCTGTGGCACCCTCACCACCCCCGTGTTGCTCCTGTTTTTCCCGTGTGATGTGCCTACCCCCACTTCATCTTCCACCATAACTGGAAGCTTCCTGAGGCCCTAGAAGCTGAGCAGATGCCGGTGCCGTGCTTTCTCCATAGCCTGCAGAACCATGAGCCAATTACACCTCCTTTGTGTGTGTGTGTGTGTGTGAGAGAGACAGGAGTCTTGCTGTCGCCCAGGCTGGAGTGCAGTGGTGTGATCTCAGCTCACTGCAACCTCCACCTCCCAGGTTCAAGCGATTCCCCTGCCTCAGCCTCCCAAGTAGCTGGGATTACAAGCACCCACCATGACCCCCGGCTAATTTTTTGTATTTTTTGTAGAGACAGGGTTTCACCATGTTGGCCAGGCTGGTCTCAGACTCCTGATCTCAAGTGATCCTCCCGCCTCAGCCTCCCAAAGTGCTGGGATTACAGGCGTGAGCCACCGTGCCCGGCCCACCTCTTTTTTTCGTATAAATTACCCAGTCTCTGGTATTTCTTTGCAGCAATGCAAGAACAGCCTACAACATGTGGTTTCCGTTATCACTGGTCAACTATGGCTGAAAATACTAAGATATTTCAAGAGAGAGAGTGAGACACACACATGAAAGAGAGAGAGAGCACATTACATTCACATAACTTTTACTACAGTATATTGTTGTAATTGTTCTATTTTATTATTAGTCTGTTGTTGTTAATCTTTCACTGTGCCTAATTCATAAATTAAACCTTACCATTATAGGTTTGTTTGTATAAGAAAAGAAACAGGCTGGCCACAGTGGCTCACACCTGTAAACCCAGAACTTTGGGAGGCGGGTTGATCACCTGAGGTCAGGAGTTTGAGACTAGCCTGACCAACATGGCAAAATCCCATCTCTATTAACAATAGAAAAAAATGAGCCAGCTGTGGTGGCAGGCACCTGTAATCCCAGCTACTTGGGAGGCTGAGACAGGAGAATTGCTTGAACCCGGGAGGTGGAGGTTGCAGAGAGCCAAGATCACACCACTGCATTCCAGCCTGGGTGACAGAGCAAGACCCTGTCTCAAAGAAAAATAAATAAATAAATAAAATGTACTAAAGGAAATAAAAATATTTTATCTCAAAATATATTTCTTTAATATATTGGGGAATACTCCTGAAATGCTATCTTTCCACTTCTCAAAAGAAGACATTCATATGGCCAAAAAAAACATATGGAAAAACCTCAGCACCGCTGATTCTTAGAGAAATGCAAATCAAAGCCACAATGAGACCCCATCTCACACCAGTCAGGATGGTGATTATTAAAAAGTCAAAACACAACCGGTGCTGGCGAGGTTGTGGAGAAATAGAAACACTGTGACACTGTTGGTGGGAGTGTAAATGAATTCAACCATTGTGGAAGACAGTGTGGCGATTCCCCAGAGACCTCAAGGCAGAATTACCATTTGACCCAGCAATCCCATTACTGGGTATGTACCCAAAGGAAAAATCATTCTATTATAAAGATACACGCATGCGTATGTTCATTGCAGCGCTGTTCACAATAGCAAAGACATAGAATCAACCTAAATGCCTAAATAATAGGCTGGATAAAGAAAATGCGGTGGCCAGGCACAGTGGCTCATACCTGTAATCCCAGCACTTTGGGAGGCTGAGGCGGGCAGATCACTTGAGGTCAGGAGTTCAAGACCAGCCTGGCCAACATGGTGAAACCCCGTCTCTACTAAAAATACAAAAATGTGCTGGGTGTGATGGTGGGTGCCTGTAATCCTAGCTACTTGGCAGGCTGAGGCAGGAGAATCGCTTGAACCCGGGAAGCGGAGGTTGCAGTGAGCTGAGATTGCACCACAGCACTCCAGCCTGGGTGACAGAGCAAGACTCTATTTCAAAAAGAAAGAAAGAAAAAAAAGAAATAGTACATATACACCATGGAATACTATGCAGCCATACAAAAGAATGAGTTCGTGTCCTTTGCAGGAACACGGATGGAGTTGGAAGCCGTTATCCTCAGCAAACTAATGCAGGAACAGAAAATAAAATACTGCATGTTCTCACTTATAAGTGGGAGCTGAAGAATGAGAGCACATGGACACGGGGAGGAGAACACACACTAGGGTCTGTGAAAAGGTCGGGGGTAGGGGGAGGGAGAGCCTCAGGAAGAAGAGCTAATGGATGCTGGCTTCATACCTGAGTGACGGGTTGATCTGTGCAGCAAAGCACCATGGCACATGTTTACTTAGTAACAAACCTGCACGTGCACCCTTGAATTTACAATAAAATTTGAAGAAAAACAAAAAAGAAGAAGAAACACTGTCTTTTGTGGGGGACCTTGCGTCTGTCGATCTGCAGAGGGTCTCCTGTAAGGCAGCCAACTCTTCTCTTGTCCGGATCTAGGAGAGATTAACTGAGAGTATGGTGCCTTTAAAGACCTGAAAAGAAATATTCAGCATCTCTTCTCTCTGGGGGCTGCTACCTGTGAAGCTGCATGTACATAACAAGCCCACTTTTGCTAGGAAAGCCTTTTCCTTTCTCCTTCCTATAACCTGTCTTGCAGCTAAAACCTGGTTTTGGCTGGACTCTGAGTCTGCATTCTTGTTTTTTGTTTTATTTGGTTGTATTTTGAGATAGGGTCTCCGTCGCCCAGGCTGGAGTGCAGTGGTGCAATTACATCTCTGCAGTCTTCATCTCCCAGGCTCAAGCAATCAGCATGCCTGGCTAATTAAAAAAAAAAAAAAATTGGGCAGGCGGGGGAGGTGAGCATGGTGGCTCACGCCTGTAATCCCAGCACTTTGGGAGGCCGAGGCAGAGGGATCACCTGAGGTTAGGAGTTTGAGACCAGCCTGGCCAACATGGTGAAACCCCATCTCTACTAAAAATATAAAAATTGGCTGGGCGTGGTGGTGCATGCCTGTACTCCCAGCTACTCGGGAGGCTGAGGCAGGAGAATCGCTTGAACCCGACAGGCGGAGGTTGGAGTGAGCCGAGATTGCGCCACTGCACTCCAGCCTGGGCGACAGAGGGAGACCCAGTCTCCAGAAAAAAAAAAAAAAATGGTTGTGGTCAGAAACAGGGAAATGTAGGGAAGCCATAAACTCAGTAATGAACTAGACTCCTTTTAGGGAGTAGATTAGGCTGTTCCTGGTGTGTGTTACCAGAGATTCTGAAATATTCCTCGGTCGAATGCCTCCAAGAGTGATGTAGTCAACCACAAACCTCCCCCATCTGTTATATCTCCTTGTCTTGTCCCCCCAGATTGTTTTCTCATTGCTTTGCTTTTCCTGATGGGGTTCAGAAAACATTCCACCAAAATATGGAACTGTGGCATTTGAGAAAACAATTTAAGTAAGAAGGTCACTTTCACCTTACCCTCATGGTTCTTCTTTAGCATAGGCCATAAAACCTCGGAAGGACTCTCTGACCTTACCCTGAAGCAGGTCAGGGGACCCTCATTCCAGAGGCGCCCTCCCTATACCAGGAGGAAGAGAATATCCTTAACTCTGAACATGCAGGGACACAGAAGAATCTGAACAAACAGGCCCTGCTAAGTTCCCGCAGTTTATTCTCATTAGATCAGATCCTTTTGCCAGAGGCATGTAAAACAGAGCCACTCCATCTTGAATAGGAGCTGGGTAAAATGAGGCTAAAACCTACTTGGCTGAATTCCCAGATGGTTAAGGCATTCTAAGTCACAGGATGAGATAGGAGGTTGGTACAAGATACAGGTGATAAAGACCTTGCTGATAAAACAGGTTGCAGTAAAGAAGCCAGCCAAAACCCACCAAAACCAAGATGGCCACAACAGTGACCTCTGGTCGTCCTCACTGCTACACTCCTACCAGCACCATGACAGTTTACAGATGCCATGGCAACGTCAGGAAGTTACCCTACATGGTCTAAAAAGGGGAGGCATGAATAATCCACCCCCCATTTAGCATATCATCAAGAAATAACCATAAAAATGGGCAACCAGGAGCCCTCGGGGCTGCTCTATGGAGTAGCCATTCTTTATTCCTTTTGTTTCCTAATAAACTTGCTTTCACTTTACTCTATGGACTCACCCCGAATTCTTTCTTGCTTGAGATCCAAGAACCCTCTCTTGCGGTCTGGATTGGGACCCCATTCCTGTAACGTTTTTGTCCAATAGTCATACTTCTCCATCACTGTCCACTCTTCATTAAAAGTAAGCATATCACATCTGTAATCCCAGCACTTTGGGAGCCGAGGTGGGTGGATCAACTGAGGTCAGGAGTTCGAAACCAGCCTGGCCAACATGGTAAGAGTCGCTTGAACTCAGGAGGTGGAGGTTGCAATGAGCTGAGATCCCGTCACTGCACTCCAGCCTGGGTGACAGAGTGAGATTCCGTCTCAAAAACAAACAAACAAACAAACAAAAAACCAGAAAACCTAAGCGTAAAAATACTCAGATTTTCCTGTTTCTTTCTTTATGATGGCTTCTGTGTCACGTAAAACCTAAATACATGGGCCTGCTTTTCTCTTGCTATTGTCTTTTGTTCTAGGGGCCTTAGTCATGAACCCAATGATGGGTGAGGAAATATATTTCTCTCTCACTGCTACCCTGCCATTACGACAGGCCACAGGCAGCACTTCCAGCTGCTCCGTGGATGTGCTGCAACTTGAATTTGAACTTATTTCAAGTTCTTTGCCTTCAGAATGGTCAGGAATAGAGCCCATCTTCCAGGTGAACCACAGCCCCATCATGTCAACAGGTTTAGACGCAATGACATTGGAGAGGCTTGACTGCTGAAAGTGAAGAAGGAAAGTGCTTCCTAGGATAGAGTTTGTAAAGGAGCTTAAATCAGTGATGTCTTCTTGCGTCCGGTCCATGCCAATGCGCAATTTCATTTTGTTTCCCTCTTTACAGAAGAGGCTGGTCCCTGACTCTCTGGAACTGTATGCATGAGATGTTTCTCCTGAATCTACAGAGACGTAAATCCCCATGACTCAAAGACAGAATCTGTGAAATTTTACTGTCTGATCTGGGAACAGTTTTTAGGATGTCATTGTCATCTGTTGATTGGATTTTGAGTTGACCCCCAAAAGTTCAGATAAAAAACATGTGTCTCAGCAGATCTGGTAGGCTGTGCCCCTCTTCTTCTTCTTCTTTTTTTTTTTTTTTGAGATGTAATCTTGCTCTGTCGCCCAGGCTGGAGTGTAGTAGTGTGATCTGAGCTCACCGCAACATCCGCCTCCCAGGTTCAAGTGATTCTCCTGCCTCAGCCTCCAGAGTAGCTGGGATTACAGGCACTCACTGCCATGCCCAGCTAATTTTTGCATTTTTAGTAGAGATGGGGCTTCACCATGTTGGCCAGGCTGGTCTCGAACTCCTGACCTCAGGTGATCCACCCACCTCGGCCTCCCAAAGTACTGGGATTACAGGCATGAGCCACTGTGCCTGGCCTGCCCTTCTTTTCTTGCATGTCTCTGGCTGGTATTTAGTGTGCAAACATGGCATCACTGGTACTGTACTAGCCAGCTGAAAAGACGCATACACAGGCTCACACACTAAGTTATTGCCAAATTAATTATTGCTGTAAAAATGCTTTGCACCACTGAGGGGGCACAGACCATGAAATTTCCAATGTATGAACTCTAGGCTACCAAATACTGTTTACCTTTGGGCGCTGTGAACCCCGAGGAAAATTCCAGTGATTTGGGGGCAGTCACAAGGCAAAGTGGTCCAAATGGCCTGAACTCAAAATCAAAGAGCCCTTCGTTTTGATCCCAGTCCACTGCTAATGAACTCTATGGCCCTGTGTTGTTTTCTTATCAGCAGACGTGAGCTAATAAGTCCAATATCCATGTATCACAATTGTTTCCCAATGAATGAACACACAGAAAGTTACACAATACAAAAATGTCAGGTAAAAATTTACTTGTTTGTCCATCAATCCATCTATTCACTCATCCATCCACTCATCCATCTATTCTTCTTCTACCCACCCATCTATCCAGCTATCTATCCGTCTGTCCACTTATCTATCCATCCATCCATTCGTCCATCCATCCATCCATCCATCCACCCACTCATCTATCTCTACCCATCCATCCAGCCAGCCAGTAATCTGTCCACCCATCTATCCATCCATCCACCCACCCACCCATCTCTCTCTACCCCTCCAGCCACCCAGTAATCTGTCCATCCACCTATCCTTCCAACCATCCATCCACCCACCCATCCACCCACTTATCTATCTGTCCATCTATCCATAGATCAATCCGTCTATCCCCCCTTTCATCCATCCATTTATTCATCTGTCCATTTATCCATTCCTCCACCCACCCATCCATTCATCCATTTATTCATCTATGTATCCATCCATTCATCCATCCACCCAACTATCTATCCATCCAATCATCCACTCATCTTTCCATCCATCCACCCATTTATTCATTCATCCAGCCATCTATCTCTTTATCCATCCTTCCAGCAAGTGATCCATCCATTCACGCATCCAGATGGCTGTCTGTCCATTCATTCATCCATCCACCACTTCCTACCCCCAGACCCATCTATCCACCCATCATCCACTGACTTCAAAAGCTTCATTTGATCGTCTGTGCAGCAGACATGGTGTGTGATGCTCTGACACCTCTTAAGTGCTTTGGTTGCCCACAAGAACCTCACGGGAGGTCTCTAAGTTGGGCTCAGACCTTGGTAATGAAAACCAGAAATAAAAGTGATTTAAAGAAAGCTGATAGAAACCTAACTTTAGCAAATGGTAAGATAAAAATGTACTCCTTTGTCCTGTAAAAGAAGTTGGGAATGTGAGTCGGGCTGGCACAGCCGTCCTGCTGTATCATCAGCCACCCTGATACCTTTGCTCAACGTGTTCTGCCATGCTTAGAATACAACTTCTGGCCGGGTGCGGTGGCTCATGCCTGTAATCCCAGCACTTTGGGAGGCCGAGGTGGGCGGATCATGAGGTCAGGAGTTCGAGACCAGCCTGGCCAACAAGGTGAAACCCTGTCTTTACTAAAAATACAAAAAGTAGCCTGGCATGGTGGTGCATGCCTGTAATCCCAGGTACTGGGGAGGCTGAGGCAGGAGAATCACTTGAACCCGGGAGGCGGAGGTTGCAGTGAGCCAAGATTGTGCCACTGCACTCCAGCCTGGGCCACAGAGCAAGACTCCATCTCAAAACAAACAAATAAACAAACAAACAACACACAGACAACTTCTATCCTGTAGGAGACTTCCTGCTTCGAACTGGCTGCTGGGACTCCAGCCATCACGTCATTATCCCAGGCAGGTTCAGGATGAAGCAAAGACCAAAAAAAAAAAAAAAAGAAAGAAAAAAGAAAAATGATTCTGCCTCCAGGAGTGGAGTGCATAGTTAGACTGCTGCATTCCTCAAACCCCTGAGGTGGGCCCCAGGGTGCGGGGCCAGCCCCTCTGGCCTTGCCTGTGTCTGATCCAGGGGCACAGGTGGCCTGGGGAGAGACGGAGTCACCCGCAGGCCTGAGACAGCACAAGACCAGTGTTACCGAAGGGCCCCTGACGCAGCCTGCTGGGGTGAGTCGCCAAGGACCAGGACTCAGCCAGGCGACCCAGATAGGGGTCTTACCCCCAACCCCAAACCACGACCACAAGTCCTCACTCCCAACCCTGTCTCTGAGCTTGCGGCAGAACGTCCTTGGTCCCGCGCAGAGCGGGTATCCGCAGTGTGTCTCAAAGCCCCCCACCCCCGCCATCTTTCACCACTGAGCGCCCCCAGCTCGGACGCTCCAGAAAGGACCAGGGGCCGTGGCTGCCTGTCAAGGCCTACGCCTTTCTAAGCAGGGAGGGGATTGCACTTTGCACCCCTTGGGGATCGCCCTGAGCGCCCCGTGAGCAGCTGGAAGGGGGCCCCATAGTTTTCCGAGCAGAGGAGCAGGAAGAGTTTCATTTCCTCCCCGTTGGGGCTGCCTGGGGGGGGTGCCTGTTAGGAACAGAGAGGGGACAGCAAGGGCGGGCGCGGAGAGGCCCACACCTCTCCAAGAAGGGCAGCGGTTTCTCTTGGCTCCAGGTAGGGGCCGCCCTGGGGCGTGCATTTAAGGGGCTGTAGAGAGGGAGGGACCCGCACTTTCCCGAGAATGTTGGGGGTTTCACTTTGCTCTAGTTGGCGGCATCCTGGCGACGGGCTTGTGGGCGGGGGGCACTCACAGTTTCCTGAGAAGGGAAGGAGGGCGTCCCGTGGTCCCCTCGGCGCGGCCCGAGCCACCTCCGCCCGCCCCCTCCTCTGTCCCCTCCCCGGGCCCGGCGTTCCCTCCCCTTCCGTGCGCCAGTGGAGGCCGGGGTGGGGCGGGGCGGGGCAGGCGCAGCCTGGGCTGAGTTTGCAGGGCTGCTCCCCTCACCCAACCCCTTCGAGTCCTCCGCGGGCTCCGCCCCACCCGGCCCGTGGGGGAGGTTCCGTCCCGCCGCCTTCGCCCGCGCGCTGCACTCGCGGACGATCTCTGCTCGCCTTGGGCGCGCCGTGGCGCGCGGGGCCGTGCTGGCGCTGCGGCTCCTCGGCCTGCTCCGCCGTCTGGTGGCCGCCCCGGTGAGCGAGCGGCGGGATCCGGGTGGGAGGACGCGGGGGGTGGCGCGGGCTGGGCCTGGGGATCCGCCTGGGGATGTGGGGTGCAGGGGCGGGGCGCCCCGCGGGGACACCCGGCCCCTCTTCCGTGCCCGGCGGGACGCGCTGTGCCCACGGGGACCCAGGTCCGGAGGAGGCGCCCACTTTCTCCCCAGCGCTCTTCCTGGGGCCAGGTGGGAGCCGTTTCAGAGGAAAAAGCCAGCGTTTCTTTCGTAAACCAAAAAGTATCTGGGACAAGTCCCAATCCTTTTGAGTTGATTCGGCGAAGATCAGGAAGGAGCCCGGGAGACGGGTCTATGCCTTTCTCCAAAGATACTATTGAGAGCTTCGGTATTTAAAGGGGGAAAGCACGCTGGAGGGGAAAGAAGGAGGAAGGCTCATTTTACCGAATTCACCTGTTGCAAAAGAAAAGCAGCAGGTAGAATAGTCAATTATGTATTTGTCTTGCGCTCACTAAATTGGCACTTTACTAAGATAAGGTCAACAGAGAGTTATTGCACTGTCTGCTTGGGAACAGAAGGAAAGACAGCTTCCTGCCTGACTCAGCTTCCAGCTTTATTATTATTATTATTAATTATTTTGGCAGAGTGAACTGGGGTTCCAAGTTTTAATTTTCCTTCTACAGTTTGCAGAATCGCAAACTCTTAAATTTAGGGGAACCTGGGGAAGAGGTGGCATCCGATTCCCCCCCAACCCTGGTGACGTTCTTATGGATCTTATGGATACTGCAGTCTCTCTTCTCTTTCTGTCTCTCCTCTCTTCTCTTTCCTTTCTCTCTCTCCTCTTCTCTCCCTCTTCCTCTCTCTCTCCTCTCCTCTCTCTCTCTTCTCTCCTGTTCCCTCTCTCTCTTCTCTCTCTTCTTTCTCTCGCTTTTCTCTCTCCTCACTCTCCTCTCTCCCTCTCTCTCCCCTCTTTCCTCTTTCTCTCGCCTCTCTCTCACCTCTCTCCTCTCTCCCCTTTTCTCTCTCTCCCCCTCTTCTCTCTCTCCCCCTCTTCTTTCTCTCCTTTTCTCTCTCGTCTCTCTCTCCTCTCCTCTCTCCTCTCTCTCTCCTCTCCTCTCTCTCCTCTTTTCTCTCTCCCATCTCTCTCTCTCCTGTCTCCTTCTCTCTTGTCTCTCGCCTTTCTCCTCTCTCTATCTCCTCACTCTCTCCTTCTCTCTCCTCTCTCTCTTGTCTCTCTCCCGCCTCTCTCATCTATCTCCTCTCTCTCTCCCCCCTCTCCTCCCTCTCCTCTTTCTCTCCTCTATCTCCTCTCTCCCCCTCTTTCTCTCTCCTCTCTCTCTCTTACTCCCTCTTTTTCTGTCTCATGCTCATCTTTTACTGTTTTCACCTGAGGGAAGAGTGATGAGAAGATAGGAATTCACGTTTTCTGAAGTATTTAGAAACGTGGGGCCGTGGTGTTTTCTCCACCTGTTTTTGGGTCATTCCTTCCTCATTTCTCAGAACATTGGTATTAACAGCTCATTTCCCTCCTTTAAGGGCTGACTTTGACTTAGCGATGCCTTTCCTGATGGAGGAAACAGTGAGTAACTTTTTAAAGTCTCCTCTGTTGCTGACTTTGCTGATTGTCATTGAATTATTATCATTTTCAAGACATCTCTTTTGCGTGATAAATGGATTGAGTTTGGACAGTGGGAACATAGGAAGTATATGTGTTGTTTATTTTTGTTGTTGGATTTTTGATATATTTTTTTTTTGTTACCAGCATGCTGGTTTTTTTGTTTTTTTTGTTTTTTTTTTTTTTTGAAGTGTAGGTTCAGAGTCTCACTCTGTGGCCCAGGCTGGAGTGCGGTGGCGCGATCTCGGCTCACCGCAACCTCCGCCTCCTGGGCTTAAGCGATTCTTGTGCCTCAGCCTCCTGAGCATCTGGAATTACAGGCACCCACTACCACGCCCGGCTAATTTTTGTCTTTTTAGTAGGGGCTGGGTTTTGCCATGTGGAGCAGGCTGGTCTCTAACTCCTAAACTCAAGCTATGCACTCACCTTGGCCTCCCAAAGTGCTGGGATTATAGGTGCAAGCCATCACGCCCAGCCAGTATGCTGGCTTTTATTTTAAAATGGTTAGTCTTTGGAACAACGTAAGGCAAATGTGACTCCCTTGGCCAGGTCAGGCCTCGTGGGCATAGATCTGCGCAGTCACACAGGGACCTGTGCACACAAGGGTGCCATGCTGCTTTATTGCTGTGTTGCTGCCATCTTCAGATTCTTCATACAGTTGGAACAATGGGTCGCACATTTTCATTTTCACAGGCCCTCCCAAATTCTGGAGGTGGTCTGCACACCTGGTTTAGTTTTCTTTGAAAATACTTGAAGTTAAATCCTGTACCTGGAAGACAACAGAAGGGAATTGGCAGGAGGCTACGTGTATGGGTATCCCCACCATGACAAAAACAAGGGCCAGTTTTTACCTGTTTAGTGAACAGTCTCTGTGCAAATTGATATTTCAGTTTCTTTTCTCATCGCTATGGAAATTGATTTTTCATTTTCTGGTCGCTGTGGAAATTGATTTTTCATTTTCTTTTCTGGTCGCTATCAAAATTGATTTTTCATTTTCTGGTCGCTATGGAAATTGATTTTTCATTTTCTTGACTACTAGGTACTGATGATTGCAACTCTCATGTTTTACAAACAGGTGACCCAGCACCACCTAATGCCCCCAAACCAAAGCCAGATCCAAACCCCAACCGACCTGGTTTCACTGGTAAGAGCCTCTAACCCTACGGGTGGTCTCTATATTGTTTATTGTAACTTTATTTTATACTTATTCATAAGAATATTAATTCACATTTTCTCATGTTTTCTCATTTCTATCATATGACATTTACTGACAAATACTATTCTATCTAAATATATAATAAAATACATTAATTCCTTTAATCCCTAATGTTGAAAACATTGTGTCTTCTGACATTTTAGAATTATGAATTACAAAGCCAATTTGAGTCAACTTTGTCTACTCTTTTTCATTCCTTTGAAGAGATTTCTGGCATTCAAATTGTCTAGATCAATGCTCATGAGTACTTTTATAGCTTTTAACCTGGTTGGTTGTTTGCCCCAGAATTGCACCAATTTGATTTGATACCAGGGTGTCTGCAAATGTCCCTGTCTTCGAACCTTTTCCAGTAGCAATTATCACCTACAAAACCTTTGTCAAATAGTGTAATTATTATATCAAACCGGTCTTAGTTTTACATCTCTCATTCTGAAATGTAAAAAGCATAATGCATCCCAATGGGCCACGGAGACTTCTTCTTTTGTGTATTGGATGCTTTGGCTTTGATCCTTCAATTCATGGTGCCCGCCACCAGGCCCAGCTCATTTTTGTATTGTTAGTAGAGATGGGGTTTCACCATGTTGGCCAGGCTGGTCTGGAACTCCTGACCTCAGATGTTCTGCCTGCCTCAGCCTCCCTACCTACTGATGTATGAGCCTTCTTCAGTGATTTATCAATATTAAAGATTACCAGCCACTTATTATGAAAATGGTTTTGCACTTTATTTTTGCCTTTGAATATTTTTAACAGGAATGTTTTACAAGTGGTATGTTTATTTTTTTATGGTGTCTTATGTTTGTGTGGATATCCTGCTTTTTGTAACTTTTTTTCCTTTTAAATTGAGAATCATTTTGCTATTGTCCCTTCTCTTCAGAGAAGTAAAACCTTCTTTTTAATTTCATTTGAATTGTTTATCACCATAGGTTGATTGAAGGAATGGTAACACGTTTTCAATGTTGAGTTTTTTCTTTTATTTTCTTTCCTTTTTTTATTTTGGAGACAGAGTCTCTCTCTGTCGCCCGGGCTGGAGTGCAGTGGCGTGATCTTGGCTCAGTGCAACCTCCACTTCCTGGGTTCAAGCAATTCTCGTGCCTCAGCCTCCCAATTAGCTAGGATTACAAACATGCACCACCATGCCCGGCAAATTCTTGTATTTTCAGTAGAGACGGGGTTTTGCCATGTTAGCCAGGCTGATCTTGAACCCCTGACCTCAGGTGATCCGCCCATCTCAGCCTCTCAAAGTGCTGGGATTACAGGTGTGAGCCACCATGCCGGCCTGAGCTTTTTCTTTGAGATTCGATTTGTCTCTTCCTCTTGTTGATTCTGTCAATGGGTTTCTAAAGTGTTTTTTCCTTGTTTTTGTTACTCTGAATCCATTTTCATGTCCACTATTTTTCTGTTTATTTCTGTCATGTAGAAGAGATTGTGTATATATTTTTTGCAATCCATGAAATGATGACCCTTTGTTAAATTTCAATTTTTTTTCTCTTCATTTCTGACCTTTTCTAAGAAGTTGGTCATGTTATTTGGTAATGGGTTTTTAAAATTTTCCCTGTTCCTAGATTTATACGTTCTCTTTACAGTTTATTTGTAATTTAGTTCTATGGCCTTTGCTAGAAGACTCAGGACAACTTTTAATATGTAGAGTTGTAAATATGGTAGACAACTTTTTTTCCAGACATTAGGACAAAAACCCAAAGAGATTCACCTTTAAATAAAATAAGTCATTTCAATAAGTGTCTTTCTCTTCTAGTATACTTTTTTTCTGAACACATAGGTTCTCATACCATGAGATTTCTTATTTCTATACAATGTATGTGAAAAATCATGTGCTTTTTATTCATTGCTTGTGTATTTTAATATGGTTTTGAAAAAAAGATTCATTTTGATGTAGCCCCTCATGTTTCTTTCATTTGAGCCTCCCTTATCACTCCCAATATAAAATGTGCCTCGACCTTAATTGGGATTTGAAAAGCTTGGAACTAGAAGGCTGGGCCAGGTAAGGTGGCTCACACCTGTAATCCCAGCACCTTAGGAGGCCAAGGCGGCTGGATCACTTGAGGTCAGGAGTTCAAGACCAGCCTGACCAACATGGAGAAACCCTGCCTCTGCTAAAAATACAAAAATTATCCTGGCATGGTGGTGCATGCCTGTAATCCCAGCTACTCGGGAGGCTGAGGCAGGAGAATGGCTTGAACCCGGGAGGCAGAGGTTGCAGTGAGCCGAGATCACACCACTGCACTCCAGCCAGGCAAAAGGACAAAACTCCATATGAAAAAAAAAAAAAAAAAGAACTAGAAGGCTGGCTTTGAAACTAGCATGAATGTCACATTAGTTTGTGGAGCCCAGCTGGGTGGGTAGAGCCACTTTTCAGACACAGATCAGAATCCGTCAGTCACAGATCAGATCACAGTCACCTGCCCTACCTCTTACGGTCTGCCTTGCTGAAGGTGTTGGGGACCTGGGAGGAGATAATGGGGAATCAACGGGACAGAGTTGTGTGCAGGCAGATTCAGAGTCCCAACTGGGTCCAGGCAGCACAGTTGATTTACAAATGACATTCTTTCTCTCTCCCTCTTTCTCTTGCTGTCATCTCTTACTCTTTTCATCTGGGGGAAGAATGATGTGAAAATGATCAGGAATTTACTTTTTCAAATGAGATCCTAGTCAGTGTGATATTCAGAAAAGTCTTTAGTCATGTGGGTCTCTGGTGATTTCTCCATCTGTTTCCGAGGTCATTCCTTCCTCATTTCTCAGAGCTTTACTATGAACAGACCGATTCCTTCCTTTAGGGGCAGACTTTGACTTAGCAGATGCCTTTGGTGAGGGAGGAAACAGTGAGTAACTCGTTAAAGTCTCCTCTGTTGCTGATTTGTTATTGTCACCAAATGACTGTCATTTCCAAGAGACTTATCTCTTTTGCATAATCCATGGATTGGGTTTATACAGTGGAAATATTGGAAGTATATGCCTTGTTGTGTTTTATTTTTGTTGTTGTTGGATTTTTGTTTTTTTTCCCACCAATATGCTGGCTTTTATTTTAAAATTGTTACAGACTTTGGAATGATATAAGGCAAATGTCACTTCCCTGGCCAGGTCAGACTTCATGGGCATGTGACATGTGATGTCACACAGGGACCTGTGCATACAAGGGCACCATATTGGTGTATTACTCAGTAGCTGCCATCTTGAAATTCGTCATAAAATTGGAACAGAATCTTGCATTTTCATTTTGTGCAGGGCCTCTCAAATTCTGGAGGTGGTCTGGACACCTGGCTTAGTTTTCTTTGAAAATACTTGAAGTTAAATCCTGTAGCTGGAAGATGATGGAAGGGAATTGGCAGGAGGCTATGTGTATGGGCATCCCCACCACGACAAAAACAAGGGTCATTTTTTACCTGTTTAGTGAAAGGTCTCTATGCAAATTGATTTTTCATTTCCTTTTCTGGTCGCCATGGAAATTGATTTTTCATTTTCTTGACTGCAAGGCACTGATGATCGCCAACTCTCATGTTTTACAAACAGGTGACCCAGCACCACCTAATCCCCCCAAACCAAAGCCAGATCCAAATCCCAACTGACCTGGTTTCACTGATAAGAGCCTCTAACCCTACGGGGTGGTCTCTATGTTGTTTACCTGGCAGTGATGTCCGTGTCATCTGAGAAGAGGAGATTTCAGGTGAGCCTGTTCCTACTGTTGAATTACAAGGTAATTCCAGTGTTCAAGTAGTGGAAAACCTAGATTACGAAAATATGTTTTTGGTTTGGATTTTATTTTCCTTTTCTTGATTTTACTTCAAAGATAAATGGAACTTCCAAATCATTGAATAAGAGCTTTTAGATGTAGACTTGATATGAGGAAAAGAATCTGTGTGTTTCCCATGGAGAAGCCAACTTGTTTTAAACAATTAGATTTTTACTGAGTGTTTTTCTTTACATGTTTGTTTAATTTTTAACACAGAAATCTATCCAGATGGTCTAAATCCTGTTGACATTTTTATGGTTTTTTGCTGGTTATGTTATTATTGGCATAAGAATATTCCTTGACCATTTTCTCATGTCATTTAATCGTTTGTATCATACGACTTTACATTATTATACTACAGACTTAATTACATACTTTGGTTTCTTTAAGTAATCCCTAATTCTGAAGTTATGTTTCTTCTGATGTTTTGGAATTATCAATTACAAAGCAAATTTGACTGCCCTTCATGCACTTTCCTTTATGTTTGAAGATATATTTCTAGAGTGCAAGTTGTTTACATCGATGTGTGTGAGTACTTTTGTAGCTTCTGACATGGTTTTGAAATTGCCCCAGAATTGCACCAATTTATTTTGATGGCGGCGGGGTGTGCAGATGACCCTTTCCTCACACCGTCTCCGATATTGGTGTTCACCAAAACATCTTTATCCAGTAGTGCAAAATGTCATGCTAACCTTGTCTTAGTTTCACGTCTTTAATTCTGAAACTTGAAACAAAAACAATGCATCAGTGGGCCATGGAGACTTCTTCTTCTGTGTATGGGATACTGTGTCTTTTATTCTTCTATTCTGGTATGTCCTCCCTGATTTCTAGTCATTTTTGAATTATTTATAGACAGTAAACATTGCCCAATATATTATGAAAATGTGTTTCCACTTTATTGTTGCCTCTGAAAACATTTTGAACAGAAGCTTTTATAAGCAAGGCTTGAATTTTTCTTTTTTATGTTGTCTTAGGTTTGTGTGAGTTTCCACCTTTGTGTAACACATTTTTCCTTTTAACAGAACCATTTTATCACTGTCTCTCTTCCTTCTTGGGAAAAAGAAAACCATCTTTTTCTTTTCATTTGCATTACTTACAACTATGAATTGATTTATAGAGTGCTAAAATATTTGTAAAATCGAGCAGATTCTTCTGTGTGCCTTTTTCTCCTGGTGATTTATTTAAATGGATTTCTAAGGTGTTTTCCCGTCAGTATTGATTTGTTTTGGTGAGTACGATTTTATGTGCGCTATTTGTCTCTCTGTTTCTGAACTATAGCAACATTTTTGTGCATTCTCTCTTACTCTCCACTGAATGATGAACCCTTGTGAACTTCCAATTGTTTTCTCTTCATTTCTTAATGTTTCTGAGAAGACCGACATATTATTTGTAAGTGATTTTAAAATTTGTCTCCTTTTCTATGTTTTTTCGTTGTCTTCAGAGTGTCTTCAGAGTGCATTCGTATTTTTGTTGAATTGGCTTTGCTAGAGAACACATGATGGCTTTAAGTATGAGTGAAGAGAGTAGACATTTTTTATTCCTGATTTCAAGGTAAAAACCTAAAGAGGTTCACCTGTAAATAAAATAAATTGTCTTTACAAAACCAGATACTCATTCCAAGAAGATCTCTCTATTCTAGTATACTTTTTTTTCTAAACATACAATAGTATAGGTTCTCATACTGTGAGACTTCTTATTTCTTTATACACAATATATTTGAAAAGTCATTGGTTTTTTAGTGATTACTAATGTACTGTTACATGGTTTTGAAAAGTGTTGGATTCAAAGTTTCCTTCATTTAAGCCTCTTTTTTCTCCCTTCCCCATATAAAAAGTTGATGATGGCCAGGAATAGAGGTTCACACATATAATCCCAGCACTTTGGGAGGCTGAGATGGGAGCATCTTTTGAGCCCAGGAGTTCAAGACCAGCCTGGGCAACATAGCAAAACCCCCTCTCTACAATGAAATGAAAAATTAGCCAGGCTTGTTGGCACATACCTGCTGTCCCACCTGCTTGGGAGGCTGAGGCAGGAGGATTGCTTGAGGCCAGGAGGCGGAGCCTGCAGTGAGCCGTGGTCACACCACTGCACTCCAGCCTGCGTGACAGAGGAAGACCCTGTCTCAAAACAAAACAAAAATGGTTCCTCGACTTTAGTTAGGATTTGAAAAGCTTAGAACTGGAAGGCAGCCTCTGAAATTATCAAGAATGTCACAGCAGTTTGTGGAACACACCTGGGTGGGTAGACCCACTTTTTAGACACTCTCTAGCCCAAATCTGATCACAGTCATTCTTCCTCACCTCTTAGGGTCTCCCTCACAGAAGGTGTTGGGGGCCTTGGACGAGATGTTGATGGGATGGGAATAAACAGGAGCAAATAATGTGCAGGCGAAGTTGGAGTTCCTGCTCAGTCTGGGAGGAGAATTGATTTATGAATTTCTTTCTTTCTCTCTTTGTATCTATCTCTTCTTTCTCTCTCTCTCTCTCTCTCCCCCCAGCCACCTTCTGATCTCTAATCCATTCATGTGAGAGAAGAGCGATGTGAAAATGGTCAGCAATTTGCTTTTTCTGATGAGATCCTGGTGAGAGTCATGTTCAATAAAGTATTTAGTCACGTGGGGCTCCAGTGATTTCTCTGTTTACAAGCTCATTCCTTCCTCATTTTCTCAGAACTTTGGTGTTAACAGCCTGTTTCCTATTTGTAGGGGCTGACTTTGACTTAGCAGATGCCTTTCGTGATGGAGGAAATAGTGAGTAGCTCTTTAAAGTCTCCTCTCTTGCTAACTTGCTTATTATCGCCCAATTATTATCATTTGCAAGAGACTTACCTCTTGAGAATGATCAATGGAACTTGTTTGCACAGTGGAAACCTAGGGAGTAAGTGTGTTGTTGTCTGTTTTTGATGTTGTTGGACTTTTGTTTGTTTTTTTTTTAACCAGTCCACTTGCTTTTGTTGAGAAACTCCTACAGTCTTTGGAATGATGTAAGGCAAATGTGACTCCCCTGGCCAGGTCAGCCTTCACGGGCATGCAGCTTGTGAAGTCACCCAGGGACCTGTGTTTACAAAAGCGCCATATTGGTTTACTGGTCTGTAGTTACCATGTTGCTCTTCTTCATACAGTTGAGACGAGGGGTCCCACATTTTTGTTTTGCACGGGACCTTGCCAACTCTGTCACTGATCTAGACACCTGCTTTAGTTTAATTTGATATTAAGCAATGTAGCCGGAAGATGATGGAAGAAAGTTGGCAGGAGGCTGTGTGTACGGTTATCCCTGTCATGACAAGCAACAAGCTCCAACTTTTACCTGGTCCGTCAGCCATCTCTATGCAAATTGATGTTTCATTTCTTTACTCCAAGACACTCATGATTGCAACTCTCATTGTCACAAACAGACGACCCAGCACCTCTTAATTCACCCAAGCTGAAGCCAAATGCGAACCCTGAGCAGCCTGGATTCATTGGTAAGTGCTTCTCACTCTATAGGTTGTCTGTATGTTGTCCACGGTAGAGTGGTATCCACATCAGATGGACGACAGGCTTTCAGATGAGCAGGTGCTTGCTATTGACTTTTTGTACAGTTACTCCAGTGGGCAGGGAGTGAAATACAGTTTTCTGAAATAGATATTTGACTTGCGTTCTATTTTTAGTTTGCTGATTTTACTTCCAAGATTGTATGGAACTTCTAAAACACTGAGCACAAGATTTTCTTATGAACTTGGTATAGAGAAAATGGCCTGTGCATTCCCTGTAGAGAAACTTGGGTGTTTTTGATGTTTTTGCCCTTGAATATTTGTATCAGCTATTTTGACACATGACAGCATTCTCAGGTAATCTGACTAGCAACTGTTTTTTGAACTGAATTGTTGTGAAACATTCAGGTTTTTAGTTCTTTTTTGTTTTTAATTTTTAACACAGAAACATAAATAATGTTCATATCCTCTTGGCATTGTGATGGTTATTTGCGCTTATATTTTATATATCAGTTTAAATGAAGCAAACGTTAAGTAATAAAGCCAGTCTTTTGTTCATACTGCATTGTAACATTATTATTATTATTTTTATTATTATTATTATTATTTGAGATGGAGTCTCGCTGTGTTGCCCAGGCAGGAGTGCAGTAGCGTGATCTCGGCTCACGGCAACCTCTGCCTCCTGGGTTCAAGCAATTCTCCTGCCTCAGCTCCTGAGTAGCTGGGATTACAGGCATGCACCACCATGCCCGGCTAATTTTTTTGTGTGTATTTTTAGTAGAGACAGGGTTTCACCATGCTGGTCAAGCTGGTCTCGAACTCCTGACCTTAGGTGATCTGCCCACCTCGGCCTCCCAAAGTGCTGGGATTACAGGCATGAGCCACTGAGCCTGGCCTATTTTATACTTATTAATAGTCACTGAACATTTGCTCATGTCATTTTATCATTTATATCATATGACATTTACTGTCAATTATATTCTATATAAATATATAATACATTAATTTATTTAATCCCTAATGTTTAAAATATTGTGTCTTCTGACTTTTTAGAATTATGAATTACAAAGCAAATTTGAGTCAACTTCATCTACTTTTTTTTTTTTTATTATTCCTTTGAAGAGATTTCTGGCATTCAAATTGTCTAGATGAATGTATATGAGTCCTTTTATAGTATTTGACCTGGTTCGTCATTTGCCCCAGAATCGTCCCAGTTTATTTTGATGATGGTGTGTGCAGATGTCTGTCTTCACACCATCTCTATACTGGTTATCACCTGCAAAACCTTTGTCACATAGTGTAAGGATTATATCAAACTTGTCTTAGTTTCGCATCTCTAATTCTGAAATTTAAAAAAAAATAGTGCATTCCAGTTGGCCATGGTTACTTCTTTTGTGTATTGGATGTTATCCCCTTTATTCTTAAATTCTCATATGTACCTACTGATTTATAAGTCTTCTTCAGTTATTTATGGATATTAAAGATTATCAGCCACTTACTATGAAAATGTTTTTGCTATTTATTTTTGCCTTTTAATATTTTTAACAGGAATGTTTCATAAGCAAGACCTATTTTTTTATGGTGTCTTATGTTTGTGTTGGTTTTCTGGTTTTGTGACTTTTATTTTAATGGAGAATAATTTTGCCATTGTGTCTCCTGCTTGGGAGAAGTAAAACTGTCTTTTTAATTTCATTTGAATTGTCTTCAAACATAAGTTGATCAAAGAAGTTGTGAAACATTTTCAAAGTTGAGCTTTTTCCTTGAGATTTGATGCATCTGTTTCTCCTGATGATTTTTGTCAATGGATTTCTCAATTGTTTTTTGTTTTTGTTTTTGTTTTTTGTTTCTCTGAATCTATTTCTAAGTCCACTATTTTTCTGTTTATACTATAATATACAAAGGATTTTGTGTATTTTTCTTTACGATCCACAAATTGTTTGCAAATTATTTTTTTTTAATTTCCCCTTTTCTATATTTGTACATTTTGTTTACAGTTTATTTGTAATTTGGTTGTACTGTCTTTGCTAGATAAACCCAGGACAGCTTTTCATATGTAGAATTGTAAATACAGTAAACAGCTTTTATTTCAGGCTTTAGGGCAAAAACCCAGAGAGATTCACCTTTAAATAAAGTAAATCACTTCAAAAAGCCTCTTTCTACTCCAGTATACTTTTTTTTCCCTAAACGTATAATAGTATAGTTTCTCATACCATGAAATTTCTTATTTATATATAATATATTTGACTAATTATTTGATTTTTATTGATTACTCATGTACTCTTACATAGTTTTGTAAAAATGTTGGATTTGATGTAGCCCCTCATGTTTCTTTTATTTAAGTCTCCTTGTTATCCCCTTTCAATATAAAAATTTCCCCAACCTGGCCAGGCACAGTGGCTCACGCCTGTAATCCCAGCACTTTGGGAGGCCGAGGTGGGTGGATCACAAGGTCAGGAGTTCGAGATCAGCTTGGCCAATATGGTGAAACCCCATTTCTACTAAAAATACAAAAATTAGCTGGTTGTGGTGGCGGGCACCTGTAGCCCCAGCTACTCGGGAGGCTGAGGCAGGAGAATTGCTTGAACCTGGGAGGAGGAGGTTGTTGTAGTGAGCCGAGATTGTGCCACTGCACTCCAGCCTGGGGAACAGAGCAAGACACCGTCTCAAAAAAAAAAAAAAAGTTTTTCCCAACTTTAGTTGGGATTTGAAAAGCTTAAAACTAGAAGGCAAACTCTGAAACCATGGTGAGTTTTCACGTCAGTTTGTCCAGCATAAATGGGTTGGCAGAGTCACTATTTAGACACCCTCTAACCCCTCTTAGGGCCTCCCTGGTGGAAGGTGTTGGTTACCTGGGGGGAGATGATATTTGGACAGGAAATCAACAGGAGAGAACCATGTGCAGGTTAGAGTTGGAATTCCAACTCTGTCCAGGCAGCACAATTGATTTATAAATTATTTTATTTCTCTCTCTCTGGCTCTCATCTTTTGTTCTTTTCATCAGAAGGGAGAGTGATGTGAAAATGATCAGGAATTCACTTTTTCTATTGAGATTCTGGTTAGAGGGATATCCAGAAAAGTATTTAGGAACGTGGGGTTATGGTGTTTTCTGCATCTGTTTACGAGACCATTTCTTCCTCATTTCTCTCAGAACTTTGGTGTTAACAGCCTGTTTCCCTCCTTTAGGGGATGACTTTGACTTAGCAGATGCCTTACATGACAAAGGAAACTGTGAGTAACTCCTTAAACTCTCCACTGTGGCTGACTTGCTTATTATCACCAAATTATTATTGTTTCCAAAAAACGTATCTCTTGTGAATGATAAATGAAACCTGTTTGCACAGTGGAAAGTTAGGGAGTAGGTGTGTTGTTGTTTGTTTTGGATATTGTTGGACTTTGTTTTTGTTTTTACCAGTATGCATAGTTTTATTTTAAAACTCTCACAGTCTTTGGAATGATGTAAGGCAAATCTGACTCCCCTGGCCAAGTTAGGCTTCATGAGTGTGTGACTTGTTCGATCACCCAGGGACCCATGCTTACAAGGGTGCCATATTGGTTTATGAGTCTTTAGTTGTCATCTTGAAATTCTTAATATTCAGTTGAGCAAGGATTTCTGCATTTTCATTTTACACAGTACCTTGCCAATTCTGTAGCTGATCTGAAAAGCTGCCTGATAGGTTTTATTGAAAATGCTTTATCAGTACTGTAGCTGGAAGATGTTGGAAGGATATTGGCAGGAGGCTGTGTGTATGGGTATCCCCACCATGACAAAGAACAAGGTCCAATTTTTATATGTTTAGTGAACGTCTGCATGCAAATTGATGTTTCATTTTCTTCACTTCAAGGCACTCATAATCTCAACTCTCATCTTTTACAAACAGACGAGCCAGCACCACTGAACCCACCCAAACCAAAGCCAAATCCAAACCCCAAGCAGCCTGATTCCACCGGTAAGAGCCTCTAACCCTATGGGTCATCTGTATGTTGTTTACAGGACAGTGATATCCATGTCAGCTGGGAGATTTCACATGAAACCTGTGCTCACTCTTCACTCCTTGTACAAGGAAATTCCAAAACCTAGTTTTCAACTATATAATTTTGATTTGGATTATATTTTTAGCGTCCTGATTTTACTTCTAAGATTTTAAGATTTAAGTCATAAATCTTAAATAGAATCTTAAATTCTGAGATTTTTTGGATTCCACCTCTAAAAAGTTGAATACGAGGTTTTAAATACAGACATGATATGAAGGAAGGGATAGTTGCATTCCCAGTGGAGAGGTGAGTGCTTTTCAAATAGTTAGATCGTTAGTGATTTTTTTTTGTTTACATGCTTGTTTAACTTGTAACACAGAAAAATATAACTAGTGTCCAAATCCTGTTGACAGTTTGATAGTTATGTGCTAGTAACGTTATTTTTGGCATATTCATATTTCTTGATGATTTTCTTATGTCATTTAAGTCTTTCTAACATGACTTTTACTGTCCATTTTATGTCCTTATTTATTTCCCACATAATTATATACTTCAATATTTAATTTTGACAATGTTATGTTTCTTCTAACATTTTAGAATTATGGATTTCAAAGTCAATTTGAATCAACTTTATGCACTTGTTTTTATTCCTTCGAATCAATTTCTAGAATGCAAATTGTTCAGATCAATGTGTATGAGTACTTCTGTAGTTTTGACCTGGTTCTGAAATTGGCCCAGAATTATATGAATTTATTTTGATGCCAGGGATATGTGCAAATGTCCCTTTCTTCCCACCATCGTTACTGCTGCTGATCACCTAGAAAACCTTTGTCATGTACTATCACATGTAACATTAATCTTTGCCTAGTTTCAGTTCTTTAGTTCTGCAATTTAAAAAAAAATAGTAAATAGTACATCAATTTGCCACGTATACTTCTTTTTTTTTCTTTTTTTTTTTTTTTGAGATACAGTCTCGCTCTGTCGCCAGGCTGGAGTGCAGGAGCACCATCTCAGCTCACTGCAACCTCTGCCTCCCGGGTTCAAGCAATTCTACTGCCTCAGCTCCCAAGTAGCTGGGACTGCAGGTGCATGCCACCATGCCCGGCTAATTTTTTTGTTTGTTTGTTTGTATTTTAGTAGAGATGGGGTTTCACCATGTTACCCAGGCTGGTCTCCAACTCCTGAGCTCAGGCAGTCCACCCGCCTCGGCCTCCCAAAGTGCTAGGATTACAGGCATGAGCCACTGCGCCCAGCCTACTTCTTCTATATGTATTGATTACTTTGCCTTTATTCTTATCTTCCGATATGTCTGTATTGTTTTATAAACGTTCCTCATTTTTTTATAGACATTAAATATTGCCAACCATTTACTATGAAAATGCTTTTTCATCTTATTTTTGCCATTGAATAGTTTAACAGTATTTTTTGACAGGCAAGTCTTCAAATTTTTATTCATGGTGTCTTATATTTGTCGGAGCTTTCTGATTTTGGTGACTTTTTTTTTTTTTTTTGAGAGAGTCTTGCTCTGTCGCCCAGGCTGGAGTGCAGTGGCACGATCTCCACTCACTGCAACCTCTCCCTCCCAGGTTCAAGCGATTCTCCTGCCTCAGCCTCCCCAGCAGCTGGGACTACAGGCACCCACCACCACGCCCAGCTAATTTTTGTGTTTTTAGTAGACACAGGATTTCACCATATTGGCCAGGCTGGTCTCGAACTCCTGACCTCATAATCTACCTGCCTCAGCCTCTCAAAGTGCTGGGATTACAGGCGTGAGCCACCGTGCCCAGCTGACGTTTTTTCCTTTGAACTTCAGAACCAACATGCCTGCAAAATTGAGATTTTTCTTGATATTCGATGTACCTCTTTCCCTGATGATTTCTTTTAATGCATTTCTAGTTTTTTCTTTTTTTTCATTTTTCTGGATATATTTTTATGCCCACTATCTTTCTGTTTATTTTTGTTACATAGAAAGGATTTAATATATTTTTCCTTACTATATCCTGAACTATGATCCCTTATTAAATTTCTATTTTTTCTCATTTCTTATCTTTCTAAGAAGACAATCATATTATTTGCACATGATTTTTAAATATTTTTCAATTTTCTATCTTTATATGTTCTCTTTACATTTTATTTGTATTTTTGTTGTATTACCTTTGATAGTAAACCCAGGACAGGTTTAAATATGAGTGAAGAGAGCAGATATTTTAAATTCCTGACTTTAAAGCAAAAACCCAAAGATACTCACCTTTAAATAAAATAAATTGCCTTTTTAAAAAATGTAGTCATTTCAGGAAGGGTCATTCTATTCTGGTATACATTTTTCCCCAAATATATAATATTATTGGTTTTCATACCATGAGGTTTCTTATTTCTTTATATATATATATTTGGATAATCATCTGGTTTTTATTGATTACTCATTAAAACCACGTAAGTTATTGATTACTCATTGAAACCATGTAAGTATATTCTTACATGGTTTTGGAAAAATGTCGGATTTGATGTAGCCCCTCATGTTTCTTTTATTTAAGCCTCCTTATTATCCCCTTTCAGTGTAAAAATTTCTCCAGCCTTAGTCAGGATTTGAAAAGCTTAAAACTAGAAGGCAACCTCTGAAACCACGGTGAATTTTCACGTCAGTTTGTCCAGTACGTCTGGGTTGATAGAGCCACCTTTTAGACACCCTCTAGCCCAAATCTGATCATAGTCATGTGTCCCCACCTCTTAGGGCCTCCGTGGCGGAAGGTGTTGGTTACCTGAAGGGAGATGGTGATGGGATGGGAAATCAACAGGAGGGAATCCTGTGTTGGCAGAGTTAGAGTTCCAACTTCGTCCAGCCAGCACAGTTCATTTATAAATTACTTTGTTTCTCTCTCTCTCTCTCCCTCTCTTTCCACCCCTGACTCTTGCTCTCATCTTTTACTCTTTGTGTCTGAGAGAAGAGTGATGTGAAAATGATCAGGAATTCACTTTTTCTTATGAGGTCCTGGTCACAGTGATACTTAGAAAACACTTAAGAACTTAGGCCTGTGGTGTTTTCTCCATCTGCTTCCAGGTCATTTCTTCCTCATTTCTCTCAGAACTTTGGTGTTAACAGCCTGTTTCCCTTCTTTAGGGGATGACTTTGATTTCACAGATGTTTCTTCATGGTGAACGAAACAGTGAGTAACTCTTTAAAGTCTCCTCTGTTGCCGAATTGCTTATAGTTTGTTTGTGTTTTTGGAGTGCTGTAGGAAGAGCAGTGATGAAGGTTTGAGGCTTCTAGATGCTTCCATATTAGTTGCCTGGGGCTCAGGCAGGGGCACACATGTGGACCCCTGGGGGGACATGACAGTTGAGCTAACAGCTGAGGAATGAGGATGACTTATATCCCAAGGAGTGGGTCAAAGGGTGTTTTGTGTAGCAAGTGTGGCATGTGCAAAGGGCCTGTGGTCAGTGGAACTGAGGGTGCCTGTGGGGCTCAGTGAGGGGGAAAAGAGGAAGTCAGGCATGGCATGGGATGGAGGGGAACAGAGTGAGGCTACAGTCAGTGCCCAGTCTTGAAAATGTCCCTTCGAGTGTCCCTAGGGGCCATCCTTGTTTTCAGTGCTTATTACCCCTGCTCCCCTCTGCTTGCTCCCAGAGAGCTGTCTCCTGCCTCCCAGCTCTGCGTCTCAGATCCTGGCTCTGATCCCACGCTGCTGTTGCTTACACTCATGTACCCATTGCTAATGTCATCATTCCCTTCGGCAGCTAAGTGCAAAGTTAATTTCCCATTTGAAAAGCAGTCTGTACTAATAACAATCAACTGGGAGACCCAAAAGAGTGCAGTTAAAGAGAAAAAAAAAAATCAAACTTTCCCTCAAAAGAAACCAGTGATACCATTTGGGTCCACCTCCCTGAGGTTTGAAAGCCTCTCCGTTAGTGTTAGTTGCTTTTAGGCCTCTTCTTGCTGCATTAGCAAGGTGTATCTTTCTCTTTATATGCAGACAGTGCCCTCTTCTGGTGGGAGGCTCTCAGTGTCTGTCTACAAATCCATGACCCAAGAGGTAGAGGGGTCCCAACGGTCCCACTTAACTTCTGCCAAAGTGGTGCCCTTGGGAATCCCCAACTTCCTGTGCCCACCTGTTCTAGCTACTTGGTTCACTTTGACCCAGCTCTTCAGGGGTGATACCCTCCCTCATCAGGCTCCCAGATCCCATCAGGTGTTGAAACCCCATGTGATAGGTGAAATACTGGTCCCCAGAGATGCCCACATCCTAACCCCTTGATCATGTAAATGTGTGACCTTATGCAACACATGGGACTTTGCAAATGGGATTACATTAAGGATCTTGACATGGGACGATTATTTAGGATGAGCTGTGTAATTACAGTGGAATCACAGGTTCCTTAGAGAGGCCTGCATCAGAGGATGAAGGAGTTGTTCACATGTGGAAAGAGACAGAAATAAAAGTGGAGAGGACCATTGAAAAAAAAAGTCATTGAAAGACTTTGGCACCCAGGTTGCCATGGCTGCCCCCAGCCCTTCAAATTCTCCTAAAGCCCCAAATGATCTTTCCCTGGAAGATGCACCAGCCCATTGGATAGCTTAGATGCAGCTGTTGGAGGGTGGATCTAGCCTGTGAGGACCCAGTAACCTGGACCCAATACATGACAACAAGGATTGAATGAGTGGTCGTTTACTGCTGAGTAATTGCTGGTTTTCCTGGCTACCTGGGCCCTGGGTCACATGGATGAGAGGGCTGGAAAAAATGATTATCAGCACAGAGTCCCAGAATCTCTGTGACTTCTGGTCACAGATATTTTGAGTGTATGTATAGAAAAAAGCAGTTGTTCCTACACATTCAGTGTCAGAAGTGAAGGATGAGAGGGGAGAGGGGTGTGCATGTCAAAGGAAAAAACAGCTTTTCCCCCCTGTACGTGAGGTCACAGCAAATTTGCAAGATTCAGTGCATGGTGAGAGAAGCAGGCAGCCGCTGACATCCAGGGGCTGGCCTGGCTCCCGCTACCTGGCTTGGGGTTTCCTGTTGGACCTAAGAAATGTCACAGACAGGACATTTTTAAAGTCAATAAGAAATGTCAGACAAGAGCACTGTGATGAAGTCAAGAGACCGTGGGTTGTGCTTTGGCTGGTTCTTGATTTATTTCTGCTCAAGGCAATCAGTATGCCAAGGTGGCATATTTCAGAGTGTCACGTAATGATCTACATTCTTATTCAGGGTGGGGTGTCCTGTACCCCATCAACTGGAAGGTTGTAGCACTTCCTGCTTTCTAGACATGGTAAATGAACTCCCTGGGTCACTGGGAAAGTTGTAGCACTTCCTGCTTCCTGGAGATGGTAAATAAACTTTCTGTGTCACATGGGAGGTTGTAGCACTTCCTGCTGCCCAGAGATGGTCAATGAACTTCCTGAGTCACTGGGAAGGTTGTAGTACTTCCTGCTTCCTGGAGATGGTAAATAAACGTCCTGGGTCACTGAGGAGGTTGTAGCACTTCCTGCTTTCCTAGAGATGGTCAGTGAACATCCTGGGTCACTGGGGAGGTTGTAGCACTTCCTGCTTCCTAGAGATGGTCAATGAACTTCCTGGAGATGTTAAATAAACTTCCTGGGTCACTAGCGAAGTTTGTAGCACTTCCTGTTTCCTGGGGATGGTAAGAGAACTTCCTGGGTCACTGGGGAGGTTGTAGCACTTCCTGCTTCCTAGACATGATAAATGAACTTCCTGGGTCATTGGAAGGTTGCAGCACTTTCTAGTTTAGAGGGACATTATAACACTTCCTGGTTTATCTGGAGATTGTAATGCTTTCTGATTCATAGGGACATTGTAAAACTTTCTGGCTCACATTGTTACATTTCCTGGTTCAAATGGATAATAGTAGCACTTCCTGGTTCACAGGGACATTGTGACACTTCCTGGTTCTTATGGGTAATTGTAGCATTTCCTGGTTCACAGGGACATTGCAACGCTTTTTGGTTCATACACATAATTGTTAGCACTTCCTGATTCCCAGGGACATTGCAACACTTCCTGGTTCATAGGGATAATTGTAGCACTTCCTGTTTCATAGGGACATTGTAATACTTTCTGGTTCATACGAATAACTCTAGTACTTCCTGGTTCATATAGATAATAGTAGCAATTCCTGGTTCACATGGACATTGCAACACTTCCTGTTTCACAGAGACATTGCAACACTTCCTGGTTCATTCTGATAATTGTATAACTTCCTGGTTTGCAGGGACATTGTAACACTTTCTGGTTCATATGGATAATAGCACTTCCTGGTTCATAGGGACATAGTAACATTTCCGGGTTCATACATACGGATAATTGTAGCACTTCCTGGTTCATACGGATAATTGTAGCACTTCCTGGTTTGCAGGGACATTGCAATACTTCCTGGTTCATATGGATAATTGTAGCACTTCTTAGTTTTTAGGATCATTGTGACACTTCCTGGTTCATAGTGACACTGCCACACTTTCTGGTTCATATGGATAATTGTAGAACTTCCTGGTTCATAAAGACATTTGGAACCGTCTGGTTCATAGGGATAATTGTAGCACTTCCTGGTTCATAGGGACATTGCCACACTTCCTGGTTCATCTGGATAATTGTAGCACTTCCTGGTTCATAGGGAAATTGTGACACTTTCTGGTTCATAGTGACATTGCCACACTTCCTGGTCCATGTGGATAATAGTAGCACTTCCTGGTTCGTAGGGACCTTACCACACTTCCTGGTTCATCCAGATAATTGTAGCACTTCCTGGTTCATAGGGATATTGCCACACTTTCTGGTTCATATGGATAATTGTAGCACTTCCTGGTTCATATGGATAATAGTAGCACTTCCTGGTTCACAGGTACATTACAACACTTCCTGGTTCATTCAGATAATTGTAAAACTTCCTAGTTTGCAGGGACATTGTAACACTTTCTGGTTCATATGGATAATTGTAGCACTTCCTGGTTCATAGGGAAATTGTGACACTTTCTGGTTTATAGTGACATTGCCACACTTCCCGGTCCGTGTGGATAATAGCACTTCCTGGTTCGTAGGGACATTGCCACACTTCCTGGTTCATCCAGATAATTGTAGCACTTCCTGGTTCATCGGTAAATTGTGACACTTTCTGGTTCATAGTGATATTGCCACACTTCCTGGTTCATAGTGACATTGCCACACTTCCTGGTCCATGTGGATAATAGTAGCACTTCCTGGTTCATAGGGACATTGCCACACTTCCTGGTTCATCCAGATAATTGTAGCACTTCCTGGTTCATAGGGATAGTGCCACACTTCCTGGTTCATAAGGATAATAGTAGCACTTCCTGGTTCACAGGTACATTACAACACTTCCTGGTTCATTCAGATAATTGTAGAACTTCCTAGTTTGCAGGGACATTGTAACACTTTCTGGTTCATATGGATAATTGTAGCACTTCCTGGTTCATAGGGAAATTGTGACACTTTCTGGTTCATAGTGACATTGCCACACTTCCTGGTCCGTGTGGATAATAGCACTTCCTGGTTCATAGGGACATTGCCACACTTCCTGGTTCATCCAGATAATTGTAGCACTTCCTGGTTCATAGGGATATTGCCACACTTTCTGGGTCATATGGATAATTGTAGCACTTCCTGGTTCATATGGAAAATAGCACTTCCTGGTTCACAGGGACATTACAACACTTCCTGGTTCATTCAGATAATTGTAGAACTTCCTAATTTGCAGGGACATTGTAACACTTTCTGGTTCATGTGGAGAATTGTAGCACTTCCTGGTTCATAGGGAAATTGTGACACTTTCTGGTTCATAGTGACATTGCCACACTTCCCGGTCCATGTGGATAATAGTAGCACTTCCTGGTTCATAGGGACATTGCCACACTTCCTGGTTCATCCAGATAATTGTAGCACTTCCTGGTTCATAGGGATATTGCCACGCTTTCTGGTTCATATCGATAATTGTAGCACTTCCTGGTTCATATGGATAATAGTAGCACTTCCTGGTTCACAGGTACATTACAACACTTCCTGGTTCATTCAGATAATTGTAGAACTTCCTAGTTTGCAGGGACATTGTAACACTTTCTGGTTCATATGGATAATTGTAGCACTTCCTGGTTCATAGGGAAATTTTGACACTTTCTGGTTCATAGTGACATTGCCACACTTCCCGGTCCGTGTGGATAATAGTAGCACTTCCTGGTTCATAGGGACATTGCCACACTTCCTGGTTCATCCAGATAATTGTAGCACTTCCTGGTTCATAGGGATATTGCCACACTTTCTGGTTCATATGGATAATTGTAGCACTTCCTGGTTCACAGGGACATTACACACTTCCTGGTTCATTCAAATAATTGTAGAACTTCCTAGTTTGCAGGGACATTGTAACACTTTCTGGTTCATATGGAGAATTGTAGCACTTCCTGGTTCATAGGGACATTGTAACACTTCCTGGTTCATAGGGACATTGTAACATTTCCAGGTTCATATGGATAATTGTAGCACTTCTTAGTTTTTAGGATCATTGTGACACTTCCTGGTTCATCTGGATTATTGTAGCACTTCCCGGTTTATAGGGAAATTGTGACACTTTCTGGTTCATAGTGACATTGCCACACTTCCTGATTGATATGGATAATAGCACTTCCTGGTTCATAGGGACATTGCCACACTTGCTGGTTCATCCAGATAATTGTAGCACTTCCTGGTTCATATGGATAATAGCACTTCCTGGTTCACAGGGACATTGTAACACTTCCTCTTTCATTCCGATAATTGTAGAACTTCCTAATTTGCAGGGACATTGTAACACTTTCTGGTTCATACGGATAATTGTAGCACTTCCTGGTTCATAGGGACATTGTAACATTTCCAGGTTCATACAGATAATTGTAGCACTTCCTGGTTCATAGGGACATTGTGACACTTCCTGGTTCATATGGATAATTGTAGCACTTCCTGGTTTGCAGGGACATTGCAATACTTCCTGGTTCATAGGGATAATTGTAGCACTTCTTAGTTTGAGGGACATTGTGACACTTCCTGGTTCATAGTGACACTGCAACACTTTTTGGTTCATATGGAAAATTGTAGTATTTCCTGGTTCATAACGACATTTGGAACCGTCTAGTTCATAGGGATAATTGTAGCACTTCCTGGTTCGTAGGGACATTGCCACACTTCCTGGTTCATCTGGATAATTGTAGCACTTCCTGGTTCATAAGGATAGTTGCAACACTCCCTGGGTCATCACCCCCATCCTGCCATCTGCTCCAGCCCTATGCAGCCACTCAGAAATCTACTTCCTATCCCATGGATTTGCCTATCAGGGGCATTTCAAACGGCCTCCCATGTGGTTTTGTGCCTGGCTTCTTTCACTCAGCATAATATTTTCGAGGTCCATCGATTTTGTACCATGCATCAGAATTTCATTCCTTTTGATGGCAGAATGACATTCCATTGTATGGGTAGACCACATTTTGTTTATCCATACACTTGTTGTTGGGCATTGGGTTATTTCCACTGTGTAACTACCATGAATAATGCTTAGCACTTAGCATACGGTTAAGACTTCTATGTACATACTTGTCTGAGTAACTGTCTTCAATTTTTTGGGTAAATACCCAGGAGGGGAATGGCTGGGTCATATGATAACTCTATGTTTAACCATTGAAGGATCCGCCAGGCTGCTTTTCAAAGCAACCGCACCATTGCACCATCCCACAAACAATATAAGAGTGCTCCAGTTTCTGCACATCTGAGCCAACACTTGTCACTGTCCATATTTGTCATTAGAGCCATCCTAGTGTGTATGATGGGCTATCTCATTGTGGTTTTGATTTGCATTTCCCTGATGACCAGATAGGTTGGCTTTCAAGTTTTCATGTTCTTTCTTCTTCTCTGTCAAGTAGATGAGTAATACTTAAATAAATATTTCTTACTCAGCATTTTGATGTATTTATTCATAGCCTTATTAATGCTTGACTTTATTTGTTTATCTCTCAGATATGGGTCTCTAAATGTCAGTTTCAAGAAGGAACTGTGTTTTGTTCAACTCCAAAATCCCCAGATCTATCTAGGACACTGCCTGAAACACAGAAGGGGTTAAAAAAATATGGATGAAATATAATAGCAAATGCATGTCCTATTTTAAAATATCGACAGTTATTCTATTTGCAGAACAATAAATTCAATGTGAAGACTAAGATACTGTTGATTATTTATGTGTGTATGCTCGTATATGTATATATACATACATATGTGTGTATACCTCTACATGTATGTATAGGTATGTATAGGTATACATATGTATATGTACAGACATATGTATAGGTATACATATGTATATGTACAGACATATGTATAGGTATATACACATATACAAGCATATATATATACATATGCAAGCATACCCACATTATGTACATATATGTAATATATATATATATACACACTCACATATACATACACACACACATATATTTACACATATCTTTATAAAACACAGACCTAGGATATTTTCCCTAGAATCAGGTCCAAGGCAGATAGTTGAAAAATGTCTGATTTCTAATTTGTGGTTGAAATAAAACTAAGAACATTTCATTATTTTCATCATGATTTATTTTGCTGACTTGTTGAACATATGCAGGCTTGTTACCTGGGTGGACTGTGTGATGCTGAGGTTTGGGGTATGACCGATCCCATCACCCGGGTAGTGAGCATGGCACCCAATAGGTAGTTCTTCAGTTCTTACCCTATCCCTCCCTCCACCCTCTAGGAGCCCCCAGTGTCTGTTCCTCTCTTTGTGTCCATGAGTACCCAATATGTAGATCCACTTATAAATGAGAATGTGCAATATTTGGTTTTCTGTTTCTGGATTAGTTTGATTACAATAAGAACCTCCAGCTCCATCCACGTTACTGTAAAGGACGTGGTTTTGTTCTTTTCTGTGGCTGTGTAGTATCCCACAGCGTCTATGGACCACATTTTCTTTATCCAGTTCACCCTTGATGGGCATTTAGGTTGATTCCATGTCTTTGCTATGGGGAATAGTACTGTGATCAACATGCTTGTGCAGGAGTCTTTTTGGTAGGATAATTTATTTTCCATTATGTATGTATCCAGGAATGGGATTGCTGAACTAAATGGTAGTTCTCTTTTTAGTTCTTTGAGAAATCTGGGAGATATGTCTTGGAATGAACTTCATATAGCTTTTTACTGCCTCCCTTTTAAAATGCTTCCAGAAGGCTGTCCCTTATTTGGTGCACAGAAACTGGCTAAAAAATAAATGTGACCAGCTGGGAGTGGTGGCTCACGTCTGTAATCTCAGCACTTTGGGAGACTGAGGCAGGTGGATCACCTGAGGTCAGGAGATCAAGACCATCCTGGCCAACATGGTGAAACCCCGTCTCTAGTAAAAATACAAAAAATTAACTGGGCGTGGTGGCGGGCGCCTGTAATCCCAGCTACTCAGGAGGCCAAGGCAGGAGAATTGCTCGAACTTGGGAGCCAGAGGTTGCAGTGAGCTGAGATGGCTCCACTGCACTCCAGCCTGGGCGACAGAACGAGATTCCGTCTCAAAAACAAACAAACAAACAAAAATTAGCCAGGCATGGTGGCACACACCTATAGTCCCAGCTACTCAGGAGGCTGAGGCAGGGGAATCACTTGAACCCGGGAGGCGGAGGTTGCAGTGAGCTGAGATCTCACCATTGCACTCCAGCCTGGGCGACAGAGCAAGACTCGGTCTCAAAAAAATAAATAAATATAAATACAATTAAAACAAATAATATAAAAACGTGACCTGCAGCCACCTCTCCAAGGGGCCTGGATACCAATGGAAGGAAGTGAAAAGGAGGAGATGAAAAATTTACACCTTGAAAGCTGAAAGTGTTCTAATATTACCAATGCTGTGGAGTCAGACACATCGAAAGTGACTCTAATACCTCCTGACATCCTTATGTTATGAATATGTAGACAATAGCAAATTATTCTCCGCTTTTTTCCAGCTCATTGAAACATGTTAGGGAGGAACATTTCTGCATTGACAACAGCTTTAAATATTTCATTAGTGCTTGGAAGAAACACAAGAATCTGTGACGCAGAAGGGAAATGAAAAGGAAAGCTTAGTCTCCATTTAGTTATGTTCCTCATAAATATTTCCCAGAGGCAAAGATGTTCTCTTTCATATTAAAAATACAAATAAACACTTCTCATTAGCCCAAGAAAATATTGTAGAGATTTTCATTATCCAAAAAAGGCACACTTTCAAGACACACGGAACAGAGACGGCACATTGCCTTAGCTTGCTTCTGGCTAGCATGTCTGGCTATTGACCGGATTTTATTTTTAAATGACTAAAATAATATATTAACTAAATGGTAAAATTCATATTCAGCATTGGCTTGAGGGCATCGGAGGGTTTTGGCTGGCCCAGTCATCTCTACCAGTGAAGAAAGCAAGGAAATAGGTCATTTCACTCAGGGACAGCTTGAAAACAGAGATTTCATGGAGCTTCCTCATTCCGTCAGCCTAGAGTGGGATTTTGGCTGTCACCCTTCAAGGATGAAAAGGTGCAGAGGACATTGGGCTGCAGACAGGGCGCTCGTTTAAATGATTTAAAAGTTTTGGTCAGTCGTGGTGGCTCATGCCTGTAATCCCAGCACTTTGGGGCGCCGAGGCGGGTGGATCACCTGAGGCCAGGAGTTCGAGACCAGCCTGACTAACATGGAGAAACCCCATCTCTACTAAAAATACAAAATTAGTCGGGCGTGATGCCACATGCCTGTAATCCCAACTACTCTGGAGGCTGAGGCAGGAGAATTGCTTGAGCCTGGGAGGCGGAGGTTGCGGTGAGCCGAGATCGTGCTATTGCACTCCAGCCTGGGCCACAAGAGCAAAACTCCATCTCAAAAAAAAAAAAAAAAGTTTCCATCTGGCTGGACACGGTGGCTTACGCCTGCAGTCCCAGCACTTTGGGAGGCTGAAGCAGGTCAATCACTTGAGGTCAGGAGTTCAAGACCAGCCTGGCCAACATGGAGAAACCCCATCTGTACTAAAAATACAAAAATTAGCCAGGCGTGGTGGCGGGTACCTGTAATCCCAGCTACTCTGTAGGCTGAGGCAGGAAAATCACTTGAACCCTGGAGGCAGAGGTTGCAGTGAGCTGAGATTGCACCACTGCACTCCAGCCTGGGCGACAGAGCAAGACTCCGTCTCAAAAAAAAAAAAAAAAAAAAAGTTTCCATCTAAGCGAGCTCTGTTGGTTCTCCCACCTCTGACCTTATGAGTTTTCTTCTTTAACCTGCACCTTGTTCTCTGAGTCACTTTGCACTTGAAGGTACAGCTACAGCTTCCCCATCAGACTTGTTGGTCGTTTATCAAAGGATGAAAAAGTTCTTCCTCCTTTGGGTCTTTAACCCTGTTTCCTGGTGTAAGACAGCTTTTATGTTTGCTACCTGCTGGAATCAACTTGAAATTTTCTCCCAGAAAATTTGTGAATTTATCTTGTTCAAGTTACTTGTGGTCAATAAGTTAATAAAGATAGGTAGACAGACAGACAAATACATTGATACAGATAGATAGATTCATGATAGATGATTGATAGATAGATATTACACAGATACATAGATACATATCTTAGACCTGATATATACAGGGTGGGTGGATAGATAAATGAATAAATAGATAGATAGATATTACATAGATAGATAGATACATAGATTAGACCTGATATATACAGGGTGGGTGGATAGATAAATGAATAAATGGCTTGATTGATGGATTGATGATTGATGGATTGATGGATTGGTAGATAAATGAATAAATGGCTAGATACATGATTGATTGATTGGTAGGTAAATGAATAAATGGCTAGATACATGATTGATTGATAGATGATAGAGATTAGATAGATATATAGATACATAGATTAGACCTGATAGATATATGGATATATATACAGGATGGGTGGATAAATGAATAAATGGCTAGATACATGATATAGATAGAGCCAATACATACATAGGTACATAGACAGGGTAGGTGGGTAGATAGATGAAGACATGGATAGATAAATATACACAGAGATAGATCAATGATAGAAATGGGTATATAGATATATGAATGATAGAAGATATTTTGAGAGAGAGATGATTAATAGGCAATTGATTGACATATTAGATGACAGATAAAAAGTGGGTAAAATGCAAGTAAACTGTAAGCCAAACGTCCACGTGGAATAGCGTGGGAAGCATTGAGAAGACGCTTTTTGGTGCTACCTGTTTAAACATTGAAAAACTGAGCTAATACCCTCCACAGTACGATAGAGGGGAGGGCACTGGGAATTTATACCTCCCAGGAAAAATAAATCATGGTAAACAGGCAGAGATCTTTCCAGATTCCAGTTCTTGGGGGTAAAAGGTCCCCAAGATGCCCAGTTTGTGACAACCTGTTTTGAACTATTCAGCTCAAGGTTTCCATTTTTTCTCCCAGGGGAGTTGCCTCGATTCTGATGTGTTTGCTTCGGTGCTCTGTGTATTGTATTCATCCCACTCTTCAATTCATAAACTCTGGAGATTCTTCAATTCACTGGGCAAACCATATGCCTAAGTCTATCCTCTGATGGAGGCTCGTACATGCAAAATCCAATAGCAACCTGGGAAGATTTCAGTCAAGACCCAAGAGGAGGCTGGCATCAGGCTCTCGGTCACCGATCTTCACATTCAGGTTTCCTGATGCACTTTGCGACTCTTTGGGCAACCTCTGGACTCCTTGTTCCCAGGGTCCACATTTAGTTTTATCTTTACTGCATTGCTTTTATGAAAAAGAATAAAATTGGATGAAACAGATACAGAGTATTGGTGTCAACCTAAGTATTGGTGTCAACAAAGAGATGGTTTGGATCTGGTTCCCCACCACATCTTAGGTTGAGTTGGAATCCCCGGTTTGGAGGTGGCGCCTGGTGGGAGGTGACTGCATTATGCGGGTGGTTTCCATTGAATGGTTTACCACTGTCCCCCATGGTGCTGTTGTGGCGGAAGTGAGTTATCATCCAATCTGGTTGTTTAAAGGGTGCAACAACTTCCCCACCCCGTCCTGCTCCTGCTGTGGCCATGTAAGATGTGCCTGTTTCCCCTCTGCCTTCCGCCATGATTGTAAATTTCCTGAGGCCTCCCCAGCCGTGCTTCCTGTACTGCCTGTGGAACCGTGAGCCAATTTAAACCTCTTTTTCTTTATAAAATTACCCTGTCTCAGGTATTTCTTTATAGCAGCGTAAGGACTGACTAATACACTCTGTAATAGAAAAGATGTTTATTTGGGAGTATAGTAGTGCGCTGAGAATAGATGTGCCATATTAAACTGTGTTCATATTCAGGGAGGTAAAGGGGAAAAAAGGATTTTAAAGGAAATAATGAAGAGGATTCCATAATTCTTTTCAAATGATTATCCTTGGCTAAAAAGATCAATAACATGGTGACACCAGTCTGAGTTTGGACAGCCAGTTTTTGGGCAGATGTCCTCGTGGAAGTATTTTTCTTTGCAAGGGTGAGATTTTTGCAGTCTCTTACGATAGTTTTTGTTATCAGGCATATAAGCATAAAAACCATTAATATACACTAGAGATGCATTGAAGAGCTTATAAAATTGTTAAGGTTTTCTTCTTTGGTCAGTGTCTAAAATATGAGTCAGATATTTCCTTGGTTATCTTTGAGATTTATGTGGTCCCAGGTTTCTCCTGGGTGGGTAGAAATTACTGCAGCATGTACAAAACTGTCCTTCATGCCATATTTCTTCCTACCATTATACGATGAAAACTAACAAAAGAGAGTTTTATAAAATGTTCTTCCTCTTTCTCTCTGGTACCAATAGGAAGCACAATTGTTTCCCCATGGTTCTTCACAAAGGTTCTATTGCACTAAGTTTTAAAGCCTTGTGTATACACAATCACATTCACATATACCACACATACACGTGCATATACACAGTTACATCCGTACAGATACATACATGCACATGTATACACAGATAAACACATACATGCACAAATATAGACACATACACAGACACACATTCACATGTATGCGGACACACACACATAGACACATATACCTATGCACAGAAACCATACAGATATACACATACATAACATACATGCACAGGTATACATACAAACATACACAGATATGTGCATACACATATACACACATAACACATGCATGCACACATATCCACAAGCCTGCAGATATACACACGTACACACAGATATGCATATTCATACATACCAAACATACATTCATACTTACACCTATACACACACATACACAAACACATACAGAGATATACACACATGCACACAAATACATACACACATACATACACAGATACACATGTACATACATACCAAACATACATGCATACTTACACCTACACACATACACAAACACATATACACAAACACACATACACAGGGATATGCACATGCACACAGATACCCACATACACACGTACATACTCACATAGAGTTACACACACACACGTGCACACGCAACTTTGGCATAATGGAAATTTGATGATTGGTCATTGGAGTCAACCATACAGCCCCTGTCAGAAACAAAGGACCAAAGTCGAAGGGGACATGGATGCACAAACATCTCAACATCTACGGAACCACGTAACTTGGAGAAACATGCAACCAACTAAGGACAGAAGATTCGAGTGACTGCAACTCTGTTTTTTTTTTTTTTTTGAGATGGAGTTTCGCTCTTGTCACCCAGGCTGGAGTGCAATGGTGTGATCTCGGCTCACCGCAACCCCCGCCTCCTGGGTTCAAGCGATTCTCCCACTTCAGCCTCCTGAATAGCTGGGATTACAGGCATGCACCACCATGCCCAGCTAATTTCATATTTTTAGTAGAGATGGGGTTTCTCCGTGTTGGTCAGGCTGGTCTCGAACTCCCAACCTCAGGTGATCCGCCTCCCTCGGCCTCCCAAAGTGCTGCGATTACATGCGTGAGCCACCGTGCCCGTCCTAACTGCAGCTCTTACTTTGGAATTCAGGCAGCTACGGAGCCAAGATTCCTGGAGCCCACAGGCGTGTGGCTAATACATTTCCCTTCCTTTCCATAGAATTGGGTTGGTTTTGTTGCACTGGGTGTCTGGTAGCTCCGGAGAGAACAAATATAAATGTGAAAATGCATACCTTGGTCATCAGTGTTTCTCAACAATTCTCCATCCCACTTAACAAGGCCTCTGCTAGAACTCTGGGGTCCGTTCCAAGAGGAAAAACATCCCTGCCTAGAAGAAGCAAATGGAAGAATGTACTCTATGCTGCCATGTGTGTTCTCATCAGGCCTTATCTAAGTTTCTCACCAGGAGATGTTGAAAAATATTGCTTGATGGACGAAGGGTAACGTACTGCAGTTGTTTATTGAGAAATGCCAGCCGTCATCTCTTGCTCGTTAGCTGCTCTGAATGCTCTTAGAAGGCACCATTCATGCCGCTGTATTCGGGACTGCTGAATTGTGCCACATTCCTTGGTGTTACGCGTGTCTCTTGTTGATGAAGTTCTAACCACAGTGCCATTGTGAGGCTGGAAATGTCCTTGGGTGAAAAAGCGGCCCCTGGGTCACCTTTCCCATGATTCAGGTGCATGTGAACCCCTCTAGTGCTTTACTGCCAGGGTCCAGGAGAGAGGGAAAGAATGTCACTGTCCCAGCATCCTCTAATTTACTTGACAACACAATTGTTCTAGTGTCAAGAGTTTTGTTTTGTTTTGTTTTTGAGATAGAGACTCGCTCTGTCCCTCAGACTGGAGTGCAGTGGCACGATCTCGGCTCACTGTAACCTCTGCCTCCCGGGTTCAAGTGATTCTCCTGCCTCAGCCTCCTGAATAGCTGAGATTACAGGCACCTGCCATCATGCCTGACTAATTATATTTTTGTAGAGACGGGGCTTCACCGTGTCGGCCAGGCTGGTCTTGAACCACTGACCTCAGGTGATCCGCCTGCCTCAGCCTCCAAAAGTGCTGGGATTACAGGCCTGAGCCACCATGCCCAGCCAGGTATTTTTTTTTTTTTCTTCAGCTCAAGAATGAAGTTTTTCTTAGTATCCTGTAGCTAAAATGATGCTTCTCCAATTTTATTTATTAAAAACGCCTAACGCTGGCCGGGTGCAGTAGCTCACGCCTGTAATCCTAGCACTTTGGGAGGCCAAGGCAGGTGGATCACGGGGTCAGGAGATTGAGACCATCCTGGCCAACATGGCAAAATCCCGTCTCTACTAAAAAAAAATAGAAAAAATTAGCCGAGTGTGGTGGCGGGCGCCTGTAGTCCCAGCTACTCAGGAGGTTGAAGCAGAAGAAGCGCTTGAACCTAGGAGGTGGAGGTTGCAGTGAACCGAGCTCGCGCCGCTGTACTCCAGCATGGCAACAGAGTGAGACTGTTTCAGAAAAACAAACAACAAAAAAAAACAACTAATAGTAATGATCACATTTTTGGGCTCAAACATCTTAATTCTGGAAAGAGGAGATGCCACAATGGATACCACACTAAAGAGATGCTCTGGAGAATTTTGCAAGGGAAGAAATTGTCATCTTAGGGAGGGCACACTGGGGAAGCTTTTCAGACACTGGTCATTCACCGGTATGATTAGAAGAAATGCCACACAGACCTCAGGATACCTTGACCCAGACGGGGTCACTCTGATGCCTTCTGAAGTGAGAAATTGATCACGTTACCACAGCTAGTCACCACTCACTGGGTGACTTCAGACAAAGAAAATTGACGTTGTCACCGTTCCAAAGACCAGAAGTCTGAGATCTAGGCGTGAGCAGGGCTGCGCTACCCTGGAGGCTCTAGGGGAGGATCCTTCCTGCCTCTCCCAGCTCCTGGGGGTTCCAGGTGTTCCTGGGCTTGTGGCCACATCACTCCAATCCCTGCCTCCATCTCCACGTGGCCGCCTCCTCTGTGTCTCCAAATCTCTATCTCCTTGTAAGGACACTAGTAATTGGATTTAGGGCCCACCCTAAATCTGGGATGATCTCATCTCAAGATCCTTCACTTAAGTATGTCTGCAAGGAACCTATTTCTAAATAAGATCCTGTTTCTACATTTTGAGGGTGAGGACATGCACATCTTTTTTTTCTTTTTTTGAGACAGACTCTCACTCTGTCACCCAGGCTGGAGTGCAATGGCACGATTTCAGCTCACTGAAACCTCCACCTCCTGGGTTCAAGCGATTCTCTTGCCTCAGCCTCCTGAGTAGTTGGGATTACAGGCGTCCACCACCACACCTGGCTAATTTTTGTATTTTTAGCAGAGACAGGGTTTTGCCATGTTGCTCAGGCTGGTCTCGAACTCCTGACCTTGTGATCCGCCCGCCTCAGCCTCGCAAAGTGGTGGGATTACAGACGTGAGCCACTGTGCCTGCCGCACATATCTTTTTATGACTCACAACAATATGCAACTCTGGCATGCAATCATGCTAGTGGTTTACTTGGGCAGACCCTCCAGGCCTGCGTGGCAAGGGAGTGGGGGTTCACGCCACAGCAAAGAGGAGGAAGGAAAACCCCTGTGCTTCAGCTTTTTCGGATCACAGGAAAGAGCAAACCCAGCAATTCAAGGGCAGCGGTCAAAGACTGCAGGTATAGAGCATGAGAAGCAGTGAGCACAGGGCTGGAGGGGGGCACAGAAATGGTAGCAAAGGTCAGGGATATGAGGGGATAGCTTGAGGTGGGGCCGACCTTCATGGGAGGGATGGCAGAAGGCGAAGATGATTCAAAGGGAGGATGGGGCACCGGTAACATCAGCTCCAGGAGCTCAGGAAAGTGTAGAAGGGAGCTCCTTCTCCATCCAAGACTGACCCCGTGTCTCTCACGCTTTGGTGCAAGGATGCATGGATGCTGAGACTCATAGGAAGGGTGTGTGAGGCATGAAGCATGTGGGAAGTGGAAAAAGGGAAAGAGGAGGAGAAGGGCTGTGGGGAAATAAGTGAGTAGAATTGAGGAAACAGACCATTGACTTAATTCTTGAAAGGATTCAAAGGCCAGGTGCAGTGGCTTATGTCAGCAACCCCAGTTACTCAAGAGGCTGAGAGAGGAGGATCACCTGAGACCAGGAGTTTGAGATCAGCCTGGGCAACATGGTGAAACTCCGTCTCTACTAAAAATACAAAAATTGGCTGGGCAGGCTGGTGGGCACCTGTAATCCTAGCTACTTGGGAGGCTGAAGCAGGAAAATTGCTTGAACCAGGAGGCATAGGTTGCAGTGAGCTGAGGTCGTGCCATTGCACTCCAGCCTGGGCGATAGAATGAGACTCTGTCTCAAAAACAAAAAAACAAAACAAAAAAGATACGGGTTGAGCACAGTTGCTCATCCCTGTAATCCTAGCACTTTGGGAGGTTAATGCAGGAGGATTGCTTGAGACCAGGAATTCAAGTCCAGCCTGGGCAACATAGTGAGACCCCATCTCTAAAAAAACAACAAGAAAAACACAAAAATATACATCATGACACCTGTATTCACACTCCTCATATACTGCAGACAAATGCCATTTTGAAGAGAGGGAGCTTTATTCCTGAGTGGGCGGAGGAAGAAGGATGAATTGAGGAAGTGTGTTCATTACTTGTCAGCTGCCAACACTGAAAACAACACATGTTTATTTTCTTACATTTCTGTAGGTCAGGAGTCTGAAATGGATTTCACTATTTTAAAATCAAGGTGTTGGGAGGCTTGCAGTCTCTCCAGAATCTCTAGGAGAGAATTCATTTCTTACTTTTTCTAGTTTTTACAAGCCACCTGCCATCCTTGGCTCATTAGCCGTTACCCCATCTTCAAAGCACATGACTCCGACCTCTGCTTCCATCCTCACATCCCTTTTTTCTGCGGTTAAATATCTCCCTTCCTCTCCTTATAAAAGCCCTGGGACCCCACTGTGATTCCATAGATCATTCAAAAAATGTCCCCATCTTAAGAACCTTACCTGAATCCTATCTGCAAATTCCTCTTTGTCCTAAAAGTTCACAAGTTCTAAGAATTAGGATGTGGGCATCTCTGGGGACCAGGATTGTACCTGCCACATAGGGTTTGAACACCTGATGGGATCTGGGAGCCTGATGAGGGAGGGTGTCACCCCTGAGGGGCTGGGTCAAAGTGAACCAAGTAGCTAGAACAGGTGGTCACAAGAAGTTGGTGATTCCCAAGGGCACCAGCTTGGGAGAAGTAAGTGGGGCAGCTGGGGACCCCTCCACCTCTAGGGTCATGGATTTGGAGCCAGGCACTGAGAGCCTCCCACCAGGAGAGGGCACCGTCTACATATAAAGAGAAAGATAGGCCGGGCACAGTGGCTCCTGCCTGTAATCCCAGCACTTTGGGAGGCCGAGGTGGGTGGATCATCTGAGGTCAGGAGTTCGAGACCAGCCTGGCCAACATAGTGAAACCCCGTCTCTACCAAAAATACAAAAATTAGCCGGGTGTGGTGGCGGGTGCCTGTAATCCCAGTTACTCGGGAAGCTGAGACAGGAGAATTGCTTGAACCCAGAAGGTGGAGGTTACAGTGAGCCAAGATCACACCACTGCACTCCAGCCCGGGCTGGAGTGAGACTCAGTCTTAAAACAACAACTAGCTGGGCGTGGTGGCACACACCTGTAATCCCAGCTACTTGGGAGGCTGAGGCACGAGAATCGCTTAAACTTGGGAGGCGGAAGTTGCAGTGAGCCGAGATCACGCCACTGCACTCCAGCCTGGCTGACAGAGCGAGACTCCATCTCAAAAAAGAAAAAAAAAAAAAAAAAGAGAGAGAGAAAGATACACATTGTATATGCAGCAGGACCAGGCCTAAAAGCAACTAACACTAACAGAGAAGTTTTCAAACCTCAGGAAGATGGACCCAAGCCATATCACTGGCTTCTTTTCAAGGGAAAATTTGATTTTTTTTTCCCTTAACTGAACTCTTTTGGGCCACCCTGTTGACTGTAATGAGCACAGACTGCGTTTATCGTGGGAAATGAACTTTGCAATGAATTACTCCAAGAAATGATGCCGTTAGCAATGGGTACATGAGTGGAAGCAACAGCAGCGTGGGATCAGAGCCAGGATCTGAGAGATGCAGAGCTGGGAGGCAGGAGAAAGCTGTCTGGGAGCAAGCAGAGGGTGCTAGACCCAATGAACATGGCAAGCAAGGCTAGACCCTGAGGACAGTCAAAGGGCCATTTTCAAGGTTGAGGACTGACTGTGGCCTCACTGTGTTCCCCTCCATGGCACGCCATACCTGAGCTCCTCTTTCCCTCCTCACTGAGCCCCACAGGATCCTCGGTTCCATCGACCACAGGCCCTTTGCACGTACCACACTTGCTACACAAAACTTTCTGCCTCTACCTTGTGCTGTCTTCATACTTCAATTGTCAGCTCCACTGTTAGCTCCATGGTCACTTGCCCTTAAAAGTTCACATCTGTGGCCGGGTGCAGTGGCTCACTCCTGTAATCCCAGCACTTTGCGAGGCCGAGGCGGGCGGATCACGGGGTCAGGAGATTGAGACCATCCTGGCTAGCACGGTGAAACCCCATCTCTACTAAAAATACAAAAAAAATAGCTGAATGTGGTGGCATGTGCCTGTGGTCCCAGCTACTCAGGAGGCTGAGGCAGGAGAATCACTTGAACCTGGGAGGCGGAGGTTGCAGTGAATGGAGATTGCGCCACTGCACTCCAGCCTAGGCGACAGAGCGAGACTCTGTCTCAAAAAAATTTAAAAAAAAATAAAAAAGTTCATATATCTGTGTCCCTGCCTGACCCAAGCTGACCATGTTATAAGCATCTAGAAGCCTCACCTCCTTACTGCGGCTCTGACCACGGCACTACTTTTATATCCTGTGGGCAATTTTGTTTAAATATCCGCTTTCCTCGTTAGACGCTAAGCAACATGGGAGTGAGTGTCTGGCCATGGTTTGCTCATCTGTGCATCTCCAGGACTGGCTGGGTTCCTGGGTATGAAGAAGCAGCGGTCCACACACATGGGTGAACCTGTGCTTCTTCTCACCACTACACTGCTTGGCTTCCTTATTTCCTTCCTGTCACCTGGAATGCCTACCCTGTACTTCTCTCCAGCTCCAACACCATCATTTACCACCTCGTTCAGCTCCCAGGCATCCTAGAAGCCTTTCCTGACCACAGGGGTGCATCGTGGTGCACAATTCCTTCAGCTGCCACTATGGTGCAAGATGAGTCTAGAAGAACAGTTTTGCTGTGCGGTCACCCTTACTCACTATTGTGATTTTGCCTTTAACATATTGAAAAAGACACAGAAAACACACACCATCCGATCAGTTAGTTGCAGACACATCGCCCGATGCTAAGAATGTGCTGTGTTTTAAATTGACGTCTGTTGGCTCTTCAGCTTCTGCTCTGGGCTTCTTATGTCCCCACTCGGCCCTGAATCCCATTCCCCCAAATCTCAGTAACTTTGGTGGCTTTTGCACCAGCCAAAATCAGATCCTAGGTCTTGAGCAAAACCAAGAGCAAGGAAAAAAATCCCACATGGGAATCTGAGACCTCACTCTAATGACTTCAGTTGCTGTTGACTTGATTTCCTTCAACTGCCGAAGGAGGTTAGAACAGTTTCCTCTTGCTTCTAGGACAAAGCATCACAGACTTTGCAGCTTAAAACAATGCACATTTCTTTGCTTACAGTTCTGGAGGTAAGAAGTCTGAAATTAGTTTCCTGGGGCTCCCATCAAGGTGTCAGCAGGGCTGGCTTCCTTCTGGAGGCTCTAGGAGAGAAACGGTTTGCTTGACATTTCCAGCTTCTAGAGGCTGCCTACACGCCTTATTATGTAGCTGCTCCCTCCATCTTCAAAGCCAGCAGTGTAGCATCTTCCAATCTCTCTCTAACTCTGACCCTCTTGCTTCCCTCTTTCCATGATAAAGACCCATGTGATAACATTGGTCCTACCTGGGTAATCCAGTAATGTCTTCTCATCTCAAGCTCAGCTGATCAGCAACTTTCATTCCATCTGCAACCTTCATTTCCCTTGCACAGGTTCTGGGAATCAGGACATGGATATCTTTGGAGCCTGCTATTGCTTCTACCTACAACTGGTGTTACAAGACTTGGCCCACTTAATCTTGCAAATTCTTTCTGCCCCTCTCCTGTGCTTAATGAGATCTGTTCTCTATGAATGTTCAGGACCTCAGGAGTAGGGACCCCAAAGGCTGGGGGCAAAGTAGATGTGACAGGTGCCAAGCATAGGATGTGTGACCAGATTCGGTCATGTGATTACATTGTGAAGTGACCCAGGCATTTTCATTAAGAAGGAAAGTGGTTGTAGGAGGAGGAAATTGAACACAACCCACACATGGGTGGTTGGAAAATCTGAGACCTCTCGTGGGCATGCTCATCCATTTCACTCACCGGTACAGGGGAAATTCTTAGACCTGTCAGTGCAACTATTTGAAATAAACATCCAAGAAAGGCAGCAAACTTCAGGTAGGATGAAGTCAGAAGTCCACCCTGAAGCACAGTAAAAGCCACAAGACAGAAGTGACTGATCCCATCCCAGGGATCCTAAAGAAGATTATCATCAGACTTCTCATTGGAAACTTTGGAAGTCGGAAGGCAGTAGGCTGATAAATTCAAAATGCTAAAAAAGAAAACCAATGAAAACATGCTAACCAAGAAAAAAAAATGCTACATGGCTGAAGAAATCATGCAGAAATCTTAGCAACATTTTAAATGATCCAACAAGGTCTGTTGTTTCTGCGCAAATATGGGCAAACATGAGCTGGTATAGCTTATTTTTATGGGTGCAGGGAGCATGCAGTTATCTCCACTAGCATGTTTTTGTTTGTTTGCTTTGAGATGGATTCTCACTCTGTCGCCCAGGCTGGAGTGCAGTGGCACAATCTTGGCTCACTGCAACCTCCGTCTCCCGGGTTCAAGCAGTTCCCTGCCTCAGCCTCCTGAGTAGCTAGGATTACAGGTGCCCACCACCATGCCCAGCTAATTTTTGTATTTTTAGTAGAGATGGGGTTTCAGCATCTTGGCCAAGGCTGGTCTTGAACTCCTGACCTTGTGATCCACTCACATCAGCCTCCCAAAGTGCTGGGATTACAGGTGTGAGCCACCGCATCCAGCCTGTTTTTCTTTTCAACTCATGCATAGGTTCAGAATTTAGTTCCAGGTATGTGAGAGCTCCTTGTAGATGTTTTTCATGATGAGGCACCTGGCTTACCAGACTTTATCTGACTTCTTGCTTTATCTTCCCAACAGTTCAGCACCGTGGTGCGGTACAGGGTCCCATTAGCAGGTCTCATTTCCCACCACTGACTGAACATCAGCAGGCTCAATCCACAAGTCAGGGGCTGGGGATGTCTTGTCAAGAATTCCCTCTTTAGGGGCAGGAATGAAATTTATAACAACATCCATACTGTTTGATGGAGCCCTCTCTACATGGCAGGTGCTTTGCAAGCACTTTCAGAAAATCTGCACCAAACCTTATAGTAAGAATGATCGCTGTCATTCTACAAGTCAGAAACTTGAAGATCAGATTGGTGACATGTTCAGCTAATGCACTGCTAATAAACAGCAGAAGTGAAATTCAAATATCAAGACATTTGTCCTCAAAGTCTATGCTTGTAACTAGATTATGGCCCTGATATCCTAGGGGTGAATCAGTTTCAGTTTCCCTTCCTGGACCCCCAGCAAGTAGTACATGGGAATTATTCTAGTCCGGTATAGCGGGGAGCAGTGTAAACAGATAAACAAGGTTTTCCGGGGCCCTGGTTTAGGCAAATAAATCTTACAACTTATCTGGCTCTTTCAAGTCGACTTCAGACTTCGCCTTGCTTTCTAGACTGTTTTGCCTAATGGAAAATAGTGTTTGTATCTTTAGAAAATGTAATACGTGATTTTCCCCTCTCAATATTTTGCAGGTCAGAGATATTGCTTTGATCTATTTTCACATAATAATTATTATTTGAGGTCTCAAGACCAGCATCTTCATCTGTGTGGGGCTCTGAGTTAAGGGCTTTCCAGAGACTCACTCCTGCCGTTTCTTCTAACTCCCTTGAGCAGAGGCCAGCAGTAGAGAAACTTGATAAATAACACAAGTGCTATAATCCCTGAGTCCTCTAAGAAATGAGACACAAAGGAAAGATCCAGGGACATTTTCACAGATGTGCCCAATTCCAGTGGCCCCAGGTTTCCCACCCTGCTGTTGATATTCTGCCACCCATAGTCGTGATCATCTGGCTACAAAACAGCAGGCAAGGCTGTGCATGAGTGATGTTACAGGTGGGCTCATGGCTACATGGATGTCTAGACATGTCTAGGTGTCCATATGCAGGACCTGAGGGAAAGTGAGAAGGAGGGAGGGATGGGTGAATAGATGGATAGATAAATGGATGGAAAGGTGGACGAATGGATAGATGCATGAATGGATGGTGAATTGGTGGGTAAAATGGAGGGATGGATGGGTGTTTGGATGGATATTTGGATGGATGGATGGATGGATGGATGGATGGATGGATGGATGAGTGAATGGCTGAGTGGATGGGTAGACAGGTGGATGGATGGAGAGATGGATAAGTGTTTGATGGATGAATAGACACATACATGGATGGACAGGTGTTTGGGTGGATGTGTAGGTGGAAAGGTGGATAGATAGATAGATGGGTGGATGGATAGAGGGACTGATGGATCACTGAATACATGTGTCAATGAATGGGGGATGTATCATTGGAGGGATGGGTGAGTGGTATGGTGGATGAGTAGATGAATGAGTGGGTGGATAGATGGATGGATGGATGGATGGATGGTTGGATGGATGGTAAGGTGGATGAGTAGATGGGTGGATGGGTGGATGGATGGATGGATAGATGGATAGGTAGATAAGTAGATGATTGGATGGATGGATGCATGAGTAAACAGGTTCATGGATGGGTGGATGAGTGGATAGATGGATGGGTGGATGTGGGTGGCTGGATAGATATGTAGATAGATGCAAAGGTGAATGCAAAGAGAAGGATAGATTTATGAGGATGCAAGTGAGAATTTTTCTCCTTAGGTCATCAGGGGAAAATTAAATCCTTACCCACGGAGACATCTTTCATTTGAGTCAGGCAGAGGCCCTCTTTTTCTCTCTCCTGGTGACCAGGACAAAGAGAAATGCAGGTGTAGAGAGCTCTGATCAGGGAGCCCTGCCTGCCTCCTGTCCTGGGTGACCTTTACCAAATCCTCTCCTGCGTTGGGTCTCCCTAACCTTGATTTTCAAATGGTGGCTTCAGGGCTTTGCCTTTTCTGTGTCTGTGGTTCTCTGTCATCTATCAAGTCTCCCAGGGAGCCCCTTCTTGCCTCCCCTCTGTCCCTTTGGCCCCCACTCCAGACCCCAGACTGGGTTCAGGGTTCCTCTCTAGAAGTCACTGATGGGAGCCCACACCCTGAAAATGCCTTTAGTCTTCATTCCAGCCTCTCCTCTCTGCCAAGTGAGCTGCCCTTGCTGGCAGCAGTCACTTCCTCACACAGGGGGATGCTTGTTCCAGCACACTGAGTAAGTGCTGTCTCCTGAGTGGGAATTGGCTTGGCACAGGCGACCGTATGACTGTTTCAAAAAGTCATTCAAATTCTTTGTCTTGTACATCCTGTCTGGAAGCACGTATATACATTCCCGCCTCCCCACTGGGCACGCTCTTACCCTTGCGCTGCCATTCTGGTGCTAGGAGCTGTTTGTGCTGTCCACTGGGTGGACAGAGACGTCTTCCCCATGAAAAGAGGAATCAGGGTTTTCATGTATCTCTTAGAAGCCGGGCATTTGGCACCGGGGCTCATGAACAGCTGATTTTTGAAGTGGTCCCAGGGAAAGCTCAGTTGGTGACTGATAAGAAGAAGGTCTGGGCTGGGTGCAGGTCTCACGCCTGTAATCCCAGTACTTTTGGAGGCCGAGGCAGGCAGATCAGTCAGGAGATTGAGACCATCCTGGCCAACATGGTGAAACCCCGTCTCTACTAAAAATACAAAAATTAGCTGGCCATGGTGGTGCACGCCTGTAATCCCAGGTACTCGGGAGGCTGAGGCAGGAGATTCGCTTGAATCCCGGAGGTGGAGGTTGCAGTGAGCTGAGATCATGCCACTGCACTCCAGCCTGGGCGACAGAGCAAGACTACGTCTCAAACAAAAAAAAAAAAAAAAAAAAAAAGAAGAAAGGAAGAAGAAGAAGAAGAAGAAGAACATCTGAAGAATTGGGATACTGAGGCATCATCTTCCTTGCCCAGTGGATCTGTGGTTTCATACCCTGGGTCTCCTGAAGCTTTGGGGTTTTTCTCATTTTTTTTTTCTTTGAGATGGAGTCTTTTTTCTTTATAAATTATCCAGTCTTAGTTATTTCTTTATAGCAATGTGAGAACAAACTAATGGTGCTGGTCTCCTCAAGGAAACTCCTGCCACACCCCCTCCCTCATCTTCTTTCTCTCTGTCTTTTTGTTTTGAGGTGGAGTCTAACTCTCTCGCCCAGGCTGGAGTGCAGTGGTGCGATCTTGGCTCACTGCCACCTCCGCCTCCCGGGTTCAGGTCATTCTCCTGCCTCAGCCTCCCGAGTAGCTGGGATTACAGGCGCCCGCCACCATGCCCGGCTAATTTTTGTATTTTTAGTAGAGATGGGGTTTCACCATGTGGGCCAGGCTGGTCTTGAACTCCTGACTTCAAGCGATCCACCTGCCTCAGCCTCCCAAAGTTCTGGGGTGACAGGCGTGAGCCACCGCACCTGGCTGGGGATCCTTTTTCATCTCTGGTGGACAACAAGGTGTATTTTCCTCTTGCTGGTCCAGGGGGCAGCAGAGGGAGAAGGAGACTACAGTGTTTGGGGGTCCGTGTGTGTGTTCTTTTCCCCCCTGGTGCCTGCTGTGGGAGGTCACATAATGCAGATGGATAATGATGGCACAGACATATCCTCGCTGTTGGCCTCTCCCACTTTACTTCATTTGTGATGGATGCACCACCCATTGAGTTGATTATAAAAGGCTGATAAGGCTGGGCACGGTGGCTCACACCTGTAATCCCAGCACTTTGGGAGGCCAAGGCAGGCGGATCACCTGAGGTCGGGAGTTCGAGACCAGCCTGACCAACATGGAGAAACCCCATCTCTACTAAAAATACAAAATTAGCTGGGCGTGGTGGTACATGCCTGTAATCCCAGCTACTCAGGAGGCTGAGACAGGAGAATCGCTTGAACCAGGGAGGCAGAGGTTGCGGTGAGCAGAGATCGTACCATTGCACTCCAGCCTGGGCAACAAGAGGGCAACTCCATCTCAAAAAAATAAATAAATAAAATAAATGAATACATAAATAAAAGGCATAATAAGCAAATTGCTAACTGTGGGGTCTGTGACTATGGACTCTTTCTTGTGTTCAAAATAGCTTTTCTGCAGAGTTAACTGTGCAAACCCAGGACAGCAGATTCTGTTTGTGCCCTTCAAGTGGTTTAGATTTCAGATTACCAAGATAGAAAAATATGTTTGACTACCTGTCCACAGTTCTGTATTTTCAGTTCTTATAATGGGACTACAAATAAGACAACCTGAGCCTTTGTTTCCCATACCCCTGAATGCACAGAACCAGAGTTCTGAACGATGTTTTTGTTTGTTTGCTTTTGAGATGGAGTTTCACTCTTGTCGCCCAGGCTGGGTGCAATGGTGCGATCTTGGCTCATTGCAACCTCCGCCTCCGAGGTTCAAGTGATTCTCCCACCTCAGCCTCCCAAGTAGCTGGGATTACAGGCATGTGACACCACACTCGGGTAATTTTTTGTGTTTTTAGTAGAGACGGGGTTTCACATGTTGGCCAGGGTGGTCTTGAACTCCTGACCTCAGGTGATCCACCCATGCGGCCTCCCAAAGTTGTTGGGATTACAGGCGTGAGCCACTGTGCCAGGCCTGAGCAATGTTTAAATCCTCAAAGCATCACTAGAATTCTGATAACTGTTTTTACAAAGAAGGAAAGGAATCATTATTGGCAAGGATGTGGAAACATTAGAATTCTCCTACTTTGCTGGTGGGAAGTTAAAGTGGTGTAGCCACTATGGAAGGCAGTTTTATGGCTCTTCAGAAAATTAAACACAGAATTACCAAGTGATGTAGCAATCCTACTTCTACCTAATACCTAAAGATACTGAAAACAAATGTGTAAACAGAAATTTGTACACAAATGTATGTAGCAATATCCAAAATGCCAAAAGGTGAAAACAGTCCGATGTCCATCTAATACTAAATGGATAAACCCCATGTGTTCCATCCATACAATGGAATATTATTCAGCCACGAAAAGGAATGAAACAGTCACATGCTACAACATGAATGAACCTTGAAGACGTTATGCTAAGTGCAGAAAGAGAGACACAAAAGGTCACATATTGTAGGAGTCCATTTATATAAAATGTCCAGAATAGTTAAAGCCATCAAGACAGAAATTGAACTCATGGTTGCTTAGGGCTGGGGGCAGGGAAAATGAACAGTGATTACTTGATAGGTACGAAGTTTCCTTTGGCGGTGATGGCAGGGTTCTGGAACTAGATAGCAGTGATGGTGGCATAACACTGTGGATGTAGTCAATGCGCCTGAATTGTTCACTTAAAAATGGTAAAAACGGGCCGGGCGCGGCGGCTCACGCCTGTAATCCCAGCACTTTGGGAGGCCGAGGCAGGCGGATCATGAGGTCAGGAGTTCGAGACCAGTCTGGCCAACATGGTGAAACCCCGTCTCTACTAAAAATACAAAAATTAGTTGGCTCTGGTGGCGCATGCCTGTATTGCTAGCTACTCAGGAGGCTGAGGCAGAAGAATCGCTTGAACCCGGGAGGCGAAGGTTGCAGTGAGCTGAGATTGCGCCACTGCACTCCAGCCTGGGCGACAGAATGAGACTCCGTTTCAAAAAGAAAAAAAAAAAAAAAAAAGATGAAAACAGGCTGGGTGCAGTGGCTCACACCTTTTAATCTCAACTCTTTGCGAGGCCAAGGTGGGAGGATTGCTTGAGCCTAGGAGTTGAAGACCAGAGTGGGCAACACAGATCCAGTCTCTACCAAAAAATTTTAAAAAATCAGCTGGGCACGGTGGCGTGTGCTTGTAGTCCCGTCTCCTCTGGAGGCTGAGGTGGGAGGATCACTTGAGCCCAGGAGGTCAAGGCTGCAGTGAGAGGTGTTTCTGTCACTGCACTGCAGCCTGGGTGACAGAGGGAGACCCCCATCTCTAAAACAAATAAATACATATGTACACAAATGAAAAGGTTAAATGATGAAATTAATGTTATGGGTATTTTTCCACAACAACATGCTTCCCCACAGAAATCTCAGTGGAGAAGACAGGAGTGTGGCAGACCAACATGCTTCTGGAGCTCCACAAAGCTGTCCCTTTAATTGGCAGCACGCCTGGTGAAGGCTGTTTGCTTTGTGGACGTTGACCTCCACCTGCTGGCCCAGTGACTCCTGCTATCTTCATTTTGTCCAGTTCACCTCTCAGTCCCCAGAGCCGTACAACCATCTATAGGTTCTTGCTTCTCCCTTTTCCCCTAGAAGCATCTCCTGGGAATCACCCCTGACCAAAAGCCCCAGGCACCTCTCCAAGACCCCCTACAGAAGCCTAAACAGCCCTTACATTCATTGCCTTTGGACCTACCCGAAGTCAACAAGTTCCAAACTCGTCAGAAACTGGGAGAAGTCTCAGCCCCAAATCAATAGCAGCCGTTGTCAGCTCCTCCCAGCTCAAAGTCCCCCAGAGATCGGTTCCCTGGTCTGAGTCAGGAACGAGAGACTGAAAAGCATGGGGATCTGGTGCTTTTTCTTCATAGGGTTAGTCGCTTTCCCCACCAAAAAACCTACCAACTGAAAGATCACTGATTGGATGGGTCAACCAGCCTCAGCTACCAGATGTCTTTGAGATGGGGAGCCAGCCCCCTAAAGCTGAGTCTCTGTGTGTGGCTTCCAAATACCTGGTCCCCTGGGTGCAGACAGAAGAGAGGACGCAGAGGCTGGACATCTCCCAGAGGAGGGGGAGACTGGCTGGTCACCAGATAATCTTGCTTCCCTCTCTGATGTCATAGGAACATGAACAGACTTGGAGATGCTGATTGAAAGTACATGTCACCTGAAGGAGACATTGGTTCCAGAGCCATTAATTCCTAACCTCCTACCATACTCTCTGCATGGTGGAAGATGCCAGAACATTCTCAGAGCTTGAGAAAAAAGAGGAATTGAGAGAAGGGACGGGGGTCAAGAGATAGAGAAGGTGAGAGGAATGTGAGAGAAGCAGGGGACGGAGGAGAAGAGAGGAAGGATAACTCAGAAGCTCAGGTCTAACTTCACCCCACTCCCCTTAGGACCCCCCCACTCTAACTGTTGTTTCTGAGAGTTCCTGGGGGCCACCCATAAACAATGAGGTTAAATGTAAATGGAAGGGCAGGACTCTGTTGAAGTCTGCAGAAGGTACCCTGTTGGCTGCATAGTCACCAGCTCTCATGACCCAAAGAGGAGAGTGAGCAGGTGACTGGATCATCAGTGAGGGTAAATCTGGAAGACAGAATTGGAGCCAGGTGCAGTGGCTCACAACTGTAACCCCAGCACCTTTGGAGGCCAAGGTAGAAGGAGCACTTGAGCCTCAGGAGTTTGAGACCAGCCTGGGCAACATAGCCAGACCCTGTCTCTACAAATAATTTTTAAAAATTCATTGAAGGATTTCTAAAGACCACTTGAGTGGTTTATGTCTCCTGGAGTCAGAACCCAGGGAGGATTTTTGCTGAAATACCAAAGCCGCAGGGAGCATGAATAGAGATGTTCAGACAGAAATTAAGTTTGAAGAAATAGACTTTGGCAGAGAGGCACGTGGCCACAGACAAGAACTCATCATGCATTCATTCTTTCACTCACTCAGCAAACATTAAATGGACTCTGTCTAACTGCATTTCCCTCTCTTGACAAGAGGGATACATCGGAGAGAGACAGGCTGAAGGAATGTAGAGTTGATATTGGACCTGGGAGCTTTCCAAAGGCACTGTGCTCTCCTGTGCCCTTCTTCGCATCCCAGTCTCTACGATGTTGACCGTGTTCGTGGGTTTCACATTGCTGTTGACATACCAGAAAGAATATGCATGAACCACAGTGACAAATGTCATTCATAATCATTTTCAGCACAGAATAACCTACAGAAATGTCTTCTGTGTACCTTCCCCTGCAATATTTTGTGATTCTGATGCAACTGGAGACAAAACATCTCTTATCCATGGCCTCTCTTGAATCAATTTTATCTCCAATCTGCCTTTTCATGGGTACTCTAACAAGAAAGCAAACAAGGAAAGTTCAGCTGGTCTAGCAGTTCTGAGACAGCAAATTATCTCACTGTTGATGTGGACAAAGAGCCTCTTGCAGAAAGACTATACTTAACTCTGAGAATCTGGGTCCCAGCTTTTTTTTTTTTAATCCAGAGAGACGTAAATCTGAAAGAATCTGAGTCCCAGCCGAGCTGAGAGAGGAGTAAAATCACGGAGGCATGCCTCCACTCAGAACACATCATTATCGTGCTTTTATATGGAAGGCACAGCCATTCACTCATTGTCCGATAGACGTTTCCATTGAACGTTGGATCTCTTCAAACCAAGTGTCTGCAAACATGATGGGTTTTGCACTGATGCTGAGGATGAATCCAACAGGAAAGATACAGAGAAACATCACATTGCACCCCAGAGACATATGCAATTATTGTTTATTGATTAAAAATATAATGAAAATTAGGAGGCTGAGGCAGGTGGATCATGAGGTCAGGAGTTCGAGACCAGCCTGGCCAATATGGTGAAACCCCGTCTCTACTAAAAATACAAAAATTAGCCGGGTGTGGTGGCACGCACCTGTAGTCCCAGCTACTCGGGAGGCTGAGACAGGAGAATCGCTTGAACCCGAGAGGTGGAGGTTGCAGTGGGCCGAGATGGTGCCACAGCACTCCAGTCTGGGTGACAGAGCAAGACTCTGTCTCAATAATAATAATAATGAAAAATAAAAGAGGAACAAGGGAAACCAAAAGTAAGCGTATAGAAGAGCAGTTTAACATGCAATTTCATTTTATTTATTTCTGCTTTAAGTTTATTATTTAAATGGTATCTCAAACGAAGAAGGCTGGCCACTCGTTCCCTCTTCTGTTACCCTATCATTGGAGGTTTTGTTCTTTGCCTTGGTATGTTGAGAGAACCCAGAGGTCTGTGAGTAAAATTCCGGGGTTTTGTCAACTCAGATGGGACAAAGTCTACATCTCTGGGTTCACTCACTTGTAACTGAAATTCAGCATTGCCTGTGGACATAGGCAACATCCCACAACAATGTTAGTCTTGCCTGTAGATTTCTCACCAACCATTATCACAAATACTTTCCTATCCCTGTACAGGAGTTGCAGATGAAATATCCTTTATGCTCATGACCACTTCAGCGTTACTGTGCATCTTGGACCTGCCTCAAATTATTTTAATCTTATGAATATCTAATGCATTACTGTGTTTCCATTGCACAAAATAAAACAATGACTTAGCAGTTGCCCAGGCGAGGGGAACCACTTCCAACAGGTGGGACTAATCATTCAGGGTTTTCGAAAGTTCTCTGTGTAGTTGGATTTTAAGCTCCTGAGTTAATCTGATAGAACTTTCTCATCTGGTTTTAAGAAGTGTGGTTAATGGGGATCTCTTGACTGTAGAATCAGTTTTAAAACACCACATTTACTTCTGACAGTAGGTAAATTTTACCTTGGGCAGAATTGTATGGCCTTGGTGGTAGTTAGTATAAATTAGTATGAATTAACTTGGGCATATGTGAAAATTACTATAGCATAAATTAATGAAGGCCTATGTGAAATTTTGCAATTATTTTCTGTATTCACCTAAAATGGCATTGCACTGGAAATATAGTATGCTTCTTTTGTGATTTCTACATATCTCTGTTTTTTTCTCATATCAGATTCTACTTTACCCCTCAGTGACAGTCATTTTACACCCCTCTCTGTCTCAATGTCCTAGGCACCCTGGGACCATCCTGGCTGGAAGGCATAGTGACATTGCTGGCCTGAGCTGAAGTGCCGATTAAAATAAATTGAAAGCTGAATTACCTTATGAACAGCTGCTTTACCCAGGAACAAATGTGGAGAGGAACTCCTTGAAACTGTGTTCTCAAGTAGACCACTTTTGAGAAATTATACATTTATCATAACATCTCAAGTCCTGCTCTACATAGAATGACCATTATTATCAAGAAAAGTTCTCCATTCCCTGTAATTCATAAGGCAATGCAGGCCTAACCAGAAAACAGGAACTGCGACAACCTTGCATCAGACACATTCGATCTCTCTATTCATAGTTGCATTCTCTTTTTTTTTGTTTACAAAGCCAATCACCAATAACTCGGAAAACAAAAACAAAAAAAAAAAAATGAACACATTGTTGAGCTCGCTTCTGAGAAAGATTCTGCATTGTGAATGTCAGGATTCCACATTTCTGAAGCACCTTTGCTCCTCCAGAAAGCATATCTCTAGTTTCATGGTGATACGAGAGAGAAATGACAATTGTCTGTATTATCAGGATGGCCCATTGTGCTCTGTGGATCTCAATCAATGTGGACATCAGCCATGATCAAGCTCTTTCTTTTCTCTCTCTCTCCTTCCTTCCTTCCCCCTTCCCCTCCCCTCCCCCTTTCCCTTTCCTTTACCTTGTTTCTTGCTTCCCTTCCCCCTCCCCTTCCCTTCCCTCCTCTCTCCTCCTCCCTCCCCCCTTCCCCCTCCCCTTCCCTTCCCCCTCCCCTTCCCTTCCCCCTCCCCTTCCCTTCCCCCTCCCCTTCCTTCCCCTTCCCTTCCCCCTCCCCTTCCCTTCCCCCTCCCCTTCCTTCCCCTTCCCTTCCCCCTCCCCTTCCCTTCCCTCCCCTCTCCCCTTCCCTTCCCTCCCCTCTCCCCTTCCCTTCCCCCTCCCCTTCCTTCCCCTTCCCTTCCCCCTCCCCTTCCCTTCCCTCCTCTCTCCTCCTCCCTCCCCCCTTTCCCCTCCCCTTCCCTTCCCCCTCCCCTTCCCTTCCCCCTCCCCTTCCTTCCCCTTCCCTTCCCCCTCCCCTTCCCTTCCCCCTCCCCTTCCTTCCCCTTCCCTTCCCCCTCCCCTTCCCTTCCCTCCCCTCTCCCCTTCCCTTCCCTCCCCTCTCCCCTTCCCTTCCCTCCCCTCTCCCCTTCCCTTCCCTCCCCTCTCCCCTTCCCTTCCCTCCCCTCTCCCCTTCCCTCCCCTCTCCCCTTCCCTCCCCCCTCCCCTTCCCCCTCCCCTTCCCCCTCCCCTTCCCTCCCATTCCTCCTCTCTCCCCCTCCCCTACCCCCTCCCCTTCCCTCCACTTCTGTCCCCCTTCCCTTTTCTTTTCGCTTCTTTTCTTTTCTTGAGACAGGATCTCACTCTGTTGCCCAGACTGGAGTACAGTGAAGTGATCATGGGTCACTGCAGCTTCGACCTCCTGGGCTCAAGCCGTGCTCTCTCCTCAGCCTCCTGAGTAGCTGGGACTACACACGCACACCACCATGACTGCCTAATTTTTTAAATTTTTATATTTTTTGGAGACAGCGTTTCATGCAGGTTTTCATGCCCAAGCTGGAGTGCAGTGGTACAGTCTCTTGGCTCACTGCAACGTCTGCCTCCTGGGCGAAAGCAGTATTCCTACCTTGGCCTCCCACGTAGCTGCAGCCACAGGCACTAGCCACCACGCTCGGCTATTTTTTTTTATTTTTTAGACACAAGACTTCACCATGTTGTCCAGGCTGGTCTCGAACTCCTGAGCTCAAGTGATACACCCGCCTTAGCCTCCCAAAGTGCTGGGATCACAGGCATGAACCACCATGCCCAGCCTGGTTAATGTTTAAATGTTTCCTGGAGATGGGGCTTCACTATGTAGTGCAGGCTGGTCTTGAACTCCTGGGCTCAAGTGATCCACCTCAGCCTCCTAAAGTGCTGGGATGACAGATATGCACCCCCACACTCAGAGATATTATTTTCTTTTCTTTTTTTTTTTCTTTTTATTTTTTTGAGAGGGGTCTTGCTCTTGTCCCCCAGGCTTGAGTGCAGTGGCTCGTTCTCAGCTCACTGCAACCTCCACCACCCGGGATCAAACAATTCTCCTGCCTCTGCCTCCCAAGTAGCTGGGATTACAGGCACCTGCCACCACGCCTGGCTGATTTTTGTATTTTTTAGTAGAGATGGTGTTTCATTATGTTACCCAGGCTGGTCTCAAACTCCTGACCTCAGGTGATCTGCCCGCCTTGGCCTCCCAAAGTGCTGGGATGACAGGCGTGAGTCACCGCGCCTGGCTGACCATGCTTTCACACAAATGTCCCAGACCCTGGGGACGACAGCTGACCAGAGAGTGATTGAACTATGCAGAGTCCCAGCCTCACCTCCCACATCCCTTCTCTCTCATTTGCCCACCTATTACCCCTACCTTAAAAAAACACCCTGTAGAAATACCCACTAGGGCCAGACGCATTATGTGAGGCTTTTCATTTTTTATTCTTTTTTTTTTTTTTGAGATGGAGTCTCACTGTGTTGCCCAGGCTGGAGCGCAGTGGCATGATCTTGGCTCACTGCAACCTCTGTCCCCCCGGATTCAAGCAATTCTCCTGCCTCAGTCTCCTGAGTAGCTGGGATTACAGGTGTGCACCACCACGCCTGGCTAATTTTTGTATTTCTAGTAGAGACGGGGTTTCGCCATCTTGGCCAGGCTGGTCTCAAACTCCTGACCTCAGGTGATCCACCTGGCTCGGCCTCCCAAAGTGCTGGGATTAACAGGCGTGAGCCTCCGCGCCTGGCCAACCATGTTTCTATACAAGCGTCCCAGACCCTGGAGATGACAGCAGACCAGAGAGTGATTGAACTATGCAGAGTCCCAGTCCCACCTCCCAAATCCCTTCTCCTCTCTCCTTTGCCCACCTACTACCCCCCACCTTAAAAAACACCCTGTATCAATACCCGGTAGGGCCAGAGGCATTATTTGAGGCTCTTCATTATTTTCTGAGACATCAATAGACTACGTGTTGGCAGAATAATTGACTTTGCAATTTACATTGGTGATATAGGAGGGACAGATCCTGCTTCTCGGAAACCTCCATGATTTGCACATGTGCCTGCCTCCTCCTTTGCAGGTGCGGTGTTTGGGAAGGAGCAGTGAGCCACAGGGGGATGGGAGCCCAAGGTGTGGCCCTGCAGGGAGGGTCCAATGGCCCATGAGTGTGGGTGATTCAAGAATGTCAGACTGGCTGGGCACGGTGGCTCACTCCTGTAATCTCAGCACTTTGGGAGGCCAAGGCGGGCAGATTACCTGAGGTCGGGAGTTGGAGACCATCCTGGCCAAGATGGTGAAACCCTGTCTCGACTAAAAATACAAAAATTAGCTAAGTGTAGTAGCAGGTGCCTGTAATCCTAGCTACTTGGGAGGCTGAGGCAGGGAAGTGCTTGAACCCAGGAGGTGGAGGTTGCAGTGAGCCAAGATCATGCTACTGCACTCCAGCCTGGGCAACAGGGTGAGACTCCAACTCAAAAAAAAAAAAAAAAAAAAAAGAGCATCTGTCATTTGCAACAACACGGGTGAATTTGAAGGATATTGTGTTCAGTGAAATAAGCCAGGCACGGAAAGACAAGTACCACATGATCTCATTCCTATGTAAAAGTCTAGAAACCTTGGTCTCACAGAAGCAGAGAGCACAGTGGTGGTTACCAGGGGATGGGCATGGGTGGGGCATGGGAAGATGTTGGTCAGAGTATTACAGGCCACTAGACAGGCATGGGCGGGCAGGAGAGGGCTCTTCCACCCACCAGCAATGCCAGGTGCTGGTTCAGCGATGATCGCATTGCCTCTCTAAAAAATGATAAATTGGCGGCTGGGCACGGTGGCCCACACCTGTCATCCCAGCACTTTGGAAGGCCGAGGCAGGTGGATCACGAGGTCAGGAGTTCAAGACCAGCCTGGCCAAGATGGTGAAACCCCATCTTTACTAAAAATACAAAATTAGCCAGACATGATGGTGCATGCCTGTAATCCCATGCTTGAAACTGGGAGGCGGAGGTTGTTGCAGTGAGCTGAGATCGTGCCACTGCACTCCAGCCTGGGCGATAGAGTGAGACTCAGTGTCAAAAAAAAAAAAAAATTGGCAGCCTGTGGCAGGGAGAGACCATTTCCTGATGTTCCACACCTGTCACACTCAATTGTTCATTGAGTGCAAGTGCCGTGGAAACACAACTTCCTAAGCATGCACATTAGGAGAAAACATGGCGGAATATGACCTTCTGAGGTCACTCCACTGGAAACAGGAAGAAAGCCTCAGATATGGGCACGCTACAACTTCCTAAACCTCATGCTCACCTCCCAAGCATAAGGAGGGCACTGTGCATGCGGGCAGCTCACCCTAGGGGAAGAATCATGGGAAAGGGATACAAGATGCTAGAAGTGGACCAGCCTATAAGGTCCTGTAAAGTTAAACACCACACTTGTTCTTCAGGGCGCCTGCTTGGGTCTCTTTCAAGTGTACTTCCGTTCTTTTCTGTTCTGAAGCTTTTAAAATAAACTTCCACTCGGCTGGGCGCAGTGGCTCATGCCTGTAATCCCAGCACTTTGGGAGGCTGAGGTGGGTGGATCAGAAGGTCAGAAGTTCGAGACCAGCCTAGCCAATACGGTGAAACCCCGTCTCTACTAAAAATACAAAAATTAGCCCTGCATGGTGGCGCACACCTGTAATCCCAGCTACTCAGGAGATTGAGGCAGGAGAATCGCTTGAACCCGGAAGGTGGAGGTTGCAATGAGCCGAGATCGCACTGCTGCACTCCAGCCTGGGTGGCAAGAGCGAGACTCTGTCTCAAAACAAAAACAAAAACAAAAGCCTTCCACTCCTGCTCTGAAACTTGCCCGGGTCTCTCTCTCTGCCTTATGGCCCTCAGTCAAATTCTTTCTTCTGAGGATGCAAGAATTCCAGTGGCTGCAGGCCTGTATGGATTCATCACTGGTAACTCAGATACCTTCCACCACATTATAATAAAAGGGCAGAACATTTCAGTTAGACCTAAGGAATAAGTTCAAGAGATATATTGCACAATGTGGTGATTGTAGTTAATATCAATGTACTGCATACTTGAAAACCACTAAGACAGTAGATTTTAACTGTTTTCACCACATTAAAAAAATAAGTATGGGCTGGGAATGGTGGCTCACGCCTGTAATCCCAGCACTTTGGGAGGGTGAGGGGGGTGGATCACGAGGACAGGAGATTGAAACCATCCTGGCTAACACAGTGGAACCCCACCTCTACTAAAAATACAAAAATTTAGCCAGGCGTGGTGGCAGGCACCTATAGTCCCAGCTACTTGGGAGGCTGAGGCAGGAGAATTGCTTGAACCCAGGAGGCAGAGGTTGCAGTCAGCCGAGATTACACCACTGCACTCCAGCCTGCATGACAGAGCCAGACTCCATCTAAAAAAAAAAAAAAAGTATTTATGGTAATATGTTAATTAGTTTTAGTTACCCATCCCATAATGGATACATATTTCAGTATATGAATGGAATGTTATGTTGTATATCAGAAGCATATCTAATTTTTGTTTGTCAATGACAAAAAGAAAATAGTCCTCATCATTGTGACTGGCTCAGGCTAAACACATACACTATTTTTATTTCTGCAGTTACTCTTCTATTTCTGTGCTACGTCTTAAAATTATCCATTGCAAATGGCATGTAGCTTTGAAAATATAAACTTGCCACCTGATCCAAAACTTTTCAGTTCTGTCATAGTTTTGTGTTTTTTTTTTTTTTTTGAGATGGAGTCTCATTCTGTTGCCCAGGCTGGAGTGCAGTGGCATGATTTCAGCTCACTGCAACCTCCACCTCCTGGGTTCAAGCGATTCTCCTGCCTCAGCCTCCCGGGTAGCTGGGACTACAGGCGCATGCTGCCACGCCCGGCTAATTTTTTGTATTTTAGTAGAGACAGGGTTTCACCGTTGTTGCCCAGGCTGGTCTCGAACTCCTGAGCTCAGGCAATCCGCCTGCCTCAGCCTCCCAAAGTGCTAGGATTACAGGCGTGAGCCACGGTGCCAGCCTCCGTCATAGTTTCTAAAACACCCACACCACAACAGTAATCTTGACTCAACTTCAGCTCCTCATCCTGTGTCTAAGCCAAGTTTAGCCGAAGAAAACATCTGCCGAGAAAGTAAAAACAAAAACATCTGCCAAAGGCAAGAACCCGGTGGGAAGCCCCCTGAGCCCAGTGGCCTGCAGAGTCTGTTCTAGTGACAAAGCAGGCAACTGGAAGAGATCAGGGCTGCGAGACAGCGTGGGTGGGTTTTTATCTGCTGCTTCTGTAAATTCATTGCATGATACGTCTGTTTTTCAGAGGTCCCAAAGCAAAGAAACAAAGCCCCACAGAGTTCACCCAGAGGGAAGGCCTTCACTGGATCAGGCTATAAGAGAAGGACTCTCCCCTGAGAAAGATAAATACTTATTTTGGGGCCGTGTTTAGAGAAAAAGGAAGAACGATGGCTTTCCCATAGAAACATTTACTTATTTTGTGATTTGAAAATGGACTTTTATGTTTTAGGAATTATGTGGATGGGATGTTTTCTTGGGTGATCGATTTGAAATTGCAGAGGGGAGCAGGTGCCATGTGCTGGCAATGGCCGGCCTTCCTTCCTTCCTTCCTTCCTTCCTTCCTTCCTTCCTTCCTTCCTTCCTTCCTCCATTCCTCCTACCCCCCGTTTCTTCCTTCTTTCTCTCTCTTTCTTTCCTTTTCTCTTTTTCTTTCTTTTTCTTTCTTTTCTTTCTTTCTTTCTCTCTCTCTCTTTCTCTCTCTCTCTCTTTCATTTTGTTTGTTTTAATGAGTGAGAGTAAAGAGAAAGAAAAGAACTGTTTTTATTTTTTGTCTACCTTTATTGTAAGGAGAGAGTGAGGATACCATGCCACACATGCAGGGTCCTGAGCAGAGGGCTGCACCCTGCTTAGTTCTAAAGACACCTAGACTTTATCCTGAAAGCCACTGAGAGGCCCATATTTTGAAACACTCAGCCTCTCAGAAGAGGATAGAATGGGTTGCCAGTGTAATAGGGAGAGAAATCGAACATAGCTGACTCCATGTTGCTTCTGACTCCTCAAGCTAACTGCTTTTAGGCACTTCTGCACACGGGCCAAGTTAATCATGGAAAGAACTTAGATTACAGTTTAACTGGAAAGCAAGGATGATAAGCGTTCCTTTCCAAAACTAACCTCTGAGGAGATAAGAAGGGCATGCACACAAGTAACAATGTTATATTGAAGACTTGTAGGAGCGCTGTGACCTGAGCAAGGACAAAGTTTTGCAATCTCCTTGGGCCCCTGCTGATGCCCAAGTGTCTGTGGTCACCAGCCACCCCCCTCACCTCAGTCTCCTCCTTGTTCCCCTTCAGTGTACCCCTTCAATGTACAAAGAAGCTTGAGATTCATGCCTTTAAAGATGGTTCGTTAGGACATGGGTCCAGTATCTTCCTGACTTGCTGGCTCTCCAAATAAAGATGCTTTTCTTGCTCTAACTTTTTGTCTCGTGAATCATTGGCTGTTATGCAGTGAGCCTCAGGAACTTTGGACTCCACAGCACCAGGACAACTCTCAGGACTCCCAGTCTCTATTGGGTGCAGGAATCACTGGGGAGTCTGGCTGAAGTGCAGACTCTGATTGAGGAGGCCTGGGACACGAGGCCTGAGATTCTGCATCTCCAGTAAGCACCAAGGGGATGTTGATGCTGCTGATCCAGGGACCACACCTTGGAGAGCAATGCTGAGAAGCTGGTGGAAGAGCCCAGGCTCATGAAGATCTGAACATGGTCCATAGCAGGGAGGTTGGGGAAATGAGATAAAAATGTTAAAAATGGCAGTTACCTTCCTGGAGAAGAAATGGCTTTTCCATTCCTTATTAGGCTCATGTCTTTGGAACTAGCCCCCACTGGTCTCCTTCCTGTTATATACCTGCAGTTACCATGTTCTTGTTAAGGAAGAATGGCAAATGCAAAAAAAAAAAAAAAAAAAGAGGAAGTTGATCATGTTTGGTTGCTTTTGGTCATCACAATAAATAAATAAAATCTGAAATTTCCCCCTGACTTTGCAAATGTTTTCTTCCAAGGAGAGCAACAGACATGTGTCAGCCTTATTGGATTTCTTTGGTTCCCGAACAGCCTGCCATGAGGTATGAAGGACACATGACCTTTTATGTAATTGGTGAGACCCAATGTCTTCCAGATGTTGGGTGTCTCATCCCAGTGTGAGGATTTTTTTTTATTATTTTTTTGAGATGGAGTCTTGCTCTGTTGCCCTGGCTAGAGTGCAATGGTGCAATGTTGGCTCACTGCAACCTCCACCTCTCAGGTTCAAGCGATTTTCCTGTCTCAGCCTCCCGAGTAGCTGGGATTACAGGTGCGTGCCACTACACCCAGCTAATTTTTTGCATTTTAGTAGAGACGGGATTTCACTGTGTTGCCCAGGCTGGTCTTGAACTCCTGAGCTCAGGAAATCCACGCCCCTCGGCCTCCCAAAGTGCTGGGATTACAGGCATGAGCCACCGCGACTGGCCGAGGATTAAGTTTTTAAAACTTAATTTCCCTTTAGAAAAGAGAATTTAACCTAGATGTTGGTTCTTAATTTATCTTGAGTAAAAGTTGTCTTTGCTAATATGAATTTTTAAAGTCATCAATTGGTTCATACAGTTTTGTGTGATTCACCTCCAAATGTTTTCAGCAGAGGGAGTAACAAGAAAGAAAAGGTAATTTTTTTTTTTTTTTTTTTTTGAGATGGAGTCTCGCTCTGTCGCCCAGGCTGGAGTGCAGTGGTGCAACCTCGTCTCACTGCAACCTCTGCCTCCCAGGTTCAGGCTATTCCCCTGCCTCAGCCTCTCGAGTAGCTGGGACTATAGGCGCCCGCCACCACACCTGGCTAATTTTTTGTATTGTTAGTATAGATGGGATTTCACGGTGTTAGCCAGGATGGTCTCGATCTCCTGACCTCGTGATTCGCCCACCTTGGCCTCACAAAGTGCTGGGATTATAGGCGTGAGCCACCACGCCTGGCCCAGAAAAGGTGATTTTAAAGGCAAAGAAGCGAGATGACTTGAGTAACGGTGTTCCCCATGCATGGTTATTAACAAATGTTTCCTGACTGCTTACCTGTCAAAAACATTGAACAGGTAGAATGTGTGGTCCCAGGAGGTGACAAACTTCCTATTTTAAATGAAATATTTCAAAACAGATTAGACCTCCAAGTCAAAGGGGTGATAAGGAATTTCATGGGAGTTCAATGATCTTTTAAAAAAAAATGATTGTAAGCCTATTAGGAATTAGCATATAAAGTTTGCTATGGTCCGAATGTTGATATCTCCCCAAAATTTCTATTTTGATGTCCTCACCTCCAAGCTGATGGTGTTCGGACATGGGGCCTTTGGGAGGTGATGAGGTCGTGAAGGTGGGGCCTCATGGATGGGATGAGTGCCCTTATAAAAGGGGCCCCAGAGAGCTCCCTCGCCCCTTCCAGCATGTGAGGACACAGCCAGAAGGCGCCATCTAGGAACCAGGAAGTGGGTCCCCACCAGACACTGAATCTGCCACGTCTTTGCCTTGGACCTCCAGCCTCCAGGACTGTGAGCGATAAATTCTCCAGCGTTGTTAGAGGGCTTGCTCCTTGATCACAATAAACTGCATGCTTGTTTTTCCCCTAAATTTCTGTGCCGCAAAGTGATGGTGCTAGGAGGTGGGGTCTTTAGAAGGTGGTGTGATCATGAGGGTGGAACCTCATGAAGGGGATCAGTGCCCTTACAAAAGGGACCCCAGGGGCTGGGCACGGTGGCTCACACCTGTAATCCCCAGCACTTTGGGAGGCCCAGGCCGGTGGTCACCTGAGATCAGGAGTTGGAGACCAGCCTGACCAACATGGCAAAACCCAGTCTCTACTAAAAATAGAAAAATTAGCCGGGCATGGTGGCGGGCACTTGTAATCCCAGCTACTCGGGAGGCTGAAGCAGGAGAATCGCTTGAACCCGGGAGGCAGATGTTGCAGTGAGCTGAGATCGCACCATTGCACTCCAGCCTGGGCGATAAGAGTGAGACTCCGTCTCAAAAAAAATAAAAAAGAACATCGACTCAGACTTGCTTTGCTGGAAAGTATATTAGAATGTGTCTCATCCCCCTTGTATCCATTTCCCAGGGCTGCTGTAGCAAGCCATCACACACCAGGTGGCTTACAACTGGGATTCATTCTGTCGCAGTTTTGGAAGCAGAAGTCTGAAATCAAGGTGTGGGCAGGGTGGGTTCCTTCTGGAGGCTCTAGTGGTGGATCCGTTCCTTACCGCAGCCCCGAGCCTATTCCCATGGCCTCAGGGGCTTCCCATACAGTGCATAGGATGGCCTCACCTCAGAAAGTGATCCAGACCCGAATGTCCACAGTGCTGAGGCTGAGAAACCCTGTCTTAGCTTCAAACGCACACATACACTCTCTCTCTGTTTTGCTCGCTGGCTCTCTTTCTCTCTGTCTCATATATTGATCTAGCTGTCTATCTATTTCTCCGTAGGTATCTACCTATATCCATCTGTCTATCTGTCATCTACTTCTTTTTCTTTTTCGTTAGAGACAAGGTCTTGCCCTTTCGCCCCAGCCAGACTGCCGTGGCGTGATCATAGCTCACTGCAGCATCAAATTCCTGGGCTCAAGCAATCCTCCTACGTCAGCCTCCCAAGTAGTTGTGACTATAGGGGTGCACCACCATTTCCTGCTAGTTTTTAAATTTTTTGTAGAGATGGGGTCTTGCTATGTTGTCCAGGCTAGTTTCAAATTCCTGGGCTCAAGCAATTCATTCGCCTTGGCCTCCCAATATGCTGAGATTACAGGTCTGAGCCATAGCACTTGGCCTCTCATGTATTTGTATCTCTATCTGTCTCTCTCTCTCTTTCTCTCTCTCTCTGTCTCTCTATTATCTATGTATCCATTCATCCATCTATCCATATCTATCTATATATCTATCCATATCTATCTATATGTCTATCTGCCTATGCATTTATCTATCTATATCATCTATATATCCATTTATCCATCTATATTATCTATCCATATCTATCATCTATATATCTACCTATTCTTTCTATCTATATATCTATCCATTCATCCATTTATCCATATCTATCATCTATATATCTATCCATAACTATGTATCTACCTATCTATCCATTCATCTATCTCTATCCATCTATCTATCTACCTACCTGTCTGCCTATTCATCCATGTATCTACCTCTATCCATCATTTATCCATGAATCTACTTCTTTCTATCAATATATCCATACATGTATCTATATCTATTTAGCAATCATCTATCCATGTATCTATTTGGATCTCTATCAATCCATGTATTGATATTTACCTATCTATGCATTAATGTATCTATATCCATTTATCCATGTATCTCTATGTATCTCTACATTTCATATACATTTGCACTTCTTATATATGCTATGTCTCAAACACGTGCCCACTCACATTTGCATGTGTGTCTGAATGTATACACACATACACACACATTTAGTGAAGGGGCACCCTGACTTGATTTGTACATATCTCAGTGGTGACAGTCATCAGCAAGAAGCAGCCCCAGGACCTGGGCTGATTGCACCCTTCTCAGGCCCCAGCCTGAGTCCCAAGCATCACTGCGGAGGCTCACAGAAGAGTCCACCCAGCCAAGGCCACCCCTGGGACCTCTCCTCACTGGAGGAGCCTCATGCCTTTGGCTTCCATTTCTCTTCAAACGGCATAATGAACACCCACACTCCTGGTGTGCCCTTGGGATATAAAATTAGAGCCAGATTAAGCATGCTTGCTGGCCCTGTGGTGACCACTACAAATGAGGTGTTTTCCACTTCCCATCATTTCCATGCAGTGGTATTTAAAAAGGAAATGGTTTCCATTGCAAAACATTTTCTGTGACTTTTGGCTGCAATATTTTGCTGCTTATGCTTTTTTTCTCATATTTTCCTTCCCCTGCATATATTTTCTTTACATTAAAATTTTTCTTTAAAAATATTCCTTTCTTTTTTTTTTTTTTTTTTTTTTTGAGACAGTCTCGCTTTGCCACCCAGGCTGGAATACAGTGGCGCAATCTCAGCTCACTGCAACCTCCGCCTCTGGGTTCAAGTGATTCTTCTGCCTCAGTCTCCTGAGTAGCTGGAATTACAGGCGTGCACCACCATGCCCAGATAATTTTTGTATTTTTAGTAGAGACAGGGTTTCATCATGTTGGCCAGGCTGGTCTTGAACTCCTGACCTGAAGTGATCTGCCCGCCTCGGCCTCCCAAATTGCTGGGATGACAGGCGTGAGCCACCGTGCCCGTCCTTGCCTTGGCATCTAAAAAGGAAATGGTTTCCATCGCAAAACATTTTCTGTGACTTTTGGCTGCAATATTTTGCTTCTTATGCTCTTTTTTTTCCTCATACTTTTCCTCCCCTGACTACATTTTCTTTAAGTTTTTTCTGTACATTAAAAATATTATTTATATGTTAAGTATAAAGAATATTTCAACCACTCTTCTGTAAATTAAACAAAAAAGAAGCTGAATTTTCCAACAGTGACATGCAGTACAACAGCATCTCCGCAGGCAGACGAGAAAAAAAGTGATCTCTCCCAACAAAAAAATGCTGACAGTAAGAAATTAAGCCCCATGTTTTTATGTGAAAACTCCCGGTTCAAAACCATACAAACATTGAAACCTCATGTGAAGAAAATTGTCCGCCAAATTCATCTCTATATTTTATTTGCTCTTCTTGAGGATAATTTGGAATACAATCAGTCCTCTGCCAGAATAATGTTTATTACTCCATTTATTCCAAAAAGCATGTTAGGAGGCTTTCAGACAAAATGGCTTTAATTTGACTTTTAAAACAGAACGGCAACATTCTAGGAATCAGAGCCAGAAGTCAATGCCTTTTATAGTTATCTATTTTCAAGAGTTGAATTTTCCTGGCACAACAGTACTAGAAGATAGAACCCCAGTTGAATGGGCTTTTCATTCTTAGTCCTATGACTTTCTTTTTTTTTTTTTTTGAGATGGAGTCTTGCTCTGTCACCCAGGCTGGAGTGTAGTGGCATGATCTCGGCTTACTGCAACCTCCACCTCCCAGGTTCAAGCGGTTCTCATGCCTCAGCCTCCTGAGTAGCTGGGATTACAGGCTCATGCCACCATGCCTGGCTAATTTTTGTATTTTTAGTAGAGACAGGGTTTCACCATATTGGCCAGGCTGGTCTCGAACTCCTGATCTTGTGATCCACCCGCCTCGGCCTCCCAAAGTGCTGGGATTACAGGTGTAAGCCACTGTTCCCGGCCCTGTCCTGTGACTTTCAAGGGGGGACAGCCCTTGACATGTAATTTTTGTGCTTAATCTATATCCCTGGACTATAGTCCTCTTTTCACCCTTCTATGTCCACTTTCTGCCCTGGGAGTTGATTTTTAGAGACTGTATCAGAAGGACTCAGCCCTGTGAGTTTCTAAATAGTGTTGGCCGATCTAGGGGACTGAAATTTGACAGTAAAACCTGTACTGGGGTGAACAGTGGCCCTTCCAAAGTCCTGTCTCCCAGGGACTTCAGAATGAGACCTTATGTGGAAATAGGGCCTTTGCAGATGCATTTGTTAAGATGAATGAGAGTGAGCCCTAAATCCAATGACAGGCATCCTTCTAAGAGACGGAAGAAGAGACACAGACAGAGACACAGAGGAGAAGGTCACGTGGAGATGCAGGCAGAGACTGAGATAAGATGGCCACAAGGCCAGGGACTCCTGGAGCCACAAGGGGCTGGGAGAGGCAAAAAGGAGCCTCCGCTAGAGCCTCTGGAAGCAACTGGATACAACTGTAGTGGACTGTACAGTGGTCCTCCTAAAAGATATGTCCACGTCCTCATCCCCAGAATCTGCGAATGGGAACTTATTTGGAAGCGGGGTCTTTGCAGATGTAATTGAGTTAAGAATCTCAAGATGAAGGCCGGGCCCGGTGGCTCACACCTGTAATCCCAGCACTTTGGGAGGCTGAGGAGGGCAGAACACCTGAGGTCAGGAGTTCGAGACCAGCCTAGCCAACATGGCGAAACCCTGTCTCTACTAAAAATACAAAAATTAGCTGGGTGTGGTGGCAGGCGCCTCTAGTCCCAGCTGCTTGGGAGGCTGAGGAAGGAGAATCGCTTGAACCCGGGAGACAGAGGTTGCTTTGAGCTGAGATTACATCGCTGCACTCCAGCCTCGGTGACAGAGCGAGACTACATCTCAAAACAATAACAACTGCAGCAACAAATCAAGATGAGATCATCATGGCATAGGGTGGACCCTCCACTCAATGACAGGTATCTTTGTAAGAGACAGAAGAGGAGACACAGATGCAGAGGAGAAGTCCACGTGGAGATGGAGGCAGAGACTGGAGTGATCTGGCCACACGCCCAGGGACGCCTAGAGCCCCCAGGAGCTAGGAGGGGCAGGAGGGATTTTCCTGGAGGGAGCTCATGTCTGTGTCCCAATATCTTCTTCTTATAAGGCCACTAATCATATCAGATTAGGACCCACCGTAATGACCTCATTTTATATTAATCACCTTTTTAAAGACCATATCTCCAAACACAGTGACACCCTGCAGTCCTGGGAGTTAGGACGTCAACTGATAAATTTAGAGGACAGAATTCAGCTCACAACAGTCTTTGCAGTTGAGGTCACTAGGGTGGGCCCTGATTTAGTGACTGCTGTATTTATAACAAGAGGAGATGAAGACAGACACAGAGGGGAAGGCCAGGTGGAGACGGAGGCAGAGACTGGAGTGATGCGGCCACAAGCCCAGGGATGCCTGCAGCCCCCAGGAGCTGGGAGGGGCAGGGGGGATCCTCCCCTAGAGCCTCCAGAGGAAGCACAGCCCTGCCCACCCCTTGATCTCAGACTGCTGCTCTCCAGAACTGGGAGAGAATAAATTCCTGTTGTTTTGTTTTGTGTTTGAGACAGAGTCTTGCTCTATCATTCAGGCTGCAGTACAGTGATGCAATCTCGGCTCACGGCAACCTCTGCCTCCTGGGTTCAAGTGATCCTCCTGCCTCAGCCTCCCAAGTAGCTGGGATTACAGGTGCGCACTACCACACCCGGCTAATTTTTGTATTTTCAGTAGAGACGGGTTTTGTCGTGTTGGCCAGGCTGCTCTCAAACTCCTGACCTCAGGTGATCCGCCCACCTCGGTCTCCCAAAGGGCTGGGATAACAGGCGTGAGCCACCACGCCCGATCAGTTCCTGTTGTTCTATACCACTGTTTGTGGTCATTTGTTATGCCACTCCCAGGAATCTCTTTCATACCCTCTAGTCTCCTCTGAGTCCCTCAGGCAGCAGCACACCCCTCCCAACGGCTGCACCACCTGGTTATGAGCCCAGGCTCCGCATGTCACCCCAGTTCAGCTCTCTGTGGCCGCAAGGCCCAGCACAGAAGCTCCTGACCATGGCCTCCCCATCCCTGAATGGCCCTTCCCACCATTGCCTGCTTGGACACTGACTGATACGATCCTGCCCTCCCTGTCATCTCGGTGATCCCTTCTCCTTCTCAGGGCTCTGTTCCTTCCTGCCTTTGCTCACACATCCCCTGTTGTGTGACAGATTTTTTTTTTTTTAATTTCAATTGTTTTGGGGGTAGAAGTGGTTTTTGGTTCCACGGATAAATTCTTTAGTGGTGATTTTTGAGATTTTAGTGCACCTGTCACCTGAACAATGTACACTGTATCCAATATGTGGTTGTTGTTGTTGTTGTTTGTTTGTCTGTTTTTGAAATGGAATCTCGCTCTGTCACCCAGGCTGCAGTGCTGTGACGTGATCTCGGCTTACTGCAACCTCCACCTCCCAGGTTCTAGCAATTCTCCTGGTTCAGCCTCCCAAGTAGCTGGGACTATAGGCACATGCCACCACACCCAGCTAATTTTTGTATTTTTAGTAGAGATGAGGTTTCACCATGTTGGCCAGGATGGTCTCAGAAACTCCTGACCTCAGGTGATCTGCCTGTTTCGGCCTCCCAAAGTGCTGGGAATACAGGCGTGAGCCACCGCGCCAAGCCCGAATATGTAGCCTTTTATCTTCACCCACCTTCCACCCTTACCCCGAGTCCCCAAGTTCCATAATATTATCGTGCATTTGCATTCTCATAGCTTAACTCCTACTTACAGATGAGAACATACGATATTTGGTTTTCCATTCCTGAGTTACTTCACTTAGAATAATGGCCTCCAGGGCCAAGTGCGGTGGCTCACACCTGTAATCCTTGCACTTTGGGAGGCTGAGGCGGGCGGATCACCTGAGGTCGGGAGTGTGAGACCAGCCTGACCAACATGGAGAAACCCCATCTCTACTAGAAATACAAAAAAATTAGCTGGGCGTCGTGGTGCATGCCTGTAATCCCAGCTACTCGGGAGGCTGAGGCAGGAGAATCGCTTGAGCCTGGGAGGCAGAGGTTGCAGTGAGCCAAGACTGCACCATTGCACTCTAGCCTGGGCAACAAGAGCAAAACTCCATCTCAAAAAAAAAAAAAAAAAAAAAAAAAGAAAGGATAATGGCCTGTAGCTTCATCCAAGTTGCTGCAAAAGGCATTATTTCATTCCTTTTTATGTCTGAGTAGTATTCCATGGTGTATATATACCACATTTTGTTTATGCACGCATTGGTTGATGGGCACTTAGATTTGCTTCCCTAGCTTTGCGGTTGTGGATTGTGCTGCTATAAATGTGTGTGCAAGTGCCTTTTGCCTATAATGACTTTTTCCCCCACTGGGTAAATACTCAGCAGTGAGACGGCTTCCCCAAATGGTAGTTCTACTGTTAGTTCTTCAAGGAATCTCCACACTTTTTCATAGTGGTTGTGCTAGTTTACATTCCCGCCAGCAGTGGAAAACTGTTCCGTAGGATGGTTTTGATGGGGCCATTTTACATCTACCCTGGTTTGTTTGGCCCAGTAAACAAACCAGAACTAATTCCTGAAAGTAACCCAAGGGAATCTAAATTCTTCTTCCTTCTCATGAATTCCTGGAACTATCACACAGCTTTTTTTTTTTTTTTTTTTTTTTTTTTTTTTTTGAGATGGAGTCTTGCTCTGTCGCCCAGGCTGGGGTGCAATGGCGCAATCTCGGCTCACTGCAACCTCTGCCTCCTGGGTTCAAGCGATTCTCCTGCCTCAACCTCCCAAGTAGCTGGGATTACAGGCACCCACCATCACGTCTGGCAAATTTTTGTATTTTTAGTAGAGATGGGGTTTCACCATGTTGACCAGTCTGGTCTTGAACTCATGACCTCAGGTGATCCACCCACCTTGGCCACCCAAAGTGCTGGGATTACAGGAATGAGCCGCCGTGCCCGGCCCTAGCACAGCTTTTTATTACTGTGTGTGCATGGAGCAACAAGACCCTTCAGCATTGACCTGCAAGCACTCCTTCAGCCCTCAAGTTGGAAGACGTTGCAACATGACCCTATGAAACAATTGCTAGGTATTTCTCCCAGAATCCAGCACAGAGCTGACCATTCCATAAATAGTTCTGGATTGGCTGATAAATATTCCTCTGTAATGCTTTGTGTATATTGGAGTTAATGAAGATGTGTTGACTTAAAGCTATTAAACTTGTGGCAACCAATCAATGTCTGTAGTCTTGTTATCAGAAGTGCACCAGTGTTGGTGACCTGGCTCTGATATTGCACCCCAATCCTAATAGAAAATGAAGCTGGGCTAAGGGCAAATGAAACTCTAGGTGGGGGTCTTGTGTACTTGCATCTTCCTTAGACTCTTTAATTATCTCAAAAGGAAATTTAAAGAAAAAATATAAAATTACAATTTGTAAACATTATGCAGAAAACTAATTTGGAAAAGTGGTACATTTTACCACGTCTTGTTATATTTCAAAATCTAAATTTGCTTGGGCGTCATGAAATAATCCTGTCTGGAACCAAAAACCTTCCCATCTTTATTTTTTATTTATTTATTTTTGAGATGGAGTCTCTGTCAGCTGGGCTGGAGTGCAGTGGCGTGATCTCGGCTCACTGCAACCTCCGCCTCCCAGGTTCAAGCGATTCTCCTGCCTCAGCTTCCCAAGTAGCTGGGATTACAGGCATCTGCCAGCACGCCCAGCTAATTTTTGTATTTTTAGTAGAGATGGGGTTTCACCATATTGGCCAGGCTGGTCTCGAACTCCTGACCTCAAATGACCCACCTGTCTTGGCCTCCCAAAGTGCTGGGATTATAGGCTTGAGCCACAGCCCTCGGCCCCACGTTTATCTTTGAAGTTGACTTAACATCATTCCCTGTTAAGGAGAGGTAGTTTTATTACATTGAGTAACAAATCTGTCTGCTTCTTTGAAATCAGGGTTAAGCATTAACTAGAACCCATGATGGGGTTAAAGTGATGGATGCATAAACACACACACATACACAGACATGCATGCACACCTGCACACACATCAATTAAAATTCGGTTCATTGATTTGCCGGTGACGAGAACCTGCAAACAGAATGTGCAGGTGTCCTGATCTGACCCTGGAAGAGAGAGAAAGGTTCAAAGATGAGCTCTTTTAGTTTCAAGATATGAGTCAACTGCCTTGGATTCATTTCCTTGTTTTCTTTTTTTTTTTAATATTAGGGATGTCAATGACTCCTCATAAGATGATGAGGAGAGATAGATGGTATAAAGTGTATTATAAATGTGATGGTTCTTACTGCCTGCTTAAGGTTCTAGTGCAATAGAATATTAGGGATGTCAGTGATTTCCTCATAAGATGATGAAGAGAGAAAGATGGCATAAAGTGTATTATAAATGGTGGTTCTTACTGCCTGCTTAAGGTTCTAGTGCAATAAAATATGAGAAATACATGGCTTATAATTCAGGCAGCTATTAATGTGATCCTGTTGGACTTTTGTCTGCCCATATATGGCCAACCAAGACCGAACAAAGTATATTCCTTAAATGTTGGAAGAATCTGCAAACCACAGACTAGCCAGTTTGGTGTTAATCGCCAGAAGATGATTAACCATGGAAATCAAAGCCAGATAAACAGTTTCTGATCATAAACTGAACATGTGTGTGGACCTCCCCTTTCTCCAGCCCCAAAAAGGATTGCAAAGCCCTTGAGGATGCTTTATCTTGTGTCGCTCAGGGTGCCTAGAAGAGCGTTGAAAACTGGCAAATTCTCCATAATGTGTGTGTTGGCATGGGGAAGTGGGGACGATGGGAAGCTCATTAGGTACGCAGCCATTAGCTTTTGCAGCAAAACAAACCACCCCAAAACGTGGTGCTTTAAAACAATACCCATTTAGTTCGTTCCCGATTCCGTGGCTCAGCTGTTCAGGTTTGGCTCAGTGAGGCAGCTCTGGGGTCAGCTGGATTCACTCATGAGTCAGTGCTCAGCTGCCGGGTGGCCAGGAGCAGGCTGGTTTGGATGACTCAGCTGGGGCAGCTTGGTTTAGCTCCAACTGGTCTCTCAGCCTTCGCTGAGGCAGCTCATGCTTATGCATATGGCAGCCGGGAAGGTTTCCAAGCCAGGGAGCTAAGGCGTGAACAGCCTCTAAAAGCCCAAGTGCAGAAATTTTTAAAAAATGCTTATTTATTTGTTTTCAGAGACAAGATCTCACTCTGTCACCCCGGCTGGAGTGCAGAGGCACAATCATAGCTCACTGTAACTTTGAACTCCTGGGCTCAAGTGATCATCCCACCTCAGCCTCCCAAGTAGCTGAGACTCTAGGTGTGCACCACTATGTCCTGCTATTTTTTTTTTTTATAGAGATGGGGTGTCATTGTGTTGCCCAGTTTGGTCTCAAACTTCTGGCCACAAGAGATCATCCCCACCTGATCCCATACTGCCTACCCACCCTCACCTCCCAATTCTCTTCCTACTCATTAAGGTCATAATTTTTTCCCTCAGTGTCTGTGTTTTTGCTCATGTGTGTATGCTCTCTGAAATGGAGCATTTTCTATCCGGAAGACTCCTACACGTTCCGCACAACCCAGCTTAAATGCAGTCTCCTTCGTGAAACATTTCTCAACCAGCATGGCCTCCATTTTTCTCCTTTTTCCTCGCACAGCACTCTGCGCAGCACTCTGTGTCCATCATCTGTAGACTATATCACGTTGTGTGAGATACATTGTTATTTTTGGTGGTGGTCGTGGTGTGTTTTGTTTGGTTTTTTGCTCTTCCTCAATGGAACAATTGGGCTATTTGATGAAAGAAAAAGGACTTACTCACCTTGGCATGCTTTGCATGTAGGAGACAATCTGTAACACTCTATTTGCTAAGTCAATGTTTATTGGATAAATCAACATAATTTTCATGTTATTACATTACAGTGCTTAAATGTGCTTGCGTCAGCTCTGTAGCTACAATGATGCACATATTGTTGTTGGAAGAGATTATATTTTTCATAAATGGCCACAGCAATATTTCTGTCCCACACTCTCTTCCAGAACCTTGGTGCTTCCCATCAAGAGTGGGAATCTGATTCCCTTTTCCTTGAAATTGGGTGGATATTTGTGGCTGCTTTTGTGCAGAGGGGTTGCCACATGACTTCAGAAACCAGGTTGTAAATGTGCTGTGACTGCACATTATTTTTATTTATTTTTTTTTTTGTGATGGAGTCTCGCTCTGTTGCCCAGGCTGGAGTACAGCGGTGGAATCTCGGCTCACCACATCCTCCGCCTCCCAGGTTCAAGCGATTCTCCTGCCTCAGCCTCCCGAGTAGCTGGGACTACAGTCAACACACCACCATGTCCGGCTAATTTTTGTATTTTTAGTAGAGATGGGTTTCACTATGTTGGCCAGGCTGGTCTCGAACTCCTGACCTCGTGATATGCCTGCCTCAGCCTCCCAAAGTGCTGTGATTACAGGCGTGAGCCACTGTGCCCAGCCACAGTGGCTTTTTTAAACCAGTAAATTTTGGATAGCTAGTTATACATAATAACTGAAACAATCAGGCATTTTAGAATTCATATGTAAGCTAACTTTTACCATGTAGCATTCTCACACATATATAATGTGTGTGTGCATTTATGTGTGTGTGTTTGTGTGTGTGTGCACAGGCAAAAGAGATAGGGAGCTTTATTGCCTAGTGTTTTGTGGTCAGCTCACTTTTGCCTTGCCTGCATTCAGTTGAGCAGTTAAGCATCTAAAGTACCCAGTCTGTACACTGGGCTGTCTGCCAGGTACCGTGTTAAAAACAAAGTTGAGCCTGCTCCTAGCTTGTTGGAAAACTCAGATAAACACAAATTAACAGCTCTCCTGTCACATTCTATGTTTTGGAACACCCTAGGATGGCTTTCTCAGATTCAGCACTGTGACCATCATAGTCAGCACTTGTCATGATCAAGACTCAACCTTAGGTCTTGGATACAGTCCTAACGGGCCACTGGTTCTAACCCACAAGGTTGTTTACCTATCTAAGCAGACTTAGGGGTAAACAGGATTCCTGCTTCAAATACAGTATTCTGGGAAGTTGATTCTTTCTTGACTCTGAGCCAAACTAAATGCAAGCATAAGCTTCATCAACAAAGTAGTTGTTCATATATTATGCAACTTCCGTAATGCCTTTTAATTTCTTCTGAAGACTCAACCAATGCTACAGGTAAGAAAATTAAAAAGACACACAGACATAGGATCACACATCAAGTTTTTGCCAAATTAAATTATTGTTTTGAAAATAATTTGCAGCACTGATGGGCACACACCGTAAAATTTCCAATGTATGAACTCTGGGCTACAAGACACTCTTTATCTTTGCCTGCTGTGAACGCTCTGAGGAAAATTCCGGTGGTTTTGAGGCAGTCACAAGGCAATGTGCTGCATACGGCCTGGACTCAGAAGCAAAGGGCTCTTGATTTTAATCCCAGCCCACCGCTGACAAGCTCAACGGCCCCAGGATGTTTCCTCATCAGCAGAGGTGGGCTAATGAATCCAGATCCCCTGTTTCACAGTTGTTCCTCAATGAATGAACACCTAGAAAGTTATACAACAATACAAAAATATCAGGTAGAAATTTACTTGTTTGTAAGTCTGTCAATCCATCCATCCACTCACCCTTCCATCTATTCATCCATCTATTTTTCTAGCCACCCGTCCATCCATCTATCCATGCACCTATTTATCCATCCATCCAGTTATCCATCCATCTATCCACATATCCATCCACACACCCACCCATCCATCCATTCATGGATACAACCGTTCATCTACACATCCACCCACCCACCCATTCACCAAACTATTCATCTATCCATCCATTCATGGATACAACCATTCATGTACACATCCACCCACCCACCCATTCACCAAACTATTCATCTATCCATCCATCCATCCCTGCATACACCCACTCGTCGATCCATCCACTCATCCATTCACCCACCCATCTACCCATCCATCTGTCCATCCATCCATCTACCCACCCACCCATCTACCCATTCATCCATCCATCCATTTATTCATCCATCCATACATTCAGCCACCCATTTACTGAAACCTTATCTATCATCCATCCAGCCAGCCAGCCATTTATATACCCACCCGTTCATGCATCCATTCACCCACGCACCCATGTGTTTATCCATCCATTCATTCATCCACCCACATATCCACCTACCCATTCATCCAACCCTCCATCTATTCACCCATTCATCCATCCACCCACCCATCCATCCACTCACCCACCCATTTGTCCATGCATTCATTCATCCACCCATTTATTTATTCATCTACCCATTTATCTCTCAGTCAATCCATGCATCCAGATGTCTGTCCATTTATCCACACATCCACAACCCCCACCCATCCACCCATGTGTACTTCCATCCTCCCACTGACTCAGGAAACTTCATTTGAGCATCTGTACAGCCGACATTGCGTGTGGCTCAGACACCTCTTAACTGCCTTGGCTGCCCACAAGTACCTCACAGGAGGTCTCTGCTATAAATTGGGCTCAGCCCCTGGCAGTGGAGACCAGAAATAAAAAGTGATTTAAATAACACTGAAACAAACCTGACTTTTTAAATGGTAAGATTAAAAACGTACTCTTCTGTCCTGTAATGAGGTCAGGAGAGTTGGTCTGGGCCTGGCACAGCTGTCTTGCAGTGTCACCAGCCACCCTGGCACCTTTGCTCCATATATTCTGCCATTCTTGGAATAGGACCTCTACCCTCTGGAGGACTTCCTGCTCTAAGCTAGCTGCTGGAACTCCAGACATCACGTCATTATTCCAGGCAGGCCCAGCATGATGCAGAGAAAGCGAAAAGTGGGCTTGTTGGCCACCAGTCCCCCTCTTAAGGGACTCCTCAGAAGTTTCACCCAATAACTTTGGTTTACATTGATTTTATTAACCAGAACATAGATTTTTGGTTACACCTAACTGCAAAGGAGAATGAGGATATCGTCTTTCAGCTGTCACATTGCCAAAATCAGTAAATTCAAGGTCTCTTAATATAAGGGAAGAAAGAAAGGATATAGGATAGGCAACTGTAGTCTCACACGTGCATGAGGAATGGATGGAAGGATGGTGGACAGGAGCGCGTATGTAAATACTTTTTAGTCTTCTCAGGCTGCCATAATAAAATAGCATAGACTGGGTACTTAAACAAAAGGAATTTATTTTCTCACAGCTCTGGAGACTGGGAAGTCCAAGATCAAGGGGCTGGTTGGTTCAATTCCTGGTGAGGGCTCTCTTCTTGGTTTGCTGTGTTCTCACATGGAGGAGAGACAGAGCAAGCATGCCCTCTGGTATTTCTTCTTACAAAGGCACTAACTTTCCTGCATAGGGTCCTAACTTTACGATTTCATTTAACCTTAATTATTTCCTTGCTGCAAATACAGACACATGGGGAACAGAACTTCAACACACGAATTTGGGGAGTAGATACAACTCTGCTCATGGCACATATAAGCATGCATACTAAATGTGTGTGTGCATGTGGGTCAATGGAAAGATTGGAAGTCTCATTAATAGCACATATATGCATGCATACTATGTGTGTGTGCACGTGTGTCTGTATGGAAAGATAGGAAGCCTCATTATCTAAATGCCTAGCCTTTCGGGTGAGCTAATTTTTGTTGTGTATGCATTCAATTGAGTAATTAAGCTTCTCAAAGGCTGCCTCTCTTTGTTGGGCTCTCTGCCTGGTGCTGAGGTACAGACAAAGATGTGACTGCTCCACAGCTTATGGGGAGGCTCAGATAAACACGAATAAATCTAAATAAACACACATAAATTAAGGCCTATTTAAATAAACACTTGCTGCTCTCAGAAGCAGAGCCACGGCTGTTTGATTTTACTGCTGTATCCCACAGAGCAGATACTCAAAAAGCTTTGTTGAGGCTGGGCATGGTGGCTCCTCCCTGTAATCCTAGGACTTGGGGAGGGCTGAGACTGGGGGATCGCTTGAGGTCAGGAGTTTGAGACCAGCCTGGGCAATATAGTGAGACCCTGTCTCTAAAATAAAATAACCTGGGCATGGTGGTGCAGTCCTGTGGTCCCAGCTACTCAAGAGGCTGAGGTCAGAGGATCACTTGAGCCCAGGAGTTTGAGACCAGCCTGGGTAACATAGACCCCATCTCTAAAATTATAAAATTAGCCGGACATGGTGGCACATTCCTGTGGTCCCAGAGGCTCGGGAAGCTGAGATGGTAGGATCTCTTGAGTACAGGAGTTTGAGACCAGCCTGGGCAACACAGAGAGACCTCATCTCTGCAAAAAATAAAAATAAGCGAAAATAAACACAATATTTTTAAAAACATGAAAAAGCTTTGTTGAATAACCAGGCATGTTGAGAAATCACCAAGAATAGAGCACTGTAGGAACCTGGGGAGAAAAAAGCTGAGTTGTTGGTGCAGGAGCCAAGCAGTTAGGGGTACATGAAAGAAAATCGCTAGTGGGCTGCACCCTGGCAAATGCAGCTGGACGAAAGATCTGATGCTACTCATTCCCGAAGGTCACATTCTTAAGCTTGAATGGGTGGCAGAGTTGACCTGACTCAGGGTAATGGTACAGGAATATACATGTGCATATATATCATACTGCAAATGTATCCGTTTTGAATCTGACTCTCTAAGAATAATCTACAGGCCAGGTGCGGTGGCTCCCGTCTGTAATCCCAGCACTCTGGGAGGCCGAGGAGGGTGGATCACCTGAGGTCGGGGGTTCGAGACCAGCCTGACCAACATGGAGAAACCCTGTCTCTACTAAAAATACAAAATTAGCTGGGCATGGTAGTGCCTGCCTATAATCCCAGCTACTCAGGAGGCTGAGGCGGGACAATCACCTGAACCCGGGAGGTGGAGGTTGTGGTGAGCCAAGATCACGCCATTGCACTCCAGCCTGGGCAACAAGAGCAAAACTCTGTCTCAAAAAAAAAAAAAAAAAAAAAAAAAAAAGCCGGGCACGGTTGCTCACACCTGTAACCCCAGCACTTTGGGAGGCCGAGGCAGGTGGATCATGAGGTCAGGAGATCGAGACCATCTTGGCTAACACACGGTGAAAACCCGTCTCTATTAAAAATACAAAAAAATTAGCCAGGTGTGGTGGCGGGCGCCTGTAGTCCCAGCTACCTGGGAGGCTGAGGTGGGAGAATGGCATAAACCCGGGGGACGGAGGTTGCAGTGAGCTGAGATCGCACCACTGCACTCCAGCCTGGGCGACAGAGTGAGACTCCATCTCGAAAAAAAGAAAAAGAATAATCTAGACATCAGGAGAGCATCTGCTGGTCACAATTTGGGAGAACAGGGAGATAAGAACATCCAGCAGCCACCCATCCATCTATTCATCTGTCTGTCTATCCATGCACCCATCCACCCATGTATTTATCCATCCATCCATACATACATACATCCACCCACCCATTCATCCAACCCTCCATCTATCAACTCATTCATCCATCCATCCATTCATCCACCCACAATCCACCCCATCCACCCACCCGCCCTCAATTCATCCACCCACACATCTACCCATCTATCCATCTATCCATCCATCCACCTATCCATCCATCCACTCATCCTATCTGAATTGTGTCTGTGAGACTCCTCCATGGTGAAATTATTCTTTTCCTAATTTTTTATGTCATACACTTTGGAAGAAGTGGGGATCTGTGTCCACCTCCTTGATGGTGAGAGCAGCAGTCCCCAACCTTTTTGGCACCAGGGACTGGTTTCATGGAAGACAGTTTTTCCACAGAACCAAGGGTGGGAGGGATGGTTTTAGGATGATTCAAGCACATTACATTGTGCACTTTATTTCCATTATTATTATTATTATTATTATTATTATATTGTAATGTATAATGAAATAATTCTACAACTCACCATAACGTAGAATCAGTAGGAGCCTGTATTAGCCCATTCTCGCACTGCTATGAAGAACTACCTAATTTATGAAGGAAAGAGGTTTAATTGAGGGGGATGGTGCAAAACCATTCATGAAGGATCTGACCCCATGATCCAGTCACCTTCCACCAGGCCCCCACCTCCAACACTGGGGATTTCAGTTTGACATGAGATTTGGGCGGGGACACAGAGCCAAACCATATCACCACCAGCACAGCACCAAGCATCTTGCCACTCAGAAAGAATGCCAAAATTTCTCTCTAGACATATTTTATTTTTATTTTATTTATTTATTTATCTTTTGAGACAGAGTCTCGCTCTGTCACCCAGGCCAGAGTGAAGACGCACGATCTCGGCTCACTGCAACCTCCGCCTCCCAAGTTCAAGGGATTCTTGTGCCTAGCTGAGATTACAGGCACTTGCCACCATGTCGGGCCAATTTTTTTTGTAATTTTAGTAGAGACCGTGTTTCACCATGTTGGCCAGGCTGGTCTTGAACTTCTGACCTCAGGTGATCCACCCACCTTGGCTTCCCAAAGTGCTGTGATTACAGGTGTGAACCACCGTGCCCAGTCTAGACATACTGACATATTTCCTTTTTCTTTTTCTTTTTTTCTTTTCTTTTTTTTTTTTTTGAGACAGAGTCTTTTTCTGTCACCCAGGCTGGAATGCAATGGCGTGATCTCGGCTCACTGCAACCTCCGCCTCCTGGGTTCAAGCGAGTCTCCTGACTCAACCTCCCAAGTAGCTGAGATTACAGGCGTGCACCACCACACCAGGTTAATTTTTGTATTTTTAATAAAGACGGGGTTTCACCATGTTGGCCAGGCTGGTCTCGAACTTCTGACCTCAGGTGATCTGCCTGCCTCAGCCTCCCAAAGTGCTGGGATTACAGGCGTGAGCCACCATGCCCAGTCTAGATGTATTTTCTTCAAAGATGCACTTATCATTGGAAGTGGTTCTTTCTGACAGCTCCCCTGCCCCGATGCTTTCCTTCCTGTTCCATGGAGTTCCATGTTCTGTGCTGTGTAGTTTGATTTTCAGTCCTCCTTTGAATTCTGCAGCTGTGTATTTAGACCCATTTCCCAGGCCAGTAAACAAAGCCCCGTGGGCAAGAAACCACAGATCCCCCCATAGAAAGTGGGAGAAAATGCCAGTGTGCAATAGTGTGTGCATGTGTGTGTGTGTGTACGTGCATGTATGTGTGTGTGTATGCATGTGTGTGTGTGTGCATGCATGTGTATGTGTGTGCATGCAGATGGAATATAATTATAACCTGCGTGTGTGTGCAGTATAAAATATATAAAACTGGTTTGGAGAGCAGGGTATGAAAAGTCCAAAGTCAGAAGAACTAATCCTTGGCTGTGGGTGGTGGCTCATACCTGTAATACCAGCACTTCGGGAGGCCGAGGCCGGCAGATCAGTTGAGGTCAGGAGTTCGAGACCAGCCTGGCCAACGTGGTGAAACTCCATCTCTACTAAAAATACAAAAATTAGCCAGGCGTGGTGATGGGTGCCTATAGCCGTAGCTACTCAGGAGACTGAGGCACAAGGATCGCTTGAACCTGGGAGGTGGTGAGCTGAGATCGTGCCACTGCACTCCAGCCTGGACAACAGAGTGACACTCTGTCTCAATAAATAAATAAATAGAAGAAGAACTAATTCTTAAAAATTAAAGACACATGGAAGGTTTCCGCAGGAGGCTGGGAGCTACCAAGGGTTAGGTTGAAATGTGCAACGTGGCCACGTGGGTCCCTCGGAAATGGTCAGAACATGGTTATTTCTTGAGGTTCCACTGGTGAAATAAACGGGAAACATGGAGGCTGCCCCAGCAGTGAGTTCCCCATCCCTTCTTCAGCCTAGTTTGTGGCCTTCAAAAGATGCTTCCCGTGGCACCTGGATACAATTCAGAAGGCTTTTTCAATTAATTTAATTTTCATTCTGGAGGTTACGGCCTCTTGGTGCCAGTTCCAGAGGGTCTGCAGAATATTATGGAAATTCATATTTGGAGCCAAAGAATGGCAGCGTTAAAAAAAAATAAAGAAAAAAGGCAAAAGGCATCTAACTAAATGAATTAGAAACAGAAGTCTTCCAAATGCTTACCTGTGAGAACATAGATAAAAAGCCTCAAAGCCTGGCTTTCAGAAGCTGATGTTGCATCTTTATTATGGCTGGCGAGAATGACCTGCGCCCTCCCTGAAAGGCAGCCAGAGTCTAGACTCTACTGGAACATAATGGACAGTCAGAGGAGGGAAGCTTCACCTGCAGTGCCGTCCAAATGTCAGAGGCTGGAGATGGTCCAGGGGAGGGCCTTTCTTTTGGCGGTAATGGGGGTGAAGCAGGAAGCTCACAGGGAGAGGGGTGTTTGGAGTGTGAGACAGCAGGAAGACCCTGCGTTCTTTTTATCTCTGCTTCATCCCAAGTCAGACTTGCCTCAGGATGCCAAAATGCCCGGGCAGCTCCAGCATCCTCTTGCTCCTCAAAATGAGCCCCCAGGGTCCTCCTACTTGCCCTGACCTAGGATCCACACCCTCCCTTGACCCCAGCCCAGGACTGTGGCCAGGGAAAAAGAAAGTGCTAATTGATAGAGAGTCAATGCCACGTGGGGAGGTCGGGGGAGAGGTGCAGGAGAAAATACCAGAGAAGGAGCTCTGGTTGGGTAGTTCATCCGGGTTCACTCCAAGAGGTAACACTTTAAAGGTGGTGTTCCCATGAAGAACGATTACATTTTCCTCATACTTCTAAAGTGCAATTATGTTGCTGGGGTTTTGCTGGCCGAAAAGAAAACGAAAAAGAAAAGAAAAAACCTTCCGGTGTGCAAGCTCACACTGTTACTTTTTAAGATGTGCATCACTCACACCACCGAGCTCACATTGCTGAGCAGGTCTCTGGGGCACAGGCCCAGCCCCTCTAGCCTTGCAGGTTTCTGACCTAGGGGTGCAGGTGACCTAGGGAGGGGTGGGTATGGCCGCAGGCAGGGGATAGCTCAAGACCATTTGACCCAGCAATCCCATTACTAGGTATATACCCAAACGATTATAAATCATTCTACTATAAAGACACATGCACACGTATGTTTTTGCAGCACTAGTCACAATAGCAAAGACTTGGAACCAACCCAAATGTCCATCAATAATAGACTGGATAAAGAAAATGTGGCACATATACACCATGGAATATACGCAGCCATAAAAAAGGATGAGTTCATGTCCTTTGCAGGGACACGGATGAAGCTGGAAACCATCATTCTCAGCAAACTATCACAGGAACAGAAAACCAAACACCGCATGTTCTCACTTATAAGTGGGAGTTGAACAATGAGAACACATGGACACAGGGAGGGGAACATCACACACCAGGGCCTGTTGGGGGGTGGGGTGCAATGGGAGAGAGAGCATTAGGAGAAATACCTAATGTAGATGATGGGTTGATGGGTGCAGCAAACCACTATGGCGTGTGTATACCTATGTAACAAAACTGCACGTTCTGCACATGTACCCCAGAACTTTTTTTTTTTTTTTTTGAGACGGAGTCTTGCTCAGTCGCCCAGGCTGGAGTGCAGTGCCACGATCTCGGCTCACTGCAAGCTCTGCCTCCCGGGTTCACGCCATTCTTCTGCCTCAGTCTCCTGAGTAGCTGGGACTACAGGCGCCCGCCACCACGCCCGGCTAATTTTTTTTTGTATTTTTAGTAGAGATGGGGTTTCACCATGTTAGCCAGGATGGTCTCAATCTCCTGACCTCGTGATCCACCTGCCTCGGCCTTCCAAAGTGCTGGGATTACAGGCGTGAGCCACCGCGCCCAGCCTGTACCCCAGAACTTAAAGTATAATAATAACAATAATAAAAAGACAGGTGTTATCTCAGAGCCCCTGACTCAGTCGGCTGGGCAGCAAGTATGCCAGCCCAGGAATGGGCCAATAGATGAGGCAGGGCTTTGTAAACCAAAAATAAAATTCTTTAAGAGGCTGGAGTGGGTGGATCACTTGAGGTCAGGAGTTCCAGACTAGCCTGGCCAACATGGCGAAACCCCATCTCTACTAAAAATATAAAAATTAGCCAGGCGTGGTAGCAGGTGCCTGTAATCCCAGCTACTCAGGAGGCTGAGGCAGGAGAATCGTTTGAACCTGGGAGGTGGAGGTTGCAGTTAGTTGAGATGGTGCCACAGCACTCTAGCCTGGCCGAGAGAGTAAGACTCCGTCTCAAAAACTAAATAAATTAATAAAATAAAATAAAATTCTAAGCCCCCACCGCCCCCCACCTTCAAAACATCTGAATGGACTTCTTCCTCAGCCAGAGCTCTTTAAAAATTTAACCTGAGAGAGTGTTTCAAGCCGTGACGGGAAGCAGGGGTTGAACATGCCTCCCGGTGCCTCTCCGGCGTTAACATCCACACAGCCTTTAAGTTTGAGAAGAAACATTTTACAACCTCTTCTCTCTGACCCTAGCACCGGAAGGGTTCCTGTTCAAATAAGAACTTGAGTCTTCACAATTCTTTATCTTAACCCAGACATTCTTTTCTATTGATCCCAGGACTTTAAAGAAACCCAAGCAATTGCCAATCAGAAAATTCTAAAATCTACCTATAAGCTGGAAGCCTCCTGCTTTGGGTTGTCCCGCCTTTCTGGACAAAACCAATGTGTCTCTTAAATTTCATTGATGTCTCATGCCTCCCTAAAACGTATAACACCAAGCTGCACCCCGACCACCTTGAGGACACGTTCTCGGGACCTCCTGAGGGCTGTGTCATGGGCCATGGTCACTCATATTTGGCTCAGAATAAATCTCTTCAAATATGTTAGAGTTGGACTCCTTTCTCTTTTTTTCTTTTTTCTTTCTTTTTTTTTGAGACGGAGTCTCGCTCTGTCACCCAGGCTGGAGTGCAGTGGCCTGATCTTGGCTCACTGCAACCTCCATCTCCCCGGTTCAAGCGATTCTCTTGCCTCGGCCTCCTGAGTAGCTGGGACTACAGGTGCACACCACCACACGCGTCTAATTTTGTATTTTAGAAGAGACAGGGTTTCACCTTGTTGGTCAGGCTGGTCTCCAATTCCTGACCTCAGGTGATCCACCCGCCTCGGTCTCCCAAAGCGCTGGGATTCCAGGCGTGAGCCACCGCGCCCGGCCTAGTTTGACTCTTTTCGTGGACAGTTTGAAGTGTGGAATGCAAGAATATTCAGGGTTATTTGTCAGGCTGCAAAGTTGTTCCACTACCCTGCGGGAAAATGGATACAATTTTAGGCTTAGGTGTTAACAGATAACATTGTTAAGTGTGGGAAGGGCGACAACTGCACTGCAGCTGTGGCCAGTGGCGCGGGAGGGTGTCTAAACTCAAAGCCCACTGGAAGGCGAGTCGCCCATGACCAGGACTAGGGCCCAGGTGCCCCAGATAGAAGGCACCTCGTTCCCTATTGCCCCTCACTAACTCCCGTGACCAGGAGTCCCCACTCCCAACCTTGTCCTGGGGATTCTGGGGAGAAACTGCCCCAGCGCAGAGGCTACTCCAAGGGTTGTCCTTGGTCCGGCGCAAAGGGTTCGTCCGCCACCCTCCCGGCTGCGCACCCCGCGCTCGGACGCTCTAGAAAGGACTTGGGACGGGGGTTGCCTGTGGAGCGGGGGCCTAGGCTTCCTGAGCAGGGAGAGGATTGCACTTTGCTCCCCTTGGGGAACTCCCTGAGGTGAGCAGCGGGGAGGGGCCCCCATACTTTTCCCAGCAGGGGAGCCGGGAGTTTCCTCTGCTCCCACTGCAGAGCAGGGGAGGGTCCCTGCTAGGGGCGGAGAAGGGGCTGCAGGGGCGAGTGGGGAGGGGGGCTACACGTTTCCAAGAAGGGCGGCAGTTTCGTGTCGCTACAGTTGCAGGCGTGCATTTAGGAGGCTGTAGACAGGGAGGGACCCGCACTTTCCCGAGCAGGGGAGCTGCTGGGAAAGTTTGTTTTTTTGCTCCCACTGGAGACCAGGGGGTGAGGGGCGGAGAAGTGGCTGCAGGGGCGAGTGGGGAGAGGGGGCTCTATGTTTCCAAGAAGGGCGGCAGTTTTGTGCCACTACAGTTAAGGGCCGCCCTCGGGCGTGCATTCAGAGGGCTGTAAACCGGGAGGGACCCGCACTTTCCCGAGAACGTTGTAGTTCACTTTGCTTCGGGTCGGCGCCGCCCTGGCTACGGCCCTGTGGGTGGGTGAGGGGGCGTGGGCAGTTTCCTGAGAAGGGGCGGGGCGTGTACCGTACTCCCCTCGGCGCTGCCTGGGCCACCCCCGCCCGCCTACCCCCTCTGTCTCCTCCCCGGGCCCGGCGTTCCCGCCCCTTCTGTGCGCGCGTGGAGGCCGGGGCGGGGCGGGCGCAGCCGGCGCTGAGCTTGCAGGGCCGCTCCCCTCACCCGCCCCCTTCGAGTCCCCGGGCTTCGCCCCACCCGGCCCGTGGGGGAGTATCTGTCCTGCCGCCTTCGCCCACGCCCTGCACTCCGGGACCGTCCCTGCGCGCTCTGGGCGCACCATGGCCCGCGGGGCTGCGCTGGCGCTGCTGCTCTTCGGCCTGCTGGGTGTTCTGGTCGCCGCCCCGGGTGAGCGAGCGGAGGGATCCGGGTTGGGGGACGCGGAGGGCGCGGGCCGGGACTGGGGATCCGCTTGAGATGCGGCGTTGGGGGCGCCCCGCGGGGACACCCGGAGCCTCCTCCCTGCCCGGCAGGACGCGCTGTGCCCACGGGGGCCCAGGCCCGGAGGAGGCGCCCACTTTCTCCCCAACGCTTTTCCTGGAGCCGTTCCAGAGAGAAAAGTCAGCGTTTGTTGTCGGAGTTGCAAACTCTTACATGTGGGGCGGCCTTGGGAGAGGTGCGTCCGATTTTTCCCAATCTAGGGGACCTTCTTACAGATCTCTCTCCCTTTGCATGAGCCCCTCACCCCACCCCGTTATCTACCCCCAGGGTTTGGGGACCTGCGTCTTCAGGCCGCGCGCGGAGGCCGCCCTGGAGTTGCCTGTCACAGCCACGCCCTGCGTCCCGGGCCTAAATTTGGAATCGCTAGGAGCCTGAGACCCGGGTGGTGGGGGGAAGGGAAGGAAAAGTTAGAAAAAAACTTTGAGCCCTGAAAATGTTCAAAAATACTCTGTGGATGCGGGCTCCGGGAATTTCAGCGCGTGCTGTGCGCCAAGCAACACGGGGCGCAGAAAGAAACGTGTGCTTACCAAATTGTCCATCTGCGGCGGTGGAGAATTCGGAAAACAGAAAAAGTGGGCAGGGAAGAAAGAGCCACGGTCACCCTCCCACGCCCTAAACCGGGCCTATTTCTAATTATTACTTTAATCATGTTTTTCTGTTTCCCTCCCTTTGAAACGGAAACGGAGACCCTGCCGGATGTGGTATGTTATAAATTCTTTTTTCATGTTATAAATTCTTTTTTCAATGGTCAGTGCATTTTTTGCTCTTCGTATGGGCAGGCTTTTAAGTAGACCGGCTTGCGGGCAGTGTGGACTTCAGGACGGGCCTTATCAGGGCTGGACGTATTTAGGAAGGAGACGCGGGAACGCCCGGCCCTGGGGAGGACGGAGGAGGCCCGATTTGTGTTGATAGGATCTAGCTCAGCCTAGAGCTGCGGTGACTAGGCCGGGTCTCTATTTTTAGGGAGGAGTTGCTAATGGATTTACACCCTCTTTAAAGGGGTCCCGGGTATCCTAGAAATTGTGCTTTCACTTGGTAGAGATTAGAGATAATGAAGCCTGCTCCGTAGAGGAAAACTTGGAGGACTTTCCAGCCTGCAGGGGAGGTTCCAAGCAGAGCTTCCTGTTTCTCCCTTTTCTTCCTAAATGTCCTTCTTGCGGGCAACCTGTCACCACGGACGGGATGGCTCTGTAGGGTTTTATCAGCTGCATTTGTTCCCCAGGCACCTGCAGATGAACGGGTTTTTCACTTGTCTCTCTGCGAATGCATTCCTTCATCCTTCATGCCTGCCTTCCTTCTTTTGCACCTACTGTGGGCTTGGGGTCAGGGAAATATATCCAAGGGAGTGCTGGTGGCCTAAGAATTCAGTTTCCTGGAGAACAGAGGCATCTGAACAGGCAGACGGGAGACAGGGCCACAGGGACCTTTATAGTTCCATCACGAAATAACTCAGGGGTTCCCAGTGGTAAATCTTGGTGAGGGGCTTGGCTGGATTTTGAAGCCCTAGGGACAGATTTGCCGGCTGGTCTGGCGTTCCAGGTCATTGGAGCAGAGTGAGTGGAAAGCCTTATATTCTCTAAGCCCCAAACAAGTCGTTGCACAGTTTTTTTGTTTTTGTTGGTGGTGGTGGTTTTTTTTTTTTGGACGGAGTTTCACTCTGTCACCAGTCTGGAGTGTAGTGGCACGATGTCGGCTCATTGGCGTTGCACAGTTTTTAAACCCACAGCAGTGTTCATCTGGAACTCCTGATTTTGGAAGCAGACTGGGCTTAGGAACTCCAGCTGCTGATGCTTTGAGTAAAGGGAAGAGTACCTGTCTATGGGGTGGGTGGGTAGGGAAGAGCAGTGGGATAGGGGCATAACAGGGGCCAACCTATCCTTCCAATTGCAGAGGAGGGCCTGGCCGTCAGCACTGATGGATCTCCTTGAGGGACGCTTCTCACCCCTTCTTTGCAGTCTGACCCTGCTAGAGATGGAGACAGAAACAGCCTGTCCCAATAATATTAATACACGTTTCATCGGGAAAGTTGACTTTTGAGTTGGTGATGCTCAGAACACACTTTCTTATAGCAACGTGCATCAGGCTGCAAAACCCCGTTGAGCCTGAAGTAGGTTCTCAGACTGGTGCTGATAGCTCTGGCCTGATCTCAGAGTGTTGGGGACCCTGTGTTCCTTGGTTCCTTCATAAATTCTCAGGGGTACAGGTGGGATGTGGTGAGGGATGGATGGACAGAGGGAGGTGTATAGAGGAAAAGAGGAGGCTTCAGCTTTGTAGAGAGCAGGATGTCCCCACAGGGCGACGTTGGCCCCGAGGAGACACTTTGTGATGGTTGCAGACATTTTTGGTTGCCACCCTGGGGTGGGACATCCCACCATCCTGCAATGGGTGGGGCAGCTTAGGGAAGCTGCTCAGAATCTTTCAAGGGCCAGGACGGCCTCCAGCACAAAGAATTCATCTGGTCCCAAATGCCAGTGGTGTTGAGGGTGGAAAACCCTGAGGAGGGCTTGGGAGTTGCATGTATGCGCTGATTCAGGGCTGCCCCTGCAGTTAGGAGCCTGCCGTCCCGACAGTAGAGTCGCACACATCCGATGCATCCCTGCTCTCTGGCAAAGGCTGATTTGCCCCACCCCCCGGGGCAACGGCACAGCGGCCTGTGCGGTTTGAAAAACTCCAAACATCTACGGAACCGACATCTCTTGAACAATACCAGGCCTCTTCAGGATTCCCTCGCCCCAGTAGAGCAAGTGTGGGCTTCGTTGTTTTTTTTTTTTTTTAACTCTCTCCAGAGCTCTTGTCTCCTGCCCCTGTGGGTGTGTGTGGAAGTTATTAGGAGAATGTTTCTGGGCAGAGGAAGTGGGTTTTATCATCCAGCGAGTTTGCCTTGATTTTCCATCAGCGCGTTTGGCTCTGGTAAAAGTTGATTGCTTTGCATTTAACTCCCTACTTTAGGCCGAGCACGGTGACTCAGGCCTGTAAATCCCAGCACTTTGAGAGGCCGAGGGCCGGTGGGTCACATGAGGCCAAGAGTTCGAGACCAGCCTGGCCAACATGGCAAAACCCCGACTCTACTAAAAATACAAAAATTAGCCGGGCGTGGTGGTGAGCGCCTATAATCCCAGCTACTCAGGAGGCTGAGGCAGGAAAATCACTTCAGCCCGGGAAGCAGAGGTTGCAGTGAGCTGAGATCGTGTCACCGCATTATGGCCTGGGTAACAGAGAGAGACTCAGTCTCAAAGAAAAAAAAAAACTTCCTGCTTTAGCTCTTTCTCCTTTCTCTGTGTATGAGACAGAGTTTTCATGTAAAGACAAATACATGTCTTTACACTTTGGAGATACTCAAGTAAATGATTGTTTGTCTGGAAATCATTTTTCTTCCTGAAGGTCCTATGGTGGGTACATGCTGTCATTTAGAAAGAAATGCAGCTCATACAATACTTTTCCCAATTCAGCATTTAGGAATCATGGCGGGATTTCATGGATACTGTCTGGAATGTTTTCGGACTCAGATATCTTCCCCCGGGGAAATAGACTTCTCAGTAGCCACGTGGACCTTGTGCTGGTTTTCAGTCCTGCTGAAAATGTTCTGAGCACTCTTGTTACTTTAGGGGAAAAGAATTACGTGTCCTTTGTGATTTATAGACACAGTAAGAAATAAGACCTGTGTGTCTCTCGGGGTGCGAAGGAGGAAAAGTCTTTTTTTTTTGAGATGGAATTTTCCTCTGTTGTCCAGGCTGGAGTGAAGTGGCACGATCTCAGCTCATGGCAATCTCTCCATCTCAGGTTCAAGCAGTTCTCCTGCCTCAGCCTCCCAATTAGCTGGGACTACAGGCATGCACTGCATATCTGGCTAATTTTTGTATGTTTAGTAGAGAAGGGGTTTCACTATGTTGACCAGGCTGAAAAATATTTTTTTGAGGTGGGGTCTCTGTTGCCCAGACTGGAGTGCAGGGGTGCAATCAGGGCTCACTACAGCCTCCACCTCCTGGGCTCAAGCAATCCTTCCACCTCAGCCTCTGTAGTAGCTGGGACTACAAGCACACACCACTGTGCCTGGCCACTTTTAAATTTTTTTGTAGAGACAGGGTCTTGCTATGTTGCCCAGACTGAAAAAAAAGTCTTTTTTTTTTTTTTGAGACAGTGTCTCACTGTGTCACCCAGGCTGGAGTGCAATGGCAGGATCTTGGCTCACTGCGACCTGTGTCTCCCGGGCTCAGGCAATTCTCCTGCCTCAGACACCTGAATAGCTGGGAATACAGGCACATGTCACCACACCTGGCTATTTTTTGTATTTTTAGTAGAGACGGTGTTTCACCCTGTTGGACAGGCTGGCCTCAAACTCCTGGCCTCAAGTGATCTGCCCACCTTGGCCTCCCAAAGTGCTGGGATTACAGGTGTGAGCCACCTGAAAAATCATTGTAAAAATCAACTGTCCTACATTCTTATTTGGAAGTGACTCCTCTAACCAAAGACAGGGAAAAACAAACCAAACTTTATTAACATGCGTTTTTCATTGATACATGAGAGATACCTAGAAATGGGTAGTTTTCAAGGAAGTGGCTTGGATTCTAGCTGCTCTAGTACCCTCAACAAAGAACAGTCCATTTTTAGAGAATTGGCAGAGAAAGACAAAGGACTTTGAGTCTTCAGGGGCAGCAACAAAATGGCAGAGAAAGGCTGGTTATTGAAGCTTGTTCATTCTGAGTCCTGTGTTCCATGTCCCAGGCCCATGTGGATTTTCTGCTGTCTTCCGTGCTTCACCTCTGTTCTCCCAGTTGGGGAGGTGGGGTTCGGATTGCTTGTGAATGTGGGCTCATCGTTGCTGGTGTAGCTGCAGGCTGCAGGCTGTCCAGGGCTTGAGGATTTGCTGATATTCTTTCTTTTCTTTTCTTTTTATTTTGAGATGAAGTCTCGCTCTTTTTCCCCAGGCTGGAGTGCGATGGTGCGATCTCGGCTCACTGCAACCTCTGCCTCCCAGGTTCAAGCAATTCTCCTGTCTCAGCCTCCTGAGTACCTGGGATTACAGGTGCCCGCCACCACACCTGGCTAATTTTTGTATTTTTTTAGTAGAGGTGGAGTTTCACCATCTTGGCCAGGCTGGTTTCGAACTCCTGACCTCAGGTGATCCGCCCGCCTCGGCCTCCTAAAGTGTATTCTTTTTTGATTTATTCCCAGTCTCTTGGCTGAAACATGGTAGCTCACCAGCATTTCTACTCCCATTTGTCCAACTGACGGTATCTTTTCACATCTCTAGAGACCAGAAGGACTTCCTCTTCTTGAATTTCCTGTTCAGTATTCTTTCTTGGCTTGGTTCCTTGGTGAGTTTTGAGGAGATGGTGCATGGGTGTGTTTTTCGGCTTTGTTTTAGTATGACTCAGGGTTGCCACCATGCCTTGTACGGTCTCCTAGTCATAGTATTAAAGTTTCCGCTTAGCAGGAAACCAGAAACTTCCTTTCTTCTCCCCCAGAGTCAGATTCAAACCAGTGTTTCTCAAGTGGGCTGTGAAAGTAGCTTGCAGCCACCCACCTTGCAAAGAAGAAAATTCAACAGAGGAGAGGAGAAAATGCCCACAGGGTACATGGAAAGCCTTGCTAAAGAAGCCGCATGGGCAAAGCTTTTGTTCCGCTCCCTCTGTCCCGGTGGGCTGGGCTGAGATATAATATATGTTTGTCATTGTGGACGGCAGCTGGATGAGTCTGAAAGCGGTTGCAAACCCCTTTAATTCACTTTGCTTTCTCAACTTTGAATGGTGTCGTGGGCTGGGGTGGGTCCCCTGTTTTTGAGAATCACCTGAAAGAGTCTGATTTTCTGCATCTTTTCGGGGAGTAAAGCTGTTGCTCCAAAGCGCTGTTTAAAAGCTGATAATAGTGTATCTGGTTGAGCTAACAGCCCTTCTTGAGGAGGCAGCAGACTGGCCAGAGGGTTCTGCAGGCATTACTCATCAGCGACACCTGAGTTTGCCCAGGTAGCCTGACTCTTGTTTGTTTCTGCTTTGCCTGACCCTGCAAAATTATTGTCCAAATGCACCCTGGCAAGCATTGATCCACGAGGGGATGCTGACCAGAAGGAGCTTTCGTTTCTGCACGATGGACTGGAACACGATGGACTGGAATGATGACAAGAATAAACACACTGCATTGTCTTTTAGGGCCAATGGACTTGGAGGCATAGAGATTTTATAACTACTGCCAGAACCCAAATATTGCCAGTCGGCCTCTTCTGCTGCTGTTGCTAGCTGTCTTCTTCTGGGGGAAATGGGTTGGGTTCTAAATATGAATTAACACAGGGCTGTCTTCGATGAATTCAGCACAAAATGTTCTCAGCAATTGAACACTCGGAGAGAAGTGTTAGGCATTTAGTGCAGACTCATAGAATAGCAGGACAGGGAGGGATTTGGATCTGGGCAAGCAGGAGATGGATATGAACATCTGTCTTTTGAGACCGTGCCGAGGTGGCAATGAAGGTAGAGGCCCCCTGTGTTGAGGTCTTTACTCAAGAGGCTGTGGTCCTTTGGGACTAACATAGCATCCGATAGACAGACAAGATGGACAGCTACAGCCACCTATGGGAAGCGGTTTCTACTCTTAAACCACAAGCCCCTAGACACTCATCATATCATAAACATATCACCGGGCAGTGGCTTGCAATCTTTTTTTTTCTTTGTTTCTTTTTTTTTTTTTTTTTAGACTTGCCCAGGCCGGAGTGCAGTGGCACGATTGTAGCTCACTGCAGTCTTGACCTCCTGGGTGCAGGTGAATCTCTCACCTCAGCCTTCCAAGGAGCTGGGACCACAGGCATGTGCCACCCTCAGCTAATTTTTAAAATCTTTTTGTAGAATCGGAGTCTGACTACATTGCCCAGGCTGGTCTTGAACTCCTGGGCTCAAGCAAACCTCTCGCCTCAGCTTCCCAAAGTGCTGGGGTTACAGGCGTGAGCCACCATGCTCAGCCTGCAATCATTTTTTTTGAGACAGGATCTCACTCTGTCGCCCAGGCTGAAGTGCAGTGGTGTGATCTCAGCTCACTGCAGCCTCGAACCCCCAGGCTCAGGTGACCTGCCCACCTTAGCCTTCTGTGTAGTTGGGACTATGGGCACATGCCACCACACTCAATTAATTTTTACCTTTTTTGTAGATACAGAGTTTTGTTCTGTCGCCCAGGCTGGTGGACATATTTTAATCCTACAGAGTCCAGGCTAAAAACACACCAGTAACTGTGATGCCCATCCCTCCTGCATTCCTGATTTCTGAGTGATGGTTTCAGACACAAACCTGCTTGACCACCCTCCAGTAGCTCTTGCTGACCTAGATCCGAGGTTCTCAGCTTTGGCCCCATTGCGGGAAGCTTGGAAACGTCACTCTTGCCCAGGGTTACCTGGGTAGTCTGGTTTATAGACGTGTTAGGTGTTTTAATTTTTTTTTTTTTTTGAGACAAGATTTTGCTCTGTCACCCAGGCTGGAGTGCAGTGGTACAGTCATAGCTCACTGCAGCCTCAACCTCCTGGGTTCAAGCAGCCCACCTACCTCAGCCTCGAAAGAAGCTGGGACCACAGGTGCACCTCACCATACCCAGCTAATCTTTTCTTTCTTTTTGTTTTTTTCTTTTCTTTCCTCTTCTTTTCTTTTCTTTTGTTTTCTCTTCTCTCTTTTCTTTCTTCTTCTTCTTTTTTTTAGACAGAGTCTTGCTGTGTTGCCCAGGCTGGAGTGCCTTGGTGCAATCTTGGCTCACTGCAACTTCCGCCTCCCTGGTTCAAGTGCCTCTCTTGCCTCAGCCTCCTGAGTAGCTGGAACTACAGGCACGCACCACCACGCCTGGCTAATTTTTGTATTTTTAGTAGAGACGGGATTTCACTATGTTGGCCAGGATGGTCTCGAACTCCTGACGTCGTGATCTGCCCACCTCGGCTTCCCAAAGTGCTGGGATTACAGGTGTGAGCCACCGCGCCCAGCCTTTTTTTTTTTTTTTTTTTTAAATTACAGAGTCTCACTCTGTCACCAGGCTGGAGTGCAGCGATGCAATCTTGGCTCGCTGCAACCTCTGCCACCCAGGTTCAAGTGATTCTTCTGCCTCAGCCTCCCTCAGGCGTGAGCTGGCACGCCCAGCCAAATTTTTCATTTTTTGTAGAGACAGGGTCTCCCTATGTTGCCCAGTTTAGTCCTGAACTCCTGAGTTCAAGCCATCCACCTGCCTTGGCCTGGCAAAGTCTTGGGTTTATAGGCGGGAGCCACTGCATCCCGCTATTAGGAATTTTTAAAAAGCCCCTCGGAGGGTCTTCATGTGTGGCTGAGTTGTCAAGAATCATTGTTATTTTACTAGATATTCTGTTTCTTCCCTCCTACATGAGATTTCCCATGACCGCCTCTCGGATGTGAATGTCTATGCCATGGATTACATTTTTCAAAGAGCATTCAGTTTGTTATTTCATCTTCAGCGAGCCCTTAAGATATTTCTCATGGGCCTTTTGTAGATAAAGACACTGGGGTCAGAGAGTTCAGGAGCTTGCTGGTGATCACATGGTCAGCATGGGGAAAAATGCATGTGGACATGAGTTCTGTTGGTGGTGAGACGTGGGCACAGGGGTTGCTGGGCTTGGGAGTTGGTGGCTGCGTGTGTGGGCTGAACAGAGCTCCCCAGGCACGGCCTTGTGGACCTTGAGGGATGCCTGCCTTCACCACTAGTGTGACTTGAAGGGGAGGAGAATGTCCTGAATCAGTGATGGGCATTTTGATATGGAAGAGAACTCCCTTGAATCCTGGTGGTGAACTTAGACCAGTCACTGAGGCCTCTCCAGCTCCTCAGGGTCTCCGTGTTCTAGGTATCCATGTGTCCTTCCATCCATTTATCCATCCATTTATGCATCCATGCATCCATCCAGCCATGCATCCTCCTTTTATCCATCCATCCATCAACCCATCCTCCCATTCATTTACCCATCCATCCGTTCGTCCATCCATCCATCCATCAACCCATCCTCCCATTCATTTACCCATCCATCCATTCATCCATGCATCCATCCATCCATGCGTGCATCCATCCATCCATTTATCCATCCATCCATCCATCCATCCGTCGTCCCATTCCTTTATCCATCCGTTAATGCACCTGTCCATCCATCCATCCATTCTCCATTCATCTTTCCATCCATGCATCATCCATGCATCCATCCTTTTAGTTCATCCAGCCACTCATCAATTGATACATCCATCTGTCCACCATCCACTCATCTATCCATCCATTCACCCATCCTTTCATCAATTTACCCATCTACCATCCATCCATTTATCCGTTCACCCATTCATCTATCCATCTGTCCATCCATCCACCTATCTGTTCATCCATCCATCCATTCATCTATCCATCCATCCACCTACTCACCCACCCACCCATCCATCCACCCACCCAACCATCCATCCACCCAACCATCCATCCATACCTCCATCCGTCTACCCACCCACTCATCCACTTAACTACCCATCCATCCACTTATCCATGCATTCATCCATCCATCCACCTACCTACTCACCCACCTAAACTCATCTATCCACTCAACCATCCATCCACCTATCCACCCTTACCTCCATCCATCCCCTTACTGCCCATCTTTCCACTCATCCCATCCAACTACCCATCCATCCACCCAGCTGTCCACCCAACCATCCACCCACTCACTAATTTATCCACTCACCCACGCATGCATCCATCCATCCATCCATCCACCCACCCATTTACCCACCCACCCATCCATCCACTTACCTGCCTGTCCATCCACCCTCCCAGTCCATGGCTCTTTCATGTATTCCTTCAGCCAGCATAGGTTGAAGTTAAATGTACTATTGGTGCTATTTGCTGTGGTCCCTGTTTTTTGTTCTCTGCTTTGGAGGTAACAACCAGGGCATCAATTTGGGCATAAAAGCACCATTGTGGATGGAAGGCCTGGATGTCTGGAGGCACAGAGCAGGGACTACACTTGTTCAGGGGGTCAGAGAGAGTTCTCCCAGGAGGGGCCCTCCCTGGACACTGAGCTTCCAAGAATGAGCAGAGGAAACCAGGTGTAAGGAAGAGGAAGGGCCTCTTCTCAGCCTGGTAGACAAGCAGTAAGAGTGATGATGGGGCAGCTGCAGTTCATCTCAGACTAGAGGAGCTGCAGGGGCCAGATGGTGGGCAACCTCTGTTGCCACTGCTGAGGAGTGCAGATTTAAGCTCCCCTGAAGGGTTTGACGCAGACAGCTGTGCGGGGACGCTTAACCTGCCTAAGGCCCGTCTTTGGGTAACAGCATGCAGAACAGGTGGGAGGGGCTGGGGCTATTTTTGGCAGAGCGTGGATAAGTCAGTGGAGATAGAAGAGAAGGCACAAGCTATTTTAGGAGATATTGAGGAAGTTAAAATCTGTAACAGGTCCCTGCCTGCAGAGTTGACCACACGTTTGCATCACATGGGTAGGCTTTAAAATATAGATGCCTGCATCTCACCTTGGAAAGTTTCTGATTTAATTAGCCTGGGCATCAGGACTTAGGAAAACCCCACAGATGTGTGTAATTTGCTGCTGGAGTTGAGAACTGGGGTGCGGAGCTGTGCTCCTTAAACTGTAATGTGCTTACAGATCACCTCTGGTAATACTTGTGAGAAAGCGCTTCAGGTGGGCTAGGGAGAGGATCACGGAGGGCTTCCTGGAGAAGGTGACATTCTCCCAGGGCCTTGAGGGGTGAATAGACATTTTCCAGGTTCAGAAAGAAGGAATGGGCTTTCATGGCCAGGTAGAGGATCCAATGAGGCAGACGAGGGGCCCAAATTCTGTGACCCCCTACCCCTACCCCACCCCCAGGATGCCCCTGTATCAGTCCCATGGTGTAACAACCAAATTCACAAGATGCTGCAGAGGGGAAGAGATTTTAAATTTTCTGAGAAAGACAATGATATATTTTGGACACCATGAGAAATACTGTTATTAACTTGTTTTAACCTAGGTACACGCAATCTTCATCATTCAGTGATTCTGTATTTGTGACTTGCCTGCTTACTAAAATGTATTTGTCATCCCCACATCAATATTCCTGGCATTTAATTTTTTTATTTTAAACTTTCATTTTAGGTTCGGGGATACATGTGAAAGTTTGTGACTTAGGTAAACATGTGTCATGAGGTTTTGTTGTACAGATTATTTCATCACTGTGGTATTAAACCCAGGACCCAATAGTTACCCTTTATGTTCTTCTCCTTACCCTCGGCTATTTTGTTCATGCACAGAACGGCAAAAAAATTGAACTTTTTTTTTTTATTTTTTTTGGATGGAGTCTCCCTCTTTCGCCAAGGCTGGAGTGCAGTGGCGTGATCTTGGCTCACTGTAACCTCCGCCTCCTGTGTTCAAGTGATTCTCCTGCCTCAGCCTCCCGAGTAGCTGGGATTACAGGCATGGGATTACAGCCACCACGCCTGGCTAATTTTTGTATTTTTAGTAGAGACGGGGTTTCACCGTGTTGGCCAGGCTGCTCTCAAACTCCTGGCCTCAAGTGATTCACCCGCCTGGGCTTCCCAAAATGCTGGGATTACAGGCGTGAGCCACCACACCTGGCCAGAATTGAGCTTCTCAATAGCACATGTTCTCAGCTGAGGTTCAACAAAGCCAGACCCTGCCTTCTCGGGCCAGCGCGTACTGTCAACAGGGTTCTTTGCAAGGTCTATTTGGTGTCCCGTGTTTTGTGTTTTCGTGCTTTTTGTCAGTGATTTTGCGCTTTCAAATATCCCCAAGTCGGTGCTGACATGCTACCTAGCGTCCCTAAGTACAGGAAAGCTGGCATGGTCTCACGGGGAAAATACACATTTGATGAGCGTCATTTAGGCACGAGTTATAGTGCTGTTGGCTTCGAGATCAATGTGAGTGACTCCACAATGTCTATTCACTGCGGTGTCTTTAAACAGAAACCCACATAAAACGCGCTTAGGTAGTGATTGGTTCATGACCTCTGGGAACGTAGTCCTGTATTTACGTGGGAGCAATAGTTCACTATTCGCTAATTCAGTGTTCGCTGAGACTTTATAAAACGTAACTGCTTTGAATAACAAAGCTGTAATTAACAAACCGAGCTGTTAAGTGTGTGTGTGTGTGTGTGTGTGTGTGTGTGTGTGTGTGTGTGTGTTGGCCTCACATCATTTTACAGAGACACACAGGGCTCTGTGAACTGCTAATAGTTGGGACCGGCGGAGGGGTTATTTCAAGCTAGTCCAAAACTGCAGGGCAGAGACCACTTTGAAAGGAGATCAGCAGTCGGGGAGTGGCTGGGATGAAGTTGGAAAAAGTGCTGAGGCCCCTAAGTCAGTTTCCGGTGTTTCCACGTTAGCCTTGGGGGGTGATCACTCAGTTTCCTGTAGGGATGGGATCTGGGCTGGCATCTGCCTGTGGAAGGGGTGACAGGGACGGAGAGCAGGGAACCCCGAGCAGCCCTGCCTTGCTGTTGTCTGAGCCTCAGAACTCCTGAAGGCGGGGTCCTTCAGCATCACCCTGGAGTTTGTTAAAAATGCAGGCTCATGAGCCTCACCCCAGACCACAGAACGAAAATGTCTGGGGGTGAGACCCAGGATTCCACGTCTCCCCAGGTCCCTCGCAGGGCGATTCTGAGAACTGCCGGTGTGAGGCGTGCTCAGCCCAGCCCAAACATTCACACCATTCTTTGGCCTCTTGTAAAACTTGGCGTAGCTCAGGGGACGTTCCCAGAGTTATGGCACACGAACAAAAGAAAGTTTCCCACTTCTTACCAAACATATTGTAAAATTACAGGAAAGAGCTTGTTCTTTCACGTCTATACCCTTGTGCCGTCGTCCTAGTTAGGATGAAGCCGAGATGTTACCTTGTACCTTAGGCCACCGCAGACAAGGAAGTATATGCAGTTTAACCACCTGCATATAATCTTTTTCTTTTTTCTTTTCTTTCTTTTTTTTTGAGACAAAGTCTCATTCTATCACCCAGGCTAGTGTGCAGTGGCACAGTCTCGGCTCACTGCAACCTCCATCTGCCAAGTTCAAGAGATTCTTGTGCCTCAGCCTCCCAAGTAGCTGGAACTACAGGTACACGCCACCATGCCCAGCTAATTTAGCAGAGATGGGGTTTTGCCTTGTTGGCCAGGCTGGTCTCGAACCCCTGACCTCAGTGATCTGCCTGCCTCAACCTCCCAAAGTGTTGGGATTACAGGAGTGAGCCACCATGCCCTGCCTATTTTTTGGAGGCAGGGTCTCTCTCTGTTGCCCAGGCTGGAGTGCCGTGGTGCAGTGTCAGCTCCCTGCAATCTCAACCTCCACAAGCGCAGGCCATCCTCCCGCCTCAGCCTCCCAAGTAGCTGGGACCATGGGAGTGCGTCACAACACCTGTCTAATTTTTGCATTTTTTGTAGAGACGGGGTTTCATCATGTTGCCCAGGCTGCTGTTGAACTCCTGGGCTCAAGCAATCCTCCCACCTTGGCCTCCCAAAGTGTTGGGATTATAGGCGTGAGCCACTGTACCCGGCCACCTATGTATAATTTTCAAGCTAAGAAGACAGAGAGACGAGTTTAACTATTGCTACAGACATGAAGCCCTTCCCTTTCCATAGTTTGCTAGCAGAGAGTGTTTCCAGGGCCCGGCGGCCACTATCACCCACTGCGTTCATAGCTTTCCATGGGGTGAACAGATTGCGCTGGACTCAGCGGTTAAATCTAAAGTGTAGGATGTTTGGTGAACTCGGAGTTCCTTGCACTTGTCTGTGATCTGGCACATTGTGTTTTCTGTACTCAGATATGCAGTCACTGGCACACATCCTGTTACTGACGGGAAGCTGGACCCAGCACTGGAGTATTTCTGAGACTATGACACTCTGGTGTATTCCTGAAACTATTTATGACACTATTAAGCTCTTTTCTGTAATTTTACAATATGTTTGGTAAGATCTCAGCGCCAGATTTTTTTAAATGATGTGTTTATTTCTTTTAATTGACAAATACACATTGTATGTGTTTATGCGGTTGCACATGGTGTCTTGATGTATGTATCCATGGTGAGATGGATTTAAATATGCATGACCTCACAGACTTTGCAGCACTTTTTTGTGTGTGGTGAGAACACTTATTCAGAATGGGCTCCTTTAGTCGTTTTCAAATATTCAAGCCATTGTTACTAATTGCAGTCGCCATGGTGTCTCTGAGCTTTCCTGAAGTTATTTGTCCTGTCTCATGGACGCTTTGTGCCCTGTGACCGATCGTCTGCCCGGTGTTAAATGACACATCTTGAAAAAGAGGACAATACTTCCAGAGCGATTCGGTTTTATAGCAACAGAAAAGTAAGGGTGTTTTGACCATTTGAATAAAATAGTAAAATGAAATGTATCAGCTGCCTCCTGCTATTCCCACACAGGAGGACTTCCGGTGCTTGCTCCAATGTGGAGGCATTTTCTCTTGCAGCATTCTGAGCTACAATTATCTCTAGGCTGGGGACCCTTCCCGAGGCCCCCCAAACCTGGAATGAAAGTTTTTAGGGTCAGACCATGTGACTGGTTCCACTCGACCTCCAAAACGTTAAAAAGAAAAAAAAAAAAAGAGCCGGGCGCGGTGGCTCACGCCTGTCATCCCAGCACTTTGGGAGGCCGAGGCGGGCGGATCACGAGTTCAGGAGATCGAGACCATCCTGGCTACCACGGTGAAACCCAGTCTCTACTAAAAATACAAAAAAATCAGCCGGGCGTGGTGGTGGGCACCTGTAGTCCCAGCTACTCGGGAGGCTGAGGCAGCAGAATGGTGTGAACCCGGGAGGCATAGCTTGCAGTGAGCCAAAATCGGGCCACCGCACTCCAGCCTGGGTGACACAGAGACACTCTGTCTCAAAAAAAGGAAAAAACAAAAAACAAAAAACGCTTTGCCTTTGCTTGGCATCAGAGGACTCAGCAGCAAGTAAAGAGCACACACGTGCCCTCTGCACCACCTCCTCCTCCTTTTCTACAATGTCCTGAAAGTTTCGTGTTTAGTGGGCTTTGGAAAAGGGTGTGGAAAACCAGCAGGAGCAGATGAGTACTGGAGTGGCCAGCAGCAGGTGTGAACACCCTGGGGTGATGCTGGGGCTGAGTGAATTGGACATTTTTCAGCAGGGACACCCAGGCCAGTGGCGGGTCTTCATCCTCCCACCCTTAATGGAGATGAACGGCATTATTGAGAAAGCTGCAGGCACACACAGAGCACTGCTTAAATGATGTCCCTGGCTGCTGCTGTTACTATGTAATGATTGTGTTATTCTTATGAAAATCTGAAAGTTACAGGAATCTTGGAACTGCCTAATTTTTTTTAATTAATTAATTAATTTATTTCGAGACAGAGTCTCACTCTGTCGCCCAGGCTGGAGTGCAGTGGTGCGATCTCGGCTCACTGCAACCTCCACCTCCCGGGTTCAAGCGATTCTCCTGCCTCAGCCTCCCAAGTAACTGGGACTACGGGCGTGCACCACCACGCCTGGCTCATTTTTAATTTTATGTGAAACACCTGAATGATGTGATGATGGGGTTTAAGATAACCCAAGTGTTCGGGCGCGGCGGCTCACATCTGTAATCCCTGCACTTTGGGAGGCCAAGGCAGGCAGATCACTTGATGCCCGGAGTTTGAGACCAGCCTGGCCAACATGGCGAAACTCCATCTCTACTAAAAACACAAGAATTAGCTGGATGTGGTGGCACATGCCCATAGTCCCAGCTACTGGGGAAGCTGAGGAAGGAGAATCACTTGAACCCAGGAGGTGGAGGTTGCAGTGAGTTGAGATCATGCTACTGTACTCTAGCCTGGGCAACAGAGCAAAACTCTGCCTCAAAAGAAAAGAAAAGAAAAGAAAAAAACAGCAAAAAGAGAACCCAGGTACTGGCTCTCCTCCTGCGTTTGCCCCGGTTGAGTGCATTCCTGCATTAGTGCAAGCCTTAGTCACGTTGCAGAGGAACTCACACACCCCATGTGGCCTCGGGGACTTCACTCTGGGTTCGTCCTGTTTTTTGAGTTGCCTGGCTGATGAGAAAAAGTAAACATGGTTTGAATCAGTAGAAAGTGTCTTGTCAGACTGACTCATGCCATCTGTCGTCCGTTCCGCCTTGCCCTGATGAGCCATTACCCTGTCCCGGAAACATCTGGAGCTTTGAGAGGGCCGGGTGGAAACAGCAGTGGCAGTTGGGGGTTCTGCTGAGGGTCTGGTCTCTTTGCAAATTTGCAGAGAGGCTGAATGCCGTAAACGTGCAACACAGGCACCTGAGTTCTCCACCAGGCTCCTTCTCTGAGGGCATGGTTGCAGCTCTTGCTGGGTGGGTTTTGTTGGTGTTTTCTTCACATTTGTAGCCCCGGAGGTCGTTTTCAGGAGCAAAAAGGCAAGTGGGGGTGTCTGCTGTGAGCCCGCAATTTCCTGCCTACCACCTGAAAGCTCAGGGAATGTGATGAATTGGGAGATGAATCCTAGGCAATAAAGAGAGCAGTGGACTGAGTTAGGAGACGATAGCTTCATTTACAGAGATTCCTTTACTGACTGATGATCATTGATTGGGTTTGCTTCCCCATGAGGCTTCAAGCCAATAGCACGTGCATTTGCATCCATTTATATACACCTGGGGGACTGCCTTCCTCACACACACCTGGGGGACTGCCTCCCTCACACACACCTGGGGAACTGCATCCCTTCACATACATAGGGAACTGTGTCCCTCACACACCTGGAAGATTAGCCTCAGAGGTGTCTGCAGTACCAGATTCCACCAGGGAGTGAACGTCTGATTATGGGTGATTCAGGGTGCCCACGTCTATATGAAATCGAGAGCGGGTCACCTCCCTTTCCTCCCTACTCTCTGTGGGGTGGTGTTTGGGGAGCTGTCTTAAGTGTTAGTCACCCGAGGAGAAAATGGTGAGGGTGGGACTCTGTATCTGGGAGAAAGGAGACCTTGGAGGCAGGGGACAGACTGACAGAGCCTTGAGCGATGGAAGCTGAGGTCGAGGGCCCAAGGTCGATGATAGAATGCTTGGGGTTGTCTCTCCTCTGGTGTCCTTGTCCTTCAGGCATCCTGGAGTGACATTGAAATTGTTTCAATTAAAAACTGTAGAAACAGCACAGAGATAAGAATGGAAGACAAGCTCCAAGTGCGGGGCTGAGGCGAGTTCTCCAAGGACTAGGGCTAAGGGCAGAGGGTGGGAGAAGGGGAGAAGGGCGTGAGGGGCATACTGTGTCCTTTGCCACCCACTCTCAGACTTGTTGTCTTGGACCTCCGTCGGCTGAGCTTGGGGTCCGGGGAGCAGTGGGTTTGGACACTCAGTGGTGACGTCAGCCGTAGTCCTGAAGCAGAGGGGAAGTTGGCAATCCAGGCTTGCCTGGGGGTGACACTGGTGGCGGGAGGGCCTGTGCCCTCCCCTGTAACTGGGTTTGTGTGGGGTCCATGGGGGCATTGGGGTCAGTGGAAGGAACATGAAGTGAGCCAGAGCATCGTCACTGTGGCCTCTGAGGGCAGGTGGAGCAAGAAAAGGAGGAAGCTTCTAAGTGACACCTGGTCCCAGCTCAGTGGCTATGACCAGGGAAGTCATGTGGAGGAAAAGGCTGGTGGACTCTGAGGGTGATGGAGGAGGATGGGAGGGGCAAGCTAGGCTGGGGAGGTGGCAGGCCATGGACACACACCAGACAGACACACATGTGCATGCACACATACACAGGCACATACATGCATGCACACTCATGCCATGCATATATGCATGCATGCACACGTGTGCACCCACACAGCAAGTCACATGTGCACGTGAGCACACATGAAAACACACAAGCACATGCACATACTCCTGCAGTGCACATGCACACCCATATATGCATGCACACAGGTGTGTGCTCAGATAGCACCCTCACACATATGCACACAAGCACACAGGCAAACACGCAGACACATGAACAAATGCACATATATATTCATGCAGTGCACTTGTGCACATATACACATGCAAACAGGTGTGCATTCAGCACACTCACAATGCACATGAAAACACGTGTGCACACACATGCAGTGCAATACATATATGCATGCACATGTGTGCCCACACCATACACCCACACATACGTGCAGGAGCACACACGTGCACACACAGAAACCACATGAATGCATGAGCACGCGTATATGAAATACACATGTACACATGAGCACATCCACACGCGCACATGCATGAACATAGACACACACATGCATGTACATAGACACGCACATGCATGTACATAGACATGCACACGTATACCCAGGCCCTGCATTGGAAAAAATCCAAAATGTGGCTTGGTTGCAAAGAGCACATGAAGAGCTGTTGAATGCAGAGGTGCCCAGCAAGAAGCATGGACCTAAACCCGAAGGTGGTTGGGGGAAGCTTGGGGACACCTGGGTGGGCAAATGGCCCCCCTGAGGCCCAGGGACAGATGCAAAAACCCAGCAAGCCAGGAGGGTCTTTGAAAAAAAAAATGTGTACCACATGTGACATTTCCCATGTGAGGGAAGCATCGAGATCATACTGTGTTTTCCCTGTGCCCTGCGATTTTGCAGCTGACATGCCCTTTCTGTGGAAATATATAGCAGTCCTCATGCTAGGATTGCGTGTTCTGTGTCAGGCAGCTGGGCATGGGAGTGCAGGGTGTGGGGTGGAACCTGGGAGGAGAGTTCTAGTTTTACCACTGTGTTCCGGCCGTGGGGTGTCCTGGGGAATGGAGGCCACCTCCTGACACTGGAGTTTCCTGGGTTCTGCTGTGAGCGAGGAGTGGGAGAAGACAAGACTCTGGTCTTAGAAACCTTCCGAGTCTCGTACGCCCTTGACTGCCGTTTCTGAGTATTTCCTGAAGCTTGGGAAGGATGAGTCACTTTAAGGGGATTGTCCTATGTTGCTTTGTTTTGTTTCTTTAGTGACGGTGTCTATGATCATCTTCTGTTTATGAGGGTGAAATTACAGAAATAAGAAGGGTTACACTTAAAATAATATCTGTACTTTACTTTCACGTGTGGGGTTTTTTTTTGTCATTGCTGCTGCTTTTTTTTCTTTAACATTCTGACAGTTCTGTCTGCTTATTATTAAGTCTTCCTACCTTTCTAAAGAGAATGTCTTTCTTGCTAAAGAATACATTATGGACTCTTGGAATCTCTTTGTTGGGGTGGAGGGGGTGGGGACTTGCCCTGACTTGCTGGGAATGCCCATAGGGTTTAGAAGTCACGTCTACCGCTGAGGCACTAACAAAGGTAAGCCTTCAAGGAAGCACTGTCATTTCCGGGGAAGAGAGTTTTGAGGAAATTGAAACAGTTACGAATTGATCTAGCAGTCCCTCTACTAATGTATCTACATATGAAGATATGTAGAGATGACTTTTTTTTTTTTTTTTTTTTTGAGATGGAGTCTCCCTCTGTCACCCAGGCTGGAGTGCAGTGGCATGATCTCTGCTCACTGCAACCTCTACTTCCCGGATTCAAGCGATTTTCCTGCCTCAGCCTCCTGAGTAGCTGGGATTACATGCGCATATCACCACGCCTGGCCAATTTTTTTGTATTTATAGTAGAGACGGGGTTTCACCATGTTGGTTGGGCTGGTCTCGAACTCCTGACCTCGTGATCCTCTCACCTTGGCCTCCCAAAGTGCTGAGATTACAGGTGTGAGCCACCGCACCCGGCCCCAGAGATGACTTCTAAACCTTCAGGGTATTCCCAGCAAGTCAGGGCAAGTCTATATATATATAATATATATATGTGTATATATATATTTGTATAAATATATAATTCGTATATATAGTATGTATATATAGTATATATAGTATGTATGTATATGGTGTGTATATATGTAGTGTGTGTATACATAGTATGTGTATATACAGTATGTATGTATATAGTATGTGTATATATAGTATGTGTGTGTATTATATATATATATAGTATGTGTATGTGTGTATATATATATATGTTTATTTGGGATAAGGAAAGGAAATCAGTATGTCAAAGAGACACTCCCCTCCCATGTTTATTGCAGCACCATTCGGAGTAGCCAAGACATGCAGTCAATGGAAGAGCCCATCAAGGGATGAATGCAGAAAGAAAATGTGCTATATCAACTCTGTACATTCACTAAAAGCCATTCATTTGCACAGTGAGAATAAGTGCCTTTCATGCTATGTAAACTATGCCTCAATAAAGCTATTAAATGAACAAAGAAAATAGGGTATATTCACAATGGAATGGTATTCAGCTTTAAAAAAGAAGGAGGTTGGCTGGGTGCGGTGGCTCATGCCTGTCATCCTAGCACTTTGGGAGGCTGAGGCAGGTGGATCACCTGAGGTCAGGAGTTCAAGACCAGCCTGGCCAACATGGTGAAACCCCGTCTCTAGTAAAAATACAAAAAATTAGCTGGGCATGATGGGCGGGCGCCTATAGTCCCAGCTACTCAGGAGGCTGAGGCAGGAGAATTGCTTGAACCCAGGAGGCGGAGGTTGTAGTGAGCCAAGATCATCGCACTCCAGCTTGGGCAACAGAGTGAGACTCTGTCTCAAAAAGAAAAAAGAAGGAAGTCCTGCCATTTGCAACAACATGGATGGAACTGGAGGACATGATGTTAAGTGCAGTAAGCCGAGCACAGAAAGACAAATACCGTCTGACCCAAACACGCTTACGTGGAATCTAAAACCACTGAACTCACAGAAGCAGAGTGGAATGGCGGTGACCAAGGGGTTGGGAGTGAGGGGTGGGGGAAATGGGGAAATGATGGGTAAAGGGTACAACATTTCCATCAGATAGGAAGGGATAAGTTCAGGGGTCTACTGTACTCAGGGTGACTGTGGTTAGTAAGAATGCGTTGCATACTTGAAAATGCCTAAGACAGTAGCTTTGAACTGTTTGCACCACAAATAAATAGGCGAGGTAAGATGTAAATAAAGAAAAAAAATACTTCAAAAAATACAATTACAGATTTCTATGGAAACATATGAACATGAGTGCATATATATATTTATATGTGCGTGTGTCTGTACCTGCCTTATGGTTTATTCTGGATCAGTAGGATCCTCCCTTGCTACCGTCTAAAGATCTGCCGCATGCTGCAGGAGGAGCTGTAATTGCATTTATGATGTCTGGCAAGTGTCCTGTTGTGGAAACAGCCATTTCAGGGCTCTGAGGTTGTGGAAACGACTCCACTCTGGTTGCCGGCATGGGGCCCACAGAGCTGTTCCGAGCGTTTTGTCTACTTTCTACTTATTGTTGACACACACAGAAACACACACGCAGCCATGAGTACACACACACACAGACATACAAGCAGACGTGGACACACCTACCTGTATGTACATACTCAAAACACACCTTCACACTATACTCACCTACCCATACACACACGTGCACACAACTACATGTGTGCACACAAACACATGCATACATGCACCTATGCATATGCACACGTGGAAACACACCTGCACACTACACACACCTACACATACACACACAAACCCACAAATGCACACACCCACACAGGCACAAACACACAAATGCACACACCCACACATGCACAAACACACCTACACACATAAACATATTGACACATGCACACATGCACATGAAAAACACATATACACACTACATCCGCCTACACATACACACACAAACCCACATATACATGCACCTACACACATGCACACATAACACCTACACACATGCATACAGAACCCACACATACATGCATCCATAGGCACACAGAAACACACCTACACACTGTGCACACCTACATATGCACACACAAACCCACATGAACATGCACTGACACATATGCACACAAAAAACACACTACACACACAGAAACCCACAAAATACACCTCCACACTTACACAAAACACGCCTACACATATGCACATACACAAACCCACACATACATGCACCTGCCTATATGCACCCACAACACATACACATATGCACACACAGAACTCACCTACACACCCCATACATGCACACAAAACCCACAAATACATACATGTGCACTGCAAATGCCCAAATATACATGCACACTCACACACACATACCCCTGTGACATATGCATGCACGCTTCATTTATACATGCAGGAGCATAGCCTGGTCGTTTGCACCTGTTGTGGAACTGGACACACTTCCGGTGTTCACAGGGCTCCTGCGGGTTGTTCTTGGACCCCTCGCCACCCACCGCCAGGTGCTTCCTGACGGTTGAGAGATGTTGTATGCCTTTGGTGCTGAGGAGTGGGGACGCTGGATGTTGACGATTATCCTAACTCTTCCTCCAGTTGACCAAACAGTCCAAGTCGACTTTTCCAAATTTTCCTGAATTTGGCTTTTCTTCAGTGCGCCAGAGATGGCCAGCCACGTTGAAGTAGCATTGAAATTGTTGTAATTAAAGACTGTAGAAACAGGGTAGCCTATCAATAATTCAGCATGCCAGTTTCCTCATTCCGTGGGATTCCATGAGATTTTTTTTTAATGCATAATGCACGTGTCTTTCTGGGTTGTCTAGTGTTTCTACTATATTTTGGTTTGTAATTACAGGAAAGTTGCCAATAAAAAAGGGAGAATTTTGTTCCCCATGTTGTTTTCAGTACATATTCAAAATTGTTATTCATCTGTTTGAAAGGAACGACCTGTTAAGAATAATACACAAAATGATCGTGTTTTTACACTATTTTAATTTCTACTAAGCTTGAAGGTCATCATTTATTTAAAACCTAGGCTAACATATTCTTACTTTTAGGCATGGAAGTGAATATTTAGAATGAGAAGAGAAATCACGCACCTTGTAAATTTTTTTAAGTTGCTGTTTTAAATATCACAAAAAGAAAAATCGCATATCTTTTTTATCTCTATAATATTCAAATTTATTTTTATTTTTCTTGTTTCTAAGTTGACTCTTTTTTTCTCTCTTAGATGGTGGTTTCGATTTATCCGATGCCCTTCCTGGTGAGTATCAACATCATTTTTTAAAATCCCGTCAATATTTTATGTTAACATAGTATATACAGGCATATCCCAGCCATTTCCAGCTAGGTTCTAGACCACCGCAATAACAGGAGTCATAGCAATTTTTGGCTTCCCAGTACATATAAATGTTATGTTTACTCTCAACTGTAGTCTATTAAGTATGCAATAGCATTACCTCTAAAAACAGTATACTCCAATTGAAAATACCTTATTGCTAAAAAATGCAGATACAGAGACAGGAAGTGGGGCACGTGCTGTTGGAAAAAATGATGCCGAGAGTCTGGCTTGCCACAGGGTTGCTGCAGGCCTTCCGTTTGTAAAACACACAGTATTTGCAAAGCACCTTAAGACAAAGTGCAGTGAAGGAGGTCCGCCTGTATGTGTCCACCTGCCTTATTATAAAAACTAGACTCATAGATGACGAGGAAAAGCAAGATGCCCTTGTTAAGATAAATGAACCACCCTGGTGGAATAATTCACAGTCCTGTGATGGTCAGAGGCCGAGCAAAAACTTGCCAGGTCCTTGGGGAGGGGTCTAGAGGAGGTGAGCAAATGGAGGTCCCCAGGAGAGAGGGGCATCCAGTGCTGGCATCCTCCCTCTCGAAATCGGCACCCGCTGTCTCCATGGGGCCACTCCTTCCTTCTTCTGCAGCTCTTCCTGTCTCCCGCTCCTCACCCAGAGCCCTCGGTGAAGGGCATGGGAAAAGGAATTGAAGGAATTCCGTCTTATCACTCTATCAGCTTCTGGGTCTTGTCATCCCTTTGTATTTGTTTTCCGGGGCTGCCATAAAAAGGTGCCACCAACTGGGGGCTTAAACCACAGGGATTTATCATCTTCCAGACCTGGACAACAGAAGTCTGAGATCAAGGTGTAGACAGACCCATGCTCCCTCTAGGGGCTCTAGGGGAGGGTCCTTCCTGCCTCTTGCGGCTTCCGGGAGCTCCAGGTGTCCCTGGACTTGTGGCCGCATCACTCCAGTCTCTGCCTCCTTCTCCGTGGGGCCTCCTCCTCTGTGTCTGTGTCTCCTTTTCTTTGTCTTACAAGGATACTTGTCATTGGGTTTAGGGCCACTCTACTCCAGGATTATCTAATCTCAAGATCCTTCTCTTAAGCACATCTGCAAAGACCCTATTTCCAAATAAAGTCTCATTACCAGGTTTTAGGCTTTAGGATGTAGATATATCTTTTGCGGGGACCACTGCTCAATCCACTGCAGTTATATCCAGTTCTTTTTGGTGGCTCTAGGGGAGGATCCTTCCTGCTTCTCCCAGCTTTTGAGGGCTTCACGTGTCCCTGTGCTTGTGGCTGCATCACTGTAGGCTCTGCCTTTGTGAACGCTGGTCTCTTCCCTGTGTCTCCATGTATCTAAATTTCCTTCCTATAAGGGCACCAGTCATTAGGACCTATCCTAATCTATTATAACCTCATCTTAACTGATTACAACTGCAAAGACCCTGTTTCCAAGTAAGATCACCTATTGAGGTTTGGGGTGGGTGTGGATCTTGGAGGAATGCTTTTCAACCCAGGACAGCCCTCTTCATTTTTTTTTTTTTTTTTTCCGAGATGGAGTCTCTCTCTGTCACCCAGGCTGGAGTGCAGTGGCACGATCTCGGCTCACTGCAACCTCTGCCTCCCGGGTTCAAGTGATTCTCCTGCCTCTGCCTCCCGAGTAACTGGGATTACAGGCATGCACCACCATGCCTAGCTAGTTTTTGTATTTTCAGTACAGACGGGGTTTCATAATGTTGGTCAGGCTGGTTTCGAACTCCTGACCTTGTGATCTGCCCGCCTTGGCCTCCCAAAGTGCTGGGATGACAGGCATGAGCCACTGAGCCCAGCCACCCTCTTCACTTTTTTATGTTTTACTTTTTTTTTTCTGAGACACTGTCTCGCTGTGTTGCTCAGGTTGGAGTGCAGTGTTGGGATCTTGGCTCACTGCAGCCTTGACCGTCTGGGCTCAAGCAGTCCTCCCACCTCAGCCTGCTGAGTAGCTGGGACTACAGGCATGTGCCACCTCACCTGGTACAGTGAGCAACACGGGGTCTCACTGTGTTGCTCAGATTGGAGTGCCACGGTGGGATCTTGTCTCACTACAGCCTTGACCATGTGGGTTCGAGCAATCCTCCCACCTCAGCCTCCCAAAGTGCTGAGGCGTGAGAGGATTGCAGACACGAGCCACTGCACCTCGCCAGCTTTTAATTTTATGTCCTGTGGTGCAGTGCAGATGGTTTGAGCGGAAACAGTGCTGATGGGGATCATCTCTTTCCTGACCACCTACCCCTTCTTGGCCCTTGGGAACAACCATTCCCTGCAGTGGGAGGTGCCCTTAGTCTTACAGCCTCCACCTGATTTGCCTGATTGGCTTCCATTCTCAGAGGGGGCAGCCTAGGCAGAGGCCTGACGGGGCCAAAAGTGTGTTTCATATGAGAAATGTGAACAGCCTTTCAGCCATCAATCCGGTGTCTCTCCTTCTCATGCATAGATCTCGGGCTCTGAAAAGGGCAGTTTTTCTCCTAACTTTGCCATTCTCCTGCCTTCCTGGCTTATGTCTCAGTCATAGTCCCATTCAACGTCAAGAAGTGGAGAAGGGCTGGGCACGGTGGCTCAAGCCTGTCATCCCAGCACTTTGGGAGGACGAGGTGGGTGGATCACCTGAGGTCAGGAGTTCGAGACCAACCTGGCCAACGTGGTGAAACCCCATCTCTGCTAAAAATACAAAAAATTAGCCGGGAGTGATGGCATGCACCTGTAAGCCCAGCTACTCGGGAGGCTGAGGCAGGAGAATCGCTTGAACCCAGGAGGCAGAGGTTGTGGTGAACGGAGACCACACCATTGCACTCCAGCTTGGGTAACAGAGCAAGACTTGGTCTCAAAAAAAAAAAAAAAAGAAGTGGAGAAGGGGCTCCTGGTCTCTGTGGAAACCATGGCCGGTAGCAGCCTCTGTGTCTGTCTTCTGGGCTCAAGAGTCGTTGTATAAACCTCAGCTCGGTGTGGGCAGGTGAGAAAAAACAATGCTAAAAACATTCTCCGACTGTTTCCAAGAAAATGAAACATCCTTAACCACAAAAGAGTTGACACTTGTTTTCCCAGCTGCAACTTTTACTAACTGAAATATCTTATCTCTTTAGACAATGAAAACAAGAAACCCACTGCAATCCCCAAGAAACCCAGTGCTGGTGAGAAGGGCTTCTTCCTAGTATGCAAAGAAAAAGAGCAAATCATTTTCTCGGACAGCAGGACGGGACTTAGGCAACTAGAAAGAAGACAGAAGTGATTTGAGTGCTCCGGCTGGAGTCTGGTTAATAGTTAATACTGGAATTGTGTTATGATGTTACATTTCATGTAGTGATTCCAGTAAAAGAATGGTTGCTGATGTGAAATGTTTCGGGGCCATTTGGACAACATCTCTGTGTGCTTTTATTCTAAGGGTCTGAGTTACTCTGTCTTTAGATTTTCTTCCCTTTTTTTTTTTTTTTTTTTTTGAGATGGCGTTTCATTCTTGTCTCCCAGGCTGGAGTGCAGTGGTGTGATCTTGGCTCACTGCAACCTCCACCTCCCGGGTTCAGTGATTCTCCTGCCTCAGATGCCTCAGTAGCTGGGACTGCAGGCACCAGCCACCACACCTGGTTAATTGTTGTATTTTTAGTCGAGACGAGGTTTCACTATGTCGGCCAGGCTGGTCTTGAACTCCTGACTTCAGGCAATCTGCCTCCCAAAGTGCTGGGATTACAGCGGTGAGCCACCATGCACGGCCTGTGTCTTTAGATTTCAACTTCCTAGGAGAGAGAGCATTTGGTGCTGAGATCTCCCCCATGATGACCAACAAGTGAACTCATCTCTCAACCTGTGGGCACACACCTCATTTGTTCTCAGTGCTTGCTGTTCTTTCTTTCTTTTTTTTTTTTTTTTTGAGACGGAGTCTCGCTCTGTCGCCCAGGCTGGAGTGCAGTGGCGCAATCTCGGCTCACTGCAAGCTCCGCTTCCTGGGTTCACACCATTCTTCTGCCTCAGCCTCCCAAGTAGCTGGGACTACAGGCAGCGGCCACCACGCCCAGCTAATTTTTTTGTATTTTTAGTAGAGACGGGGTTTCACCATGTTAGCCAGGATGGTCTCGATCTCCTGACCTTGTGATCCACGCGCCTTGGCCTCCCAAAGTGCTGGGATTACGGGCATGAGCCACCACACCCAGCCCTCAATGCTGTTCTTTCAAACAAAAGTCAGAAACGAGGTCCACGTGATGGAATTGCCCAAGGGTCAACCCCACTGGCGGATAAACAGAGTAAAAATGATGCTAAAACTTATGGCATCAGTGTCTTACAGCTAAGACACTGTCTTGTCTTAGCACTTCTGAGTTTTCTAATATAAAACATTAATAGCTCCACTTCATTATTGGGCTTCCTGTCTAGAGTGTCAGCTCATGAGCAAAGGGACCCTGTGTCCCCAGATCCTTGAACTAAGCAATCATGCAGATAGCACCAATGAGTAGGTGTTGAGCGTCTGAATTTATACTATCATAGTCTCCTTGAGGAAGGGACTGGAAATTCCCATATGTCACTCAGGATGGCTCAGTACATGCTGTTGGGTGGATGCCAGCAACCATTCCTCCATCTTAGTTGGGTTTTCAAAATCATTCTTCATACTAGAAGACAAGATCTGAGGCCATGGTGAACTGTCACATCAGTTGCGGAGCACATATGGGTTGCTAGAGCCATGTTTTAGACACCCTCTAGCCTAAATCTGATCACAGTCATCTGTCCCCTTCTCTTAGGGTCTACCTTTCCAAAGTTGTTAGGGACCTGGGAGGAGAGGATGATGGGATGGGGAGTCAACAGGAGAAAATCATGTGCAGGCAGAATTGGAATTTCAACTTGGTCCAGGCAACACAATTCATTTATAAATTACTTTATTTCTCTCTCTCTCTCCCCACTGCCTCTCCTCTGAGAGCTTCTCTCCTAGCTTTTTATCTGTCTCTGTCTCTCTGTTTTTTCCTCTTTTTATCTGAGAGAATAGTGATGTAAAAATGGTCAGGAATTCACTTTTTCTAATGAGATCCTGGTCAAGCTGATATTCAGAAAAGTATTTAGGAATGTGGGGCCGTGGTGTGTTTTTGATCTGTTCACGAGGTCATTCCTTCCTCGTTTCTCTCTGGAATTTGGTATTAACTGCTCTTTCCCCTCTTTTAGGGGATGACTTTGACTTAGGAGATGCTGTTGTTGATGGAGAAAATGGTGAGTATTTTCCTTTAATCTCTTCTGCTGCTGATCTGCTTATTATCACCCAATTATGATCATTTCAGAGAGAATTCTCCCATTTAAATTATAAAGGGAACCAGTTTTCACAGTGGAAACCTAGGGAATAGGTGTGTCGGTTTGTTCTTGCTGTTGTCGTTGGGTTTTTCTTTACAACCAGTACGTGTGCTTTTATTTTAAAACTCTTACAGTCTTTGGAAGGACATGAGACAAATGTGCCTACCCTGGCCAGGGCTGGCTTCACCAGCATGTGACCTGTGCAGTGGCACAGGACCCCATGGCATGTTGGTTTGGCATGGGAACCATACTGGTTTACTGCTCTGTTGCCGCCATCTTGGAATACTTAAGAAAATTTGAAAAATGGGTCCCACCTTTTTATTTTGGCCCTAGAAATTCTGTAGCTGGTGTGGACACCCGCTTTAATTTTTATTAAACATAGTTGACATTAAGAACTGTGGCTGAAAGTTGATGGGAGGAAACTGGCAGGAGACTGTGTGTGTACAGGTATCCCCACCAGGACAAAGGCCAAGGTCCAATTTCTGTTCAGGGAACCATCTGTGTGTAAACTGATGTTTCATTTTCTTTACTGCAAGGCACTTAAAATTGCAACTCTCATCTTTCACAAACAGACGACCCACGACCACCGAACCCACCCAAACCGATGCCAAATCCAAACCCCAACCACCCTAGTTCCTCCGGTAAGAGTCTCTGACCCTGTGGGATGTCTTCATGTTGTTCAGAATTCAGCGATATTTATGTCAGCTGAGAGGAGGTGATTTCAGATGAGTGTGTGCTTACTGTTGACTGCCTGTGCAGTGTAATGCCCATGTTCATGTAATGGAAAATGTACATTTCAAAAATATATATTTAGCTTGGATTTTATTTTTAGTTTGCTTTTTTTTTTTTTTTTTTTTTTGAGACAGAGTCTTGTTCTGTCACCCAGGCTGGAGTGCAGTGGTGCCATCTTGGCTCACTGCAACCTCCACCTACTGGGTTCAAGTGATTCTCCTGCATCAGCCTCCTGAGTAGCTGGAATTACAGGCACACACTGCCATGCCCGGCTAATTTTTGTATTTTTAGTAGAGACAGGGTTTTGCCATGTTGGCCAGGCTGGTCTTGAACTCCTGACCTCAAGTGATCCACCCACCTTGGCCTCCCAAAAGTGCTGGGATGACAGGTGTGAGCCACTGTGCCTGGACTAGTTTGCTACTTTTGTTTCCAAGTTCCATCTTATGGAACTTCTAAAAAATTGCATACAATAATTTAAATGTAGACTTGATAAAGAGAAAAGTATTGGCATACACATTCCTTGTGGAGAAGCTAGTGTGTTTTAAATCTTTCTGCCCTTAAATATTTAAGTCAGTTTTTCTGACATATCACAGCATTTTCAGCGTAATTCGAATAGCACCAGTTTTTTTTTTTTAGCTGAATGGTTGTCGAAAGTTTATATGTTTAGGTTTTTTTGTTTACATATTTAATTTTTAACACAGAAGAATATTAATGATGTCCATATCTTGTTGACATTTTGATGGCTATTTGTGCTAGTATTTTATATATCTTTTTTTTTTCTTTTTTGAGACAGGGTCTCACTCTGTTGTCCAGGCTAGAGTACAGTGCTGTGATCATATTAAACATAAGAGCATACCACAGCCTCCAACTCCTGGGCTAGAGAGATCCCCCTGCCTCAGCCTTTCAAGTAGCTGGGGCTACAGGCACACAGCATCGTGACCAGTTAGTTTTTTCATTTTTTGTAGAGGTGGGGTCTCAGTATGTTGCCCAGGCTGGTCTGAAACTCCTGGCCTCAAGCAGTCCTCTTGCCTCAGCATCCCAAATCTCTGAGATTACAGGCACGAGTCACCTCACCCAGCCTATATATTAATCTAAATGAAATAAATTTTAAATAAAGTTCCAAGTCTTTTGTTTGTACTGCATTGTAACATTACTTTTTGCTTACTGATAGTCCATGAACATTTTTTCATGTCATGTAATCATTTCTATCGTATGAGTTTTACTGATAATCATGTACTATTACATACTACATATATAATTATATTCTTCCTGTAACTAATCCCTAATTCTGAAAATGTTATGTTTCTTCTGGCATTTTAGAATTATGAATTAACAAAGCAAATCTGAGTCAACTCCATGCGCTATTTTTATTCCTTTGAAGACATTTCTAGCATTCAAATAGTTTAGATCAACGTATATGAGTACTTTCGTAGCTTTTGACCTGGTTGTTAATTTGCTGCAGATTTTTACCAATTTATTTTGATGCCAGGGGTGTGTGCAAATGTCCCTGTCTTCACACCATCTCCAATATTAGTTATCACCTAGGAAACCTTTGCAAATAGTGTGAAATTTTCTATCAACTTTCTCCTGGTTTCATGACTTTACTTTTAAAATTAAAAAAAAAAAACAAACCTGCATCAATTGGCCGTGGATACTTCTTATTTTGTGTATTGTATGCTTTGCCTTTTATTCTTACATTCTGATATGACATTATTGATTTATAAGCCTTCTTCATTTATTTACAGACATAAATATTGCCAGCATGCAATATTATGCTCACGTTTTTCCACTTTATTTATGGTTTTTTGTTTTGTTTTGTTTTGAGACTGAGTTTAGCTCTTCTTGCCCAGGCTGGAGTGCAGTGGTGCCATCTTGGCTCACTGCAACCTCCACCTCCAGGGTTCAAGTGATTCTCCTGCCTCAGCCTCCCGAGTAGCTGGGATTACATGTGCCTGTCACCACATCCAGCTAATTTTTATATTCTTAGTGGAGATGGGGTTTCACCATGTTGATGAACAGGCCGGTTTTCATGAGTTTTTCCTTTATTCTAAGACATGAAGACCCTTGGAGGAGTTCCAGGTTGACAGGTGATGCTGTATTTTCTTTCCTAGGTAGCTTTTCAGATGCTGACCTTGCGGATGGCGTTTCAGGTGGAGAAGGTACAGTTATCTTGTTTTCTGTCTCTTTTCTCTCTCCATCCCATGATGCCCACCTGCTCTGTAGAATCACTACAGGGTCTAAACTGTCAGCTCTCTGTGAACTCACAGTGAAATGTTCAGCCATCTCTGTGGGAACTCCGCCTGTTTGCTGAGGCTTCAAGGATGTGGGAAGTAAAGGCTGCCCCGTAGAGGTTCGGTCCTCGGAGAAGAGTTCAGGGCCCAGGCAGCTGCCCCACTTTTCTGAGGGACAGGGCGTGATGAATGGGCCCTTGTCACCACCTCCTCACCCATCCGTTCACCTGTGTGTTCTTGCAAATAACTAGTGTTGTTTCAGCTTCATTTTATTAGGCTGTTTTCTGTAATTTAAGGAATGTGAATATTAAAGCCCTGAGAATAGTGATAATGCCTGGGAGTATGCGTTCTCAGAGTACCCCTAGAGTGTAACAGGCAGCACCTCAGCTCTGTAGCTGTGTAACATGCACCCTTAGAGTGTAATAGGCAGGACCCCAGCTCTGTAGCTGGGTAACATGTACCCCCGTAGAGTGTAAGAAGCAGGACCCCAGCCTCTTCACGGTCCTGGCTGTGAATTTTTCCTTGACCCCAAACCTTCCCATTGCAGACGTTGTTTTTGTCTTGCAGGAAAAGGAGGCAGTGATGGTGGAGGCAGCCACAGGAAAGAAGGGGAAGAGGGTAGGTGCACCTGGCTTCTGTCTTCTTGTCTCTCCCACGTGGTGTTGAGAAGGGGAAGCAGAATGTCTGAGAGCTGGCGGACTGCACTGGCATTGGCCTCCTAAAGCTACTGGCAGGAGGCACGGGTGTTCTGTGCCAAGTGCTCCCAAGTGATGTAGCTGCAGAGGTCCCCCAGCAAACCAGCCCTGCTCCGGGTGCCCACGTGACGCGGATTTTATGTTTGGTCACCTGCCCACGATGCCCTGGCTGGCGACCCGACCCCTACATCACGCTTCGCCTTGTCCTTGTGTTTACAAAAGCTCCTACACTCACCCTAACGATCAGAGGCTTGTGACGCAGTATCCTCGGTTGCGCTTGGCCCTTGAGAACGTCAGTAACCAGGTGGGAGGTGGGAATGTGGATCGCTTCCACCCTGGCTGTAACAGGCATTGTGTTCTCCATGGAAGTGCCGGTGATGTATCTCCTGTCTCCTTTTTCATAACCTTTTCCCTTAGATGGGACAAGAAAATAATGACAGACAGAATTCCTTTTAAAACTGTAAAGAAAACAAAATGAGGTAAGAAAGAGAAACAGAGAAGTAGGGAGGAAGAAAAAAGGGAAGGAGGGAAGGAAAGAAGGAAGGAGGGATGGAGAGAAGGAAGGAAGGAGGGAAGAAGGGAAGGAAGGAAGGGAGGAAAAGTGGGTAGTCTACCCTTGTTTTAGGTATTTATTATTTTTATGGGTACAGTTCTTGAATTCTAGGCTTTCTTTGAAGAGGTAGTAATCTGTAGCCCTCACCTAGGACTACAAGGTCATTTTTTAAAAAATAGCTAAGAAAACACATGTCTGGCATGTTTATCTCAGGCCATCGTTCTTGGCCTTCTAGAGAGTTAATGTCTACTATGTCACTTCATCAGGGAGGGGTAGTTAAGCTTGAAAAATCTTTCTATGACATGACTGTGTCCTGCACATATTAAAAACTGGCCGAGTGAACACACCACCGACAGGCCATGTTTGGAGCCAGTGTTTTTGCTGAAAGTCAGACAATTCTCCTTCCCCGTCGTGGAGGGCGGAGAAGATTCTATCTGGAGAAGGGTCCTCTGAAGCTCACATCTGGCATTTGGAATGAATAATCTCTTCAATGGCCAGGCACGCTGGCTCATGCCTGTCATCCCAGAACTCTGGGAGGCTGAGGCGGGAGGATTGCTTGAGGCCAAGAGTTCGAAACCAGCCTGGCCAACATGGTGAAACCCCTTTTCTACAAAAAATACAAAAATTAGGCCAGGTGTGGTGGCTCACACCTGTAATCCTAGCACTTCGGGAGGCCAAGGTGGGTGGATCACTTGAGGTCAGGAGTTCGAGACCAGCCTGGCCAAGATGGTGAAACCCCATCTCTACAAAAAATACAAAAATTAGCTGGGCGTGTGCCATGCACCTGTAGTCCTAGCTACTCGGGAGGCACAAGAATTGCTTGAACCCGGGAAGCAGAGGCTGCAGTGAGCTGAAATCGTGCCACTGCACTCCAGCCTGGGTGACAAAGTAAGACTGCATTTCAAAAAAAAAAAAAAACTAGCCAGGGGTGGTGGCACACACCTGTAATCCCAGCTACTTGGGAGGCTGAGGCAGGAGAATAGCTTGAACCCGGGACGCAGAGGTTGCAGTGAGCCGAGATCGCACCACTGCACTCCAGCCTGGGCAACAGAGCAAGACTCTGTCTCCCCGCCAAAAAAAAAAGAATTATTGCTGGAATAACATAAAAAAAAAAAAAAAGGCTGAGTGTGGTGGCTCATGCGTGTAATCCCAGCATTTTGGGAGGCCTAGGCAGCAGGCAGGTTGCTTTAGGCTGGGAGTTCGAGATCAGACTGGGCAACATAGCAAGACCCCAATTCTATAAAACCACAGTAATTAACCAGGCATGGTGGTGCACACCTGTAGTCCCAGCTACTCGGAAGGCTGAAGTGGGAGGATCTCATGAGCCCAGGAGTTTGAGATTGCAGTGAGCTGTGATTACATCATTGCACTCCAGCCTGTTTGACAGAGCAAGAACCCATCTCAAAATAATACACAATAATAATAATTAATTAAATAGAGATAGATTTAAAATGTCTGCATTGAAACCCAAAGCTATCTTCAAGGGGTGAAAAAGGAGCATTCTAACGATACAAAACGCATTGGCAAATGCCCCAAGCATTGCAGGTCTTTGCTTCTTTATCTTCTGCCCCTGCCTGGGCTCCTTCCTCCAGGTTTGATGTCCAGCTCTCTCTTTCTTTTTTGTTTTGTTTTGTTTTGAGATGGTGAATTGCTCTGTCGCCCAGGCTGGAGTGCAGCGGCACAATCTCGGCTCACTGCAACCTCTGCCTCCCAGGTTCAAGCGATTCTCTGGACTCAGCCTCCTGAGTAGCTGGGATTAAAGGCACCCACCCTTACTCCCGGCTAATTTTTGTATTTTTCGTAGAGACGGGTTTTACCATGTTGACCAGGCTGGTCTCAAACTCCTGACCTCAGGCGATTCACCTGCCTCGGCCTCCCAAAGTGCTGGGATTACAGGCGTGAGCCACCACGCCCAGCCCCAGCTCTCTTTCCATCTGTCTTTGTCTTTTTTTGTCTCTGCCTTGGTTCTGCTGAGCTTCTGCCCGTACCTCGCTGGCCTCTCTTCATGTCTCTTTTCTCCTGCTCCACTCCCTCCATGGTCTGACCAGGTCTGCCCAGCACGTGCGATGGGAGATTGTGCCTTGCTTTGCCTTCCTGTGTATCATTCTCGGCATGCTTCCTTTGCAAATCGGTCAGCTCAGGCGTCTGAGATGTTCTGAGGATCTTGGTGCTCTCAGACTGACTGTCTCTGCCAGCCACTGCCCCCTGGGATCTTCTCTGCACCGTGCGTGTCTCAATCACGATGCTGTGTGCTTCCTCCTGCAGCCGACGCCCCAGGCGTGATCCCCGGGATTGTGGGGGCTGTCGTGGTCGCCGTGGCTGGAGCCATCTCTAGCTTCATTGCTTACCAGAAAAAGAAGCTATGCTTCAAAGAAAATGGTAAGTCTCAGTCCGCCGGTGCCTCTCCTTCATGCCTTGCTGATTGGAAAACTGTGCTTTCTTTAAAAGGCAGAAACCAAACTCGGGCTGGCACGAAACAGGTGCACGATGGCTGATGGTTCGTGAAACTGCTAAAATTCTGGAATCGAACCTTCTGGCTTTGATTTCAGGGCTGTTCTGCCTTGTGTTTTGTTGTGTGAAAGTTTACAAGTTCCCCACTGCTGCAGTGCTTGGGTTGTTTACGTCTACCAAGTGGGAAATGGTTGGTACATATGCCGCGGAATTGTTGCTGGGGTTAGAGACAGTCCTGCAGGAAAGCCGCTACAAGTTACCCTGCAGAGAGCAAAGGTGGAAGACACTTAGCTCTGATCATTCCTGCCCTGTTATTTACAACCGATGTCATCATCAGGAGGAGAGCCGTGACCAGGGGGCCGCCACGGTCCTTTCTCCACTGAGAGTTAAGTTAAAAGCCGGCACAAGGCCGGACATGGTGGCTCACACCTGTAATCCCAGCACTTTGGGAGGCCGAGACGGGCGGATCACGAGGTCAGGAGGAGATCGAGACCATCCTGGGTAACATGGTGAAACCCCGTCTCTACTAAAAATACAAAAAATTAGCCGGGCATGGTGGCGGGCGTCTGTAGTCCCAGCTACTCGGAAGGCTGAGGCAGGAGAATGGTGTGAACCTGGGAGGCAGAGCTTGCAGTGAGCTGAGATCATGTGACTGCACTCCAGCCTGGGCGACAGAGTGAGACTCCGTCTCAAAAAACAAAACAAAACAAAAACCAGCACAGCGGATTCCCTTTCTGTTAGTACCGAAAACCCACAGGCACCCAGGACCTGGGAAGTTTCTTGGATCGGGACTAAAATTTACAGGGGAATTAGGAGGAGGACGTACTCACCATTGCAATCCTCCTAGGTCAGCTGGCAGGCTCTTTGGGACCTTGTATTGGGATCCGCCGTGAAGCTGGGAAGTAAGCCCTGCTATTTGGAACACAGCTAACGTGCATGCATCACTGGGCACTTACATTTAGCTCTTGCCTTCCCTCTTGCATGACCAAGCATTGTGGTTTGCAGGAATCCCATCGACCGGGAACAGCTACTCTTATTTTTTATTTCTTGAGACAGAGTTTCGCTCTGTTGCCCAGGCTGGAGTGCAGTGGCGCAATCTCAGCTCACTGCAGTCTCCACCCCACAGGTTCAAGTGATTCTCCTGCCTCAGCCTCCTGAGTAGCTGGGATTATAGGCACCCGCCACCACGCCCGGCTAATTTCTGTATTTTTAGTAGAGATGGGGTCTCACCATGTTGGCCAGGCTGGTCTCCAACTCCTCACCTCAAGTGATCCACCCGCCTCGGCCTCCCAAAGTCTTGGGATTACAGGCGTGAGGCACCACACCTGGCCAACAGCTACTGTTTTATGGAGGAGCCCCTGGGGTCCCTCACGCCTCTGGGTGTCTGAACTTCTCACCCTACTTAGATCTTAAGTCCTTATTCATTCTTGGTCACTGATGTCATTCACTCAAAGCACTGCCTCCTGAAGATTTTAGAGGGATTCCTAGAACATTTGAATAGATGCTGGTGTGGACAAAGTTAGACTGTAGGGGTGGAGTTTCCCCGTAATCTCCCATCATTCCAGCATTTGACATCCACAAACATTATTTAGAGCGTGAAATGGAGAGTCCTAAACAGCTTTCGGATCTCAAGACTTTAAATGAGCTGCTCGTGTTTATTTCCCCGTTCTTGCTGTGGGGTTTTGGGCAGTGCGTGGAAGACAGTTGCCTCCTACCTGGTGGGCAGACGAGTGGGAAATGGTGTTTGGTTGTTTCTTTTTTTTTTTTTTTTTTTTTTGAGATGGAGTCTCACTCTGTCACCCAGGCTGGAATGCAATGGCTCCATCTTGGCTCACTGCAACCTCCACCTCCCGGGTTCTCCTGCCTCAGCCTCCCGAGTAGCTGGGATTACAGATGTGCACCACCACGCACAGCTAATTTTTGTTTTTTTAGTAGAGATGGAGTTTCGTCATGTTGGTCAGGCTGGTCTCGAACTCCTGACCTTGGATGATCCGCCTGCCTTGACCTCCCAAAGTGTTGGGATTGCAGGCGTGAGCCACCGTGCCCAGCTGGTGTTTGGTTGATTGAATGGCAGTTTTGAGCGGGACCCAAATGGACAGATGACCACATTCAAGGAGATGCCTGTAAGAGACGTACGATTAGAATCACGTTGGAAAAAAGCAAACAGCATAACATTCTTCTCCCCTCTTGCTTCTTCTAGAAGTAGCGGAGGGGTTAAAACAGTAGGGACTCAATGGAAGGGAATTTTTGTTTGCTTTTCAATGACATTTCTTTTTCTTTTCTGAAACTGTTCAACTCACAGCATAATATTCAACCAGGAGGTAAGGAAGGCTTGTTTGCCAGGACAGGATGCGTAATATTCTAGATGTTGTATTTCAAACTCTCTGGCTTTTTTTTTTTTTTTTTTTTGAGACGGAGTCTCGCTCTATCGCCCAGAATGGAGGGCAGTGGTGCAATCTTGGCTCACTGCAACCTCGCGGGTTCAAGCAATTCTCCTGCCTCAGCCTCCGAAGTAACTGGAATTACAGGTGTGCATCACCACACCCGGCTAATTTTTGTATTTTTAGTAGAGATGGGGGTTCACCATGTTGGACACACTGGTCTCGAACTCGTGACCTCAGGTGGTTCCCCCCCGCAATCTTGGCCTCCCAAAGTGTTGGGATTATAGGCGTGAGTCAAAGCACCCGGCCTCTTTTTTAGAATCCCAGACAATTGTTGAACACTTTTGCATTAAACTACAAAGTCTCTGATTGATGATTCTCTGAAAATCTTTAGGTCAACCCAAATTGGATTCATGAGTTGCAAAGGATGTTTATTACCTTGTGCGTGCAGACGTAGGAACTTTTGGGATCTTGTAAGCCTATTTCATATTCACATCCTGTATTAGTCCGTTTTCACACTGCTATGAAGAACTGCCTAAGACTGGATAATTCATGAAGGAAAGAGGATTCATTGATTCACAGTTCAGCATGGCTGGGGAGGCCTCAGGAAACTTAACAATCATGGCAGAAGGGGACGCAAGGCACCATCCCATTATCACGAGAACAGCATGGGGGAACCTTCGCTATGGTTCAGTGACCCCAACCTGGTCTCTCCCTGGACACATGGGGATTATGGGAATTACAATTTAAGATGAGATTTGGGTGGGGACACAGAGGCTCACCATATCACATCTGAAGACACACAAACTTGGGAAAGCACCCAGGAGGCTTAATAGACTTGATTTTGTCAAAAATTTTGAAATAGAATTGGGAAAAGGAAAAACAACTTTTCCTCTACCTTATCCGCCCCGCCACCCCTGGGTCTTGGTCTTGGGTGGAAGCATTATCTTTTTTTATTGCAGGAGGTGGGGCAGGCATGAACAATGAAAGCTCTCACTGGGTAGAAACAATTTTCCTAGATTCTTCAAGAACAAAAGCAAATATGTCCTGGCGAGGTGGCCGACACCTGTAATCCCAGTGCTTTGGGAGTCCAAGGAAAGAGGATTGCTTGAGCCCAGGAGTTCAAGATCAGCCTGGGCAACATAGTGAAACCTCATCTCTACAAAAAATGTAAAAAATTAGCTGGGCGTGCTTGCGCCTGCCTGTGGTCCCAACTACTCTGGAGGCCGAGGTGTGAGGATTGCTTGAGCCCAGGAATTGGAGGCTGCAGTAAGCCATGATTGCACCACTGCACTCCAGCCTGGACGACAGACAGAGACCCTGTCTCTAGATATAAAAATAAAAATACCTTTTTTTTTTTTTTTGAGACGGAGTCTCACTCTGTCACCCAGGCTGGAGTGCAATGGCGTGATCTCGGCTCACTGCAGCCTCTGCCTCCCGGGTTCAAGCGACTCTCCTGCCTCAGCTTCCCGAGCAGCTGGGACTACAGGCGCGTGCCACCACGTCCAGCTAATTTTTCATATTTTTAGTAGAGACGGAGTTTTGCCGTGTTAGCCAGGATGGTCTTGATCTCCTGACCTCATGATCCACCTGCCTTGGCCTCCCAAAGTGCTAGAATTACAGGCATGAGCCACCGTGCCCGGCCCCCAAAATAATTTTTTTTAAAAAAGCATCCTTTCTGAAGAATTGGCTCAGGGGAGTCCAAGATTCACTTTATACTAATGAGATGCTAGGCTAATTTTCTTCTAATATTTTCTATAAGTCTCTTATTCTGATGCCAAATTAACAGAAGGTCCAACTTTCAATTCCTGGTTTGCTTTCTAGTTATCCTGGGATTGATTTTCTTGGCCTTTTGTAAATGCACAAAGCAAAGGGCCAAAAAGAAAATAAAATAAAGTATAACAAAGAGAAGCAAGAGATGGTGAAACCCCGTCTCTACTAAAAATACAAGAATTAGCTGTGCGTGATGGTGGGCACCTGTAATATCCCAGCTACTTGGGAGGCTGAGGCAGGGAATTGCTTGAACCCGGGAGGCAGAGGTTGCAGTGAGCCAAGATTGTGCCACCACACTCCAGCCTGGACAACAGAGTGAGACTCTGTCTCAAAAAAAAAAAAAAAAAAAGAGAAAGAAAACAAAAACAAGGCACTCTTCTATAAATACCAAGACCCTACCTCAAAAGAGGACCTTTCCAACTGCATCCACTCACAGCTTGGTTTTTATACCTGAATTATAAAATGAGTTTAATATTTATCTCAGTGACATGATTTTGTTAGTAGACATGGAATTGTGATGTTGGATCGAGTTATCCGGAAGACGAAAGATGTCAGAGCCCTCAGCCTCTGGGGCAGGATTTTGCTTTATGGGTTCGATTTCCGGGATGGTGATTTTGAGATCTGGCAACCCCATAGGTTCATGGGGAGCTTGGAGATTTCATAAGAAGGATGTGAGTATAGCATGCCCTGGTCCTTCAAGAAACCATGGGCCAGGCGCGGTGGCTTACGCCTGTAATCCCAGCACTTTGGGAGGCCAAGGCGGGTGGATCACCTGAGGTCAGGAGTTTGAGACCAGCCTGGCCAACATGGTGAAACCCTGGCTCTACTAAAAATACAAAAATTAGCCAGGCATGGTGGTGCACACATGTATTTCCAGGTACTCGGGAGGCTGAGGCAGGAGAATCGCTTGAACCCAGGAGGCAGAGTTGCAGTGAGCCGAGATCGAGCCACTGCACTCCAGCCTGGGGACAAGAGCGAGACTTTGTCTCAAAAAAGAAAAAAGAAAAGAAAAACCATGCCCAGTTTTGGGGATACTGTTATTCTACCAGACAGGCTCATTTTCCGGGACTGTGTCATTGCATTGAAATCTGTGGTGTTTGTTAAATTTGTATTAAAATGAGTCCCAGGCGAGTGAGTAGACATAGGTGAGTCTTCGGCATCTTTCCAACAAGGAGATGCCTTTATCAAATCCTGTGACTTGATATAGATTTACTGAGAAGCTTTGCAGTGTTATATTTTGGGGTTCACGGATTAGAAACTCCTTGTGGAATCAGATGGCTCTGTCTGTTATAGGTTGGTGCAAAAATAACTGCGGTTTATGCCATTAAAAGTAATAGCAACATAGCAAGACCTCGTGTCTACAAAAAACGTAAAAAAAAAAAAATTAGCTGAGTGTGGTGGCTCCCAGCTAATTTTTTACCTTTTTTTGTAGAGACAGAGTCTTGCTATGTTGCCATTACTTTTAATGGCAAAAACCACAATTACTTTTGCACCAGCCTCCGTTCCTCCCTTCCTACAGATTTGAGTTTGTGGTGCTTGGGCTTCTCCTGGTTTTTGTCCATGTGATACGAAGGGGCCTGTTGAAGCTGCTTCTCTCATGCACTCGGGGTCTGTGACTTCGCATCTGGGTGTGTTGGCTTCGCGGGGGACCTGGCTCAGACCACTAACCACACGGAGCCTGACCACTTCCCACAGAGCCCAGCTTCCGTGGCTGGCAAGGGGTGTTCAGGATGCTGTCCTTTGGCTGTGGTGGCTGGTCCTACTGCTCTGTTTGCCAGGGTCCTGGGCTCACAGTGGGTTTCTTGAGGCTTTGGCAAGATGGGCGATTGGCTCTCCCTGTCTCCTTCTTTCTCTTTCTTCTTCTCTGCCTTTCTTCCTTCCCTCCTCCTTTCTTTCCCCCTCCCTCCTTCTTTTCTCTCTTCCTTCCCTGCTTTTCTCTTTCTTCCTTTGCCCTCAGTTCTCCCTCTCTCTCTCTTTTCATTCTTTCTTGAACTCTCCCTCTTTCTTCCTCCCTCCCTCCCTTCTTCTTTTCCTCCTTTTCCTTTTTCTCTCTTCCTTTTCTCTATCTCTTCCTTTCTTCCTTCTCTTTTCTTCTTATGTACCTCTTTCTTTTTTCTCTCTTCTTTCCTTCCTTCCTTTCTTTCCATCCCTCCCTCCTTCTTTCCTTTTCCCCTCTCCATCCCTTCCTCCTTTCCTTCCTTCCTTTCTTTTTTTCCTCTCTATTCTTTGTCTCTCTTCATCCATCTCTCCTGTTCTTACATGCCTCTTTTCTTCCTTCCTTCTTTCTTCTCTCCCTCCTTCCCTTCTTTCCTTCCTTCCTTCCCTTCCTCCTTCCCTCTCTCCTTCCCTTCCTCCCTCCCTCCCTCATTTCCTTCCTCCCTGCTTCACTTCTTCCTCCCTCCCTTCCTCCATACCTCCCTGCTTCCTTTTTTCCAACCTCCTTCCCTCCTCGTTCCTTCCCTCTTTCTGCCTTCCTCCCTTCCTTCCTCCCATCCCTTCTTCCTGCTTCCCTCCTGCTCTCCCTGTTCCCTGCCTCCCTCCCTGCCTTCCTCTGTCTCTCCCTTCCTCCACTCCTTAATTTTGGTTTCCACTTCCCACTCTCACACTTTGAGCCTCTATCCCATTACTTCCTTGCTCAGAGCAGCTCTTTCTAACACCTCCCTGCTGCTGGGAGCCCCAGCGCACAGCAAAAGCAGACCCAGCACCAGTTTACTTTTTGTATTATTATTTTTTATCGTTTTCAACCTTCCATTTCAGATGGCTGAAGACCTAGGGGTGAGCAGAGAACCCAGCCCAGGCCTGCGGAGCGTCCTGACCGTAATCGTTTTATCTGCTAAGACATAGCCTTAAAGCAAACCCTTCCATCTGCCGCTCCCCTCGCCCTGCTGGCAAATTCCCACCACGATGGGATTCTCAATCACATGGCGGATTCTCTGCCTTCAGTTCCATATGCTTTTGCCTTTCTGGATGCACAGAAGCTCATTATAGCAAATCATATTTCTGCATAAGAGCTTCAGAAAATGAAGAGAAATGCAGATATTTTCTTTTAAACATGAATCTAACAGAAACAGGGCAGTGACTTCCATGTTTTAATGAGTTTTGTCCCTAAGTCCATCCCTGCCAAGGGAACAAACTGGGGCCCAGGGTGGCCACCCTCTTCCCTGCAGTGTCCTAGGTTAAGCTCACTCACGTCCTAAGGATTTGACCTTCCAGGTCATGCATGGATTTTTAAATCTTCAACGTTTTTGGCCGTTGACTTGCATTTCTCACTGCACTTCCTATGAAGCAGTTCTTAACTCTTTCTGTGATCAGTGTTCCAAACAGGTACACACCTTGGTTCCTAGAAAAACAAAATTCATACGTTGAGGAATCACCTAAACATCTCCTGATCTTCACACTGTAAGGCGTGTTGGGAATTGGTGGGTGGTCAGGTCCCTATTCACACATTTGAGCACGGAGCCTCTGCGGCCGTCTTCCTTGGATTCTCTCATATCCCTGAAAAACACAAATTGTACCTGGATTTTCCTTCTGTTTCCAAAGTCCACCAACTTGTTCTTCAATGTAATTGATTTTAACTTGTTTTCTTTCTTTTACTTTTCTTATTTTTTTCTTTCTTTTCATTTTTTTCTTATTTCTTTTCCTTCTATTTATTTTACTTTTCTTATTTGTTATATGTTATTTCTTTTTCTTTTCTTACTTTTCTTCTTTTTTCATTTTTCTTTTTTAAATTGGAGTCTCACTCTGTTGCCCAGGCTGGAGTGCAGTGGTGCAATCTTGGCTCACTGCAGCCTCCACCTCCTGGGTTCAAGCGATTCTCCTGCCTCAGCCTCCCGAGTAGCTGGGACTACAGGCACACACCACCACACCCAGCTAATTTTTGTATTTTTAGTAGAGACGGGGTTTCTCCATGTTGGCCAGGCTGATCTCGAACTTCTGACTTCAGGTGATCTGCCTGCCTCAACCTTCCAAAGTGCTGGGATTACAGGTGTGAGCCACTGTGCCTGGCCCTTTTTCTTTTTTCTTTTTTTTTTTCTCTTATTTCTTTTTTCTTATTTGTTTTCCTTTTTGCTTTTTCTTTTTATCTTATTTCTTTTACTTATTTTTCTTTTTTTTACTTTTATTTCTTCTCCGTTTTTCCTCATTCTTTTCCTCTTATTTCTTTGACTTTTCTGATTTCTTTTTTTTTCTTATTTTCCTTTTTTTTTCATATTCCTTTTAATTTTTTCTTACTTCTTTTACTTTTCTTATTTGCCCTCTTGTGGAAATGAGGCACAGCCTCCCTTATGGTTGAGCCGTAGTTCTAGCTGAGCACGGATGGTTTGATCCTCCTGTGTTGGGGCACTGTATGGTGTGAGGGCACAAAACCTTGACCCACATGGGTCTGGTCACCTTCTCACAGAGGTCACCTTTACAGCCCCCCAACTCTTTGAAGGATGTGTCCCAAGGTGTCTCAAGTCTGATGCAATGAAAGCTGCCCCCCATTGACCACAGGACTGAGTCCAGAATGTCCTGCGTGTTTCCCAGAGTGTCTGTCCTAACACCGCTTAAAGATTAGCCACTGCTAGACAGTGATCCTCAGGTATATGGTCTCAGGATTGGCCCCAAGCACACGGTGTGTGTGTGTGTATAAATATATCTTCACAAAGCATAGGTACCCATTAAAGCCATATTGCTTTGCTGAATGGTTCTAATAGCTACAGATGATTTCTAGCCTGAAAGAAAAGCACCACGAATTGTTTGAAGTTGACTTGTCAGATGTGGCATGCTTGGTCTAAGTTTTGACAGGAAGGGTATGTGGGTAGGGGTGTACGGAGCATCTCATGAGACCAGTTCTCCTCCTGAGAGGTCCGTGATGTTGGAACTGTTGCCCCAGATGGACTTTGCCCTTGTGAGACTTTATACTTTTCAATGCAGTTTTTCCCTCTTTAAAACTCGCCAGCTTTTATGTAGTGTTTTATAAAATTACAGGAATAAAAAGAATATCTTTTATGCTTTTTAACCAATGAGGGGAGAGGGAGAAATTATTTGTCCTCTGAAATGAATGCAGGTTTTCAATTTCTAGCCAGGACAGTTTGCTGCAAAATGCACCCGTGTTGACAACTTGTGACTGGCAGAACAAATGACATTTGTGGTGAACATTTTCGGATCATTTCGAATGTTCTTCTCTTCAGGGGGTTTTCCTCTCTTTTTCTTAAATCAAAGAATTTGGCCCTTTATGTGGGAGTCATTTAGTGGTTAGGGAGAACAGTTGAAACTGTGGAGTTCACGTAGCGTAAACTGGCGAGGCTGTCTCTGCTGCTGTCATTAAAAGTTACGCTGCTGGCTTGGCACGGTGGTTCACACCTGTAATCCCAGCATTTTGGGAGGCCGAGGTGGGCAGATCACGAAGTCAGGAGATCGAGACCATCCTGGCTAACATGGTGAAACCCCGTCTCTACTAAAAATACAAAAAATTAGCTGGGCATGGTGGCGGGCGCCTGTAGTCCCAGCTACTCGGGAGGCTGAGGCAAGAGAATGGCGTGAACCCTGGAGGCGGAGGTTGCAGTGAGCCGAGATCGCGCCACTGCGTTCCAGCCTGGGCGACAGAGCAAGACTCTGTCTCAAAAAAAAAAAAAAAAGAAAAGAAAAAGAAAAGTTACGCTGCTGCACCATACAAACGTGTTCCTTTATGAAGGCATTTGAACCACAGATGGGGCCGTTTTACAAATAGCACGGTCTTTGTGAGGGGGAAACGCATGGCCACAGATTCGATGAGCTTCTGCTGCTTCCCTTTGTGTTGAAAACGTGGGTGTTCCTTCACACCAACACTGGAAATAAATAAATACCTATTGATCTGTGCATCTCTTACGCGTTTCCAATTCTGTTGGCTTATGCTGTGGGTCAGAAAAGAAGCGACACCGACAACATTTGGGGACTTGACCCTGTTTGCATTGCGGCATGTTTGAAACATTTTTTAATGGAAATTTGGGAATAGAGGGCCGGGCGTGGTGGCTCAGGCCTGTAATCCCAGTACTTTGAGAGGCCGAGGTGGGCGGATCACAAGGTCAGGAGATCAAGACCATCCTGGCTAACACGGTGGAACCCCATCTCTACTAAAAATACAAAAAATTAGCCAGGCGTGGTGGTGCATGCCTGAAATCCCAGCTACTCAGGAGGCTGAGGCAGGAGAATTGCTTGAACCCGGGAGGCGGAGGTTGCAGTGAGCTGATATCGCGCCACTGCACTCCAGCCTGGGCGACAGAGCGAGACTCTGTCTCAAAGAAATAATAATAATAATAAATAAATAAATAAATAAATAAATTTGGGAATGGAAACAAGACTGGGAAAAAATGCTGGAGGAGGAAGAAAACCGGGTACACAAGACGCCTTGGCTGTCTTGTCCTTTGATGGCTGGGGAAGCTCTTAGTGCTCGGAGTCCTCACTCACCTCTCTGCATTCTGAGGGAGGTAGAAGGGGGGACAGGAGAGCCAATTCAACCTGAGAAGGATGATTGGTGGAGGTGGGTAAAGGAAGAAAGTCCCCTTTCCCTAGGTACTGAAAAGATGCTAATCTGCTGAGATTCTCTGTATTTATTTTTATTTATTTTAATTTTTATTTTGAGACAGTCTTGCTCTGTCACCCACGCTGGAGTGCAGTGCCACGATCTCAGCTCACTGCAACCTCCACCTCTTGGGTTCAAATGATTCTCCTGTCTCAGCCTCCCAAGTAGCGGGGACTACAGGTGCACGCCACCACGCCCAGCTAATTTTTGTATTTTTAATAGAGACGGGGTTTCACCATGTTGGCCAGGATGGGCTCGATCTCTTGACCTCGTGATCCGCCCGCCTGGCCTCCCAAAGTGGTGGGATTACAGGTGTGAGCCACCATGCCCAGCCTCTGCATTTATTTTTATTTATTTATTTTTATTTTTATTTTGAGACAGTCTTGCCCTGTCACCCAGGCTGGAGTGCAATAGTGTGATCTCGGCTCACTGCAACCTCCACCTCCTGGGTTCAAACGATCCTCCTGCCTCAGCCTCCCGAGTAGCTGGGAGTATAGGTGCACGCCACCACGCCCAGTTAACTTTTGTATTTTTTAGTAGAGACGGGGTTTCACCATGTTGGCCAGGCTGGTCTCGAACTCCTGACCTCAAGTGATCCACCTGCCTCAGCCTCCCAAAGTGCTGGGATTACAGGCGTGAGTCACCACGCCCAGCCGTCTGCATTTGTTTGATGAGTTTGGGGGCAGTTATAAATAAGAATCTTATTTTCACAGATGCACGTACTTTTTTTTTTTTTATAGAAAGAGCTTCCATGTGCGTGTTCCTCAGTGTTTAGGGAGAAGAAAGCAACCCTTAAAATAGAGGAAAATGAAGCTGCTTGGATTACCCTGTTGAAGTTCATCTCTGCCTGTGCCATGCATGAAAAAATACTGGCAAAGTCTTCACTTACATGAGTGTTAGACTCCATGTTCCCAGTGGGTCTCGGGGTTCAGAACTGAGTGCTCTCATCCAAGCAATAGGAGCGTCGACCTCAGGAAAGCCCAAGTGTTTTGTGTGTATTTTGAGGAGTGGGTTATCTGTTGCACTGAGCCTCTCTGTGTATTTTCTTCTTCTTTTCAGCAGAACAAGGGGAGGTGGACATGGAGAGCCACCGGAATGCCAACGCAGAGCCAGCTGGTAAGAAGGACGGGGAACGATGGCTTGCACACGTGGCCAGTGTTCCCATTT